>NC_000022.11:49341714-49657789 GCF_000001405.40 Homo sapiens
TGAGGTTTAAGGAAAGAATCCATCTCCAGAGCATAAGTGCAAGGTGAAGCAGCAGGTGCTGATGGAGAAGCTGCAGCAAGTTCCCCAGAAGATCCAGCCAAGATCCTTGATGAAGGTGACTCCACTGAACAAAAGATTTTTATTGCAGGTGTAACAGCCTCCTACTGGAAGAAGAGGCCGCCTGAGACTTTCACAGCAAGAGAGAAAAAGTCATGCCTCGCCTCAAAGCTTCAAAGGACAGGCTGGCTCTCTTGTTAGGGGCTAATGCAGCTGGTGATTTTAAGGTGAAGCCGATGTTCACCTACCATTCTGAAAATCCTAGGTCCTAAGAATTATGCAGTAGCTGCTCTTCCTGTGCTCTATGGATGGAAGAACAAAGCCAGAATGGCAGCATGTCTGTTTACAGCATGATTTATGGAATATTTTAAACCCACAGTTGAGATCTACTGCTCAGAAAAAGGTTTCTTTAAAACTGTACTGCTCAAGCCGGGCACGGTGGCTCAAGCCTGTAATCTCAACACTTTGGGAGGCCGAGGCAAGTGGATCACCTGAGGTCAGGAGTTTGAGACCAGCCTGGCACGCATCTGTAGTCCCAGCTACTCAGGAAGATGAGGCAGGAGAATCGCTTGAACCTAGGAGGTGGAGGTTGCAGTGAGCTGAGATTGCACCACTGCACTCCAGCCTGGGCAGCAGACTGAGACTCTGTCTCAAAAAAAAACACCCCAAAACTAAAAACTGTACTGCTCATGGACAATGCGCCTGGCCACCCAGGAGCTCTGATGGAGACGTACAAGGAGATGAATGTTTTCATGCCTGTTGACACAACATCCATTCTGCAGCCCATAGATGAAGGAGTAATTTTGACTTTCAAGCCCTATTATTTAAGAAATACATGTTGTAAAGTTATAGGTGCCATAGAAAGTGATTCCTCTGATGGATCTGGGCAAAGTCCATTGAAAAACTTCTGCGTAGGGTTCACCATTCTAGATGCCATTAAGAACATTTGTGATTCGGGGGCAGAAGTCAAAATATCAACATGAACATTAGTTTGGAAGAAGTTGATTCCAACCCTCAGGGATAGCTTTGAGGGGTTCAAGACTTCCGTGGAGGACGTCACTGCAGACATGGTGGAAACAGCAAGAGAACTAGAATTGGAAGTGGAGCCTGAAGAGGGACTGAATTGCTGCAGTCTCAGGATAATCCTTGAATGAATGAGAAGTTGTTTTTTATGGATGAGCAGAGAAAGTGGTCTCTTGAGTTGGAATCCACTCCTGGTGAAGACGATGTAAACATCGTTGAAATGACAGCAAAGGATTTAGAGTATTTCACAAACCCAGCTGACAACGCAGCTACAGAAATCGACAGGACTGACTTCAGTTTTGAAAGAAGTTCCACTGCGGGTAAAAGGCTATCAAACAGCATTGCCCACCACAGAGAACTCTTTCATGAAAGGAACAATCCATCGATGCAGCAAACTTCATTGTTGTCTTATTTTAAGAAACTACTGGCCAGGCGCAGTGGCTCATGCCTGTAATCCCAGCACTTTGGGCATCTGAGGCGGGCGGATCACCTGAGGTCAGGAGTTCGAGACCAGCCTGACCAATATGATGAAACCCCGTTTCTACTAAAAATACAAAAATTAGCTGGGTGTGCTGGCATGCACCTGTAATCCCAGCTACTCAGGAGGCTGAGGCAGGAGAATCACTTGAACCTGGGAGGCCGAGGTTGCAAGGTTGCAGTGAGCCGAGATCGCACCATTGCACTCCAGCCTGGGCAACAAGAGCAAACCTTCATCTCAGAAAAAAAAAAAAAAGAGGAAAGAAGAAAGAAAGAAAGAAGAAAGAAAGAAAGAAAGAAAGAAAGAAAGAAAGAAAGAAAGAAAGAAAGAGAAAGAAACTGCCACAGCCACCCCAACTTTAGCAACCACCACCCTGATCAGTCAGCAGCCATCAGCATCGAGGTAAGACCCTCCACCAGCAAAAAGATGACGAAGCACCAAAGGCTCAAATGATCATTAGCATATTTTAGCAACAAAGTATTTTTAGTTAAGATATTTACATTATATTTTAACACAATGTTATTGCACAATTAATAGACTGCAGGATAGTGCAGACATAACTTTTATCCCTGCTGTGAAACCAAAAAGTTCTTGTGACTTGCTTTATGGCAATATTAGCTTAATAAACCAAACCTATAATATCTCTAGAACCAAAGCTGCAATATCTCTAAGGTATGCCTATATTTAGTTGATTGAGTGTGTTTAAAAAAAAAAAAAGACATCAATACAGTAATGCATTCAACTAATCACTGGCTAATGCTTACGGCTGCGGGCATAAGACGAGCTGGTGTGTGAGTGTGTGTGTGTGGTCCAGGGGGTGGTGGGGCAATGCCCATGAGGAATCTCTGCCTTTAAGGAACTCCTGGCCTGTCCTGAGAATTAAATACTCAACACACAGTAGTCAGTGTTAAGTGCAATGCAAATAACCCCAACAGTAATTTTCAAGCTAATCTGCCTGGAAGAAAAGCCATCAGTGTTCATGCTTTGAAATCTCTCATTTTCTTCTTTGGGGACATTCCAAGAGCATTGCAAAGTGCAGTGTTAAGATTTTGATCCATGTGTATTTCTGAGGCAAATTTGCATCTGCCGTTGGCTGGGGCTTGGGCTGCCCGGGGGGGCACCTCTCTCTGACCCTTTTATTCATCATATAACTGCCCCACCATTACTGCCTAGCCAGCCTTGGCTCGACAGAGACATTCCAGCAAGAGTAAGCGGCTTCTATGGCAAAACAAAGAATGTGTTGGGAGACTCCATCCCCGCTGGCTGGAAGCATCGCATTTTTTTCTTTCTTCAATTCTCCACTAAGGGCTAACTTCACAACTTTTATTATAATATGCTTTATGTACAACAGTGAAACTTTACTGCAACATATGCCTATTTTATATATTCATGCATAAAGCATATTTTTAAAATCCTTCGTCAGAGGCTCATAGTACAATATTAAACCCGCACCATATTTTCCCCATGCATTCATAAAAAAGCACTCAGTCCTTTGGAAAATGTTATTAAGAACTTTGACTCTGGGGTGTAGGATGTTTCAGCCTGTGTGAGTGTTTTGCTGGAACAGAAGCGGGAGGAGGGACTGCGCCTGCTGCGCCTAACGGGTAACAGGCCTCTGCAGACCTGGAGGAAGGAGAGAGGGTGCTGAAATCCGAGCAGAGCTGTCTGTGTGGGATATTTTTTTCCTCCACTGGGCAGCAGGAGCTGCAAGACATGGATTGAGGGAGTGCATCCTGCTTCTGTTTGGGAAATGAGATGTCACATCAGAAATTATATTCAGTTATTTATCATCAACAGGAGATTTCCAGCCGGACTGGAAGAAATTGAAACAATACCTCTAAGTAATTCCAGCCTTTTTTGGATTAGTGTCTGGTCTCAGGAAAGCCCTATAAACTAGGTGATTCTGACTATTACACATTGTGATGTTTTTGTCCTGGGTCTAAACCCAGCAGATTAATTTTGAGATTGTATTTGAGATTTTGCATTCTATTTGTCACCGAGTGACCTGCACGACAAGAAATAAAACCTCCCTTTCCTCCCAGACCCATTGCCTTGTTCCCAAGACACCTGGAGCCGTACCCGGCGGGTGTGGCACCCAGGACACCTTTGTCTTCTAAGTGAGTACTTTCTTTAATTATCAGTCTTCTTACATGTTTTTTAATTTTATTAAAAATGCATTAATTGGCCAGGTGCGGTGGTTCATGCCTGTAATCCCAACGTTTTGGGAGGCCGAGGTAGGCGGATCACTTGAGGTCAGAAGTTTGAGACCAGCCTGGCCAACATGATGAAACCCTTTCTCTACTAAAAATACAAAAAAAAAAAAAAAAAATAAGCTGGGTGTGGTGGAATGTACCTGTAGTTCCAGCTACTTGGGAGGCTGAGGAAGGAGAATCACTTGAACCCGGGAGACGGAAGTTGCAGTGAGTTGAGATCATGTCATTGCACTCCAGCCTGGGTGACAGAGCCAGACTCCATCTCAAAAAAAAAAAAAAAAAAGAAAAAGAAAAAGAGAGAAAGAAAGATATTCATTAACTGATATTCAAAAGTGGCTCATTCTTATAGTCTGAGATAACGCCAGCCCTGTTTTGTGCAATGACCCTAGAGAGGGCCACTGATGCTGCATCCCTGCTGGGACCGCTGTCCTGGGGGAGGAGGTTGTGGTGAGCACGTGTCCCATGTGGCACGCAGGACCCATGGACACCCGGAAAGGGCCTCGCCTGCCCACATCATCAGCCTACACCATCCTGACCTATATGACGTCATTGCTTTAAACAACTGCCCGTCGGCGTGGCTTGCTCTGTGGCTAAAGCTAACAGGTGCCAGCTCCCACCATGAGCTACACAACCCTTCCAGCCCCTAAAAAGGCAGAAATGAACAAAACGGAAAGAAAATACCTGCATGGAGGAGCCTACCCGCAAGGGGCGTCCGTGTCAGCCTGCCTCACCCGCATCCGCGGCTGTGTGACATCACCTTGCACAGGTGTGACCCTGTAATGACACAGAAGACCTGTTTGCAGTCGAGGGAGCTTTCGTCTATTTCCAGGCTTTGGTTTTGTTTCGATAAACAGCATCTTACCACAATCACAGGACACTACTCAGGGTGCATGTCTGTTCGTAGAATTGCTGTCCACGCATATCTCCAACTTCAGAAGATACGGAAGCATTGCCTGGGCTCAGGTGGCCACACAGAGGCAGGAGGAAGATGGACGATGGTGACAAGATGAATAAGAGCAGGTCGGTGAAGGTGCTGCTGTTGCAGAGGTGGGAGGAGACGGTGCAGCTCCTTGGCAGATGGACAAGGCAGCCCTGAGGACCGAGCTGGGAAGGGTTCAAGAGGTGGAGTTTCCTGGTTGATTGTTGATGTCTGCCAGGGGGCAGCCCTGAGGACCCAACTGGGAAGGGTTCCAGAGGTGGAGTTTCCCGATTGTTGATGTCTGCCAGGGAAGGGGCAGGAGAGAACAGGCAGGAAAGAGAGCATCCCGTCTCCTGGAGACTTGGTCCAGGTGAAAGGTGCAATTATGAAGAATCGAGAGGACACGGATGATATTTGAAGTGTTTAGAAATGAAATTCACAGGAATTAAAAGAGGAAATTCTGAGATACGCCTGGCAGTCCCAGACAGCTGGGAGGATGGCCGCAGGTCACTGAGATGGGAAGGTAGGTAAGGATAAAGGAAACGTGTTGCCAGGGCATCGCGGCACGGCTTTGGACATCACAACAGAAATTCTTTTTATTATTATTATTATTTGAGATGGACTCTTGCTGTGTCACCCAGGCTGGAGTGCAGTGGTGCGATCTTGGCTCACTGCAACCTCCACCTCCCTGGTTCAAGCAATTCTCCTCCCTCAGCCTCCCGAGTAGCTGGGACCACAGGTGCCCGTCACCATGCCAGGCTAATTTTTGTATTTTTAGTAGACACAGGGTTTCACCATGTTGATCAGGCTGGTCTCGGACTCCTGACCTCAGGTGATCCACCTGCCTCAGCCTCCCAATGTGCTGGGATTACAGGTGTGAGCCACCACGCCTGGCCCAGAACAGAAATCCTGAAAGACGTTTCTGGGAGCCGTGGTCAGAGAGTTGAGAATGCAGCTCTGGGTGGGGGCCCACAGGCGGGGGTGGCTGGTGGGGCCTGGCTGGCAGAGGGAGGAGGAGCCCAGGCCTCCAGTTCAAGAGAGGTGGGTGGGGCTGGAGCTGGGGATGAGCTGATGAAGGTGAGGGGGGTGGACAAGTTGAACAAGACCAGGGGCTACAAGCAGCAACGCAGGGAGGGGTGGCTGTCAGGAATGATAAAGGGTTTCAGCAATGCGTCCCCTCGAGTCCTCTCCAGACCACATGCTGAGCGACACTCTGGAGAGTTGGAGCCCAGACATCACATGCAGGATTTCGGCTTCAACCCAGGAACCAGGCCGCGGGGCCCATGCCAACAACAAAAGACTGGCCCCTGGCTCTTGTCAGCATGAACCGGAGGGACAGAGGCCAACACAGAGACAGCAAATGACCCCACTGCTCACTGGTACAGAACCACATGGATTCAGTCCCCTGGTTTTCCTGGTATGATGAAAGCTCACAGGGCCCTCTCTGGGTCCTGGAGGCATCAGAATAATGGAGGAGCTCACAGGGCCTCTCTGCACCCTGGAGGCATTGGTATTATGGAGGAAATTGCAGGGCCCTCTCTGGGCCCTGGAGGCATCAGTATAATGGAGAAGCTCCAGGGCCTTCTCTGCATCCTGGAGGCATTGGTGTAATGGAGGATCTCACAGAGCCCTCTCTGCACCCTGGAGGCATTGGTATCATAGAGGAGCTCACAGGGAACCTGTCTGCATCCGGTATAATGGAGGATCTCACAGGGCTCTCTCTGCACCCTGGAGGCATTGGTGTAATGGAGGATCTCACAGAGCCCTCTCTGTACCCTGGAGGCATTGGTATCATAGAGGATCTCACAGGGCCCTCTCTGCACCCTGGAGGCATCGGTATAATGGAGGAGCTCGCAGGGCCTTCTCTGTACCCTGGAGGCATTGATATAATGGAGGATCTCACAGGGCGCTCTCTGCACCCTGGAGGCATTGGTATAATGGAGGAGCTTGCAGGGCGCTCTCTGTACCCTGGAGGCATCAGTATAATGGAGGAGTTCACAGGGCCCTCTCTGAACCCTGGAGGCATCGGTATAATGGAGGAGCTCACAGGGCCCTCTCTGCACCCTGGAGGCATCTGCTGACCCTGAGTCTCCCTCTCCTGTCCCCTTTGCCTGCTCAGCCCACTTTTCCAGCACTGCTGACATTGTCACTCAAGGCTAAGAACAATTCCAGGAAACGCTGGTGTAGGATGCTGTCTACCTGAACTGTCTGGTTCTGAGAAAGGAAGACAGGACGGTTCCGTCTCTCACACACCTGGGAACAAGCTGCCCCTCCTGAGCCCCCTGCAGCCACCATGCAGGGGAGAGAGGGAAACCAGAGTGGGCTTGGCAAGAGCCAAGACAGGCTTCCAAGCAAGGCCCTGAGCAGCAACGGCCAAGCTCCCAGGACCCTGGCTGCCTCCGAGGAGCCGGCTACTCCATTCAGCCCTGCAAACCACGCCACCAGACTTCCTGAGCTATGGCCTTTTTGGAAAAGCAGTGAGAAGCTCCCAGCCACACCCTCTCCTTCCCTGGTCCCCACCGACCTCACAGACCCACCCACACGGTCACCACAAAGGCCTTCCTCGGTGCCCGCACCTCCGCCACTTCCTGGCGTTTTCTCTCTCCTTCTTCAGGCTGCTGACCTGGGGAGGTCAAAACACCGGGAGCTGACCTTGACCTTGGCACCCACGAAGCAGTCCGGCGACATTCCAGGCCAAACCCGACTTGGGGAGAAAAATGTCATTTCCCAGGATTTTATATCCAGCAATCTTCCCATCCCCGGTCCCTACCAACCTATTCTAACTCCCTCCCAGGTTTCCTCAAAAACCACCCAGAGGACCGACATTCTGGTGTTGGGTGTATGGAGGGTTGGCAGATGGCAGTGGCCAGCGCATAGCAGGGGACACCCGTGCCGTCCTCGGAAACTGGATATGGGCTCGGCACGTCGGCCCACATGGCAGAGCGCCCTCAGTGTTCTGTGGTGGCCTCGGGGGGACGACACCTCTCCTTGCCCCTTCCTGACCTTGCTGGTTGGGGCCGTGGCTGGATTCCAGGCCTGGAGGTTTGGTTGCTGACCTGCGTGTGAAGCTAAGGAACTGGGAGAAGAAGGCACGAGAGGTGGCTGTGAGGCGAGGCCTGGTCAGCAAAACAGCCCTCCACACAGCCCTGCGAGAGAGGAGAGCAGGCCAGTGGCTTCTGCCTGGGTTTTCTTCCAAATCCATTTCAATTCCAGAGCTTCATGTGGAGCTTAGTGTCATATCTCAATTCAATTAGCAACAAAGCGAGTAAGGGCAGGTGGATGCTGGATTGCAGCCACCCAGGAGCAGAAAGACAATTGGCGACAGGCACTCACATCTCTGCAGAAAGGTGGAAGGAAGGGCCTGGTTTGGGGAGTAAGGGCCAGAGGACAATGGCTTATGTCCTGAGGGGCAATGGGACAGGGCTCTTGCTGCCTGGGAGGGCATGGCCCCTTGGTCAGCCACCACTGCCAGGGTAGCTCCAGCGATGGGGCCCCCTGCCAGCCACCACTCCCAGAGTAGCTCCAGCGATGGGTCCCCCGCCTGCCCTGGGCCTCTCAGAGCCCCTCCCTTCACAGGCCTGTGAGGAGCAGAGCCACAGGCTTTGAGGGACAGAGCATGCGTAGGAAATGCAAGGTCAGGCAGAGCCAGCAGGGCAGGAAACACCTGCTTTGGGAAGAGAGTTTGCCCCTCAGATCCCCAGAAGAGGGGCACCCGTGCCACGCCAGGCCACGCAGGGGCACCAGGGTCATCACACGCAGAGAAGGGGAAGCGTGGGCAAAGCCTTTACTGTGGCTCCATGGAAGGAACGGGCAGGGTGGGGCAGCGGGCTTAGGACTGCCCAGTGTGGACACCCCTGTGGGAGCTGGGCAGGGGCTGTCCCTGGCTGCCGGCCACCTGGCCCGGGGCGATGAGGGCTGGAGGATGGGACCCAGGGTGTGAGAGCCCAGGGAGGAGGGAGAGGTGGGGCCTCCAATCTGAGTGGTTTGTATTGAAAGGTGTGCTCAGAGGCAAGTCACCCACCATCTCTAGGGATTAGAGCTCGGGGGAGCAGTCCCTCCAGGGTCAGCGAGGACCTGAAGGTCAAAGCTTGGAAACAAAAGTCAGAGTTAGCACCTCTGCTGTTGGAGGCACCTGCCAAGACTCCATGGAGCTTCTGTCCCTGACCGGGAGAAACTCCGGGCTGGCCGTGCTCTCCCTGACCGCAGGCGCTGCCAGTGCCTCTGATGCGGCCCCTCCACATCCTCCAGGGCACCCTGCGGCACCTGCTCTCTGCAGCCCGGCCTCCCTGCCTCCCTAAGACCTGGGGACCAACCAGATCATGCCACCTGTTTTGCGAAACTGCAAGATAAAGTGGGGTTTGCACATCTCACTCTTCTAGCAATTATGATTCTTAAGCAGAGATTCAAAGAGACCATTGCACACCCCTGCTGGTAGAAGCCTTCTTCACAACGGCCAGAGGGTGGAAGCAGCCCAGGGGCCCATCTGTCGACAGCTGGAGGGATAAAAGCAGTAAGGCAATGCGGTCCTCACACACAGAGGGCAGCTTCGGCCCCGAAAAGGAAGGAAAGTCGGACACATGGTCCATCACGGATGAACCTTAAGGGCATTGTGCCAAGTGAAACAAACCATTCACAAAAATGACAAACACTGTATGATTTCACTTCTAGGAGAGCCCTAGAGCATCAAATTTACAGAGACAGAAAGAAGAATGGGGGATGCCAGGGCTGGCGGAGGGTGGGAGGAAGTTGGTGTTTAATGGGCCTGGAGTTTTGTTTTGTCACCCAGGCTGCAGTGCAGTGGTGCGATGTCAGCTCACTGCAACCTCCACCTCCCGGGTTCAGGCGATTCTCCTGTCTCAGCCTCTTGAGTAGCTGGAATTATAGGCATGTGCCACCACCCCTGGCTAATTTTTGTATTTTCTTTCATAAAGAAAGGGTTTCACCATGTTTGTCAGGCTGGTCTTGAACTCCTGACTTCAGGTCATCCGCCCACCTTGGCCTCCCGAAGTGCCGGGATTACAGGCGTGAGCCACAGCTCCTGGCTGGAGTTTCAGTTTGGGAAGATGAAGAAGTTGTGGAGATGGGGGGTGGTTATGGCTGTAGGACCCTGTGAATGTGCTCACTGCCACGGAACAGTTCACTCACCAGTGGTAAAGAAGGTAAATGTTATGTATATCTTACCACAATTAAAACATTACAAAGAAAAAACAGTTCCTGTTGATGCTTACTTTGCAGAACATATTGCAATCCCCCCAGCATTAATGCTAAGAGTGATTCAAATTTCCCTTAAGGAACTTCTCACCCCCACACCTCCGGGCTGTGACACGGGATGTCCCCTGAGACACCACGGCCTTACACCTGCCCAGAACGGCTCCACTGGCTCGGCTGTGGGCGTCTGCAGCTGTGGGTGTCTGCAGCACGGGGGTCCTCTCTTCCACTTTCAGAGGCAGATCTCGGCCCCACGGCTCCTGACCTTCTCCCTGTTTAACAACCCATTTCCTGCCTCACCGCCTTTGGGACCAGGTTGCCGCTGGGCCCCAGATGGCGGGACGCTGAAGGTCTGCATCTCCGGATCTCCAGTTCATCAGTCACCGGCTGAGATGGAGTCGGCACTCCGTGGCTGCACGGTGCCCGCCTGAGCTCCAGCTGACTTCAAATAGTTCCTGAAGATGGCTCGTGTCTATGTTCCCGCAGTGGCCTGGTTTTAAGCAGAAAGCTTGTCTGCGACCGCCGGCTGCCAAGACTGTCTCTCTGTTCATTCTCAACCCTGCCTCCCTGCCCTCGGCAGCCCCTCACTCTCTGATGTGTGACTAAGGCTCTGTTTATGCTCTCATTAAGGCAGACAGAGTGCAATGCCGTTTGCAAGTGAGCTACAGAATTATTCACCAAAACAGCGTCTAGAGGTTCATCCTTAAGGAACAGTCACAGGAAAATTGGTTTCTGTACCACACATGGAAAATAGAGACAAATGGTTGAGCTCTAAGTTCCATGATTCGTTCTCCATGGCCAGGAGAACCACTTAAAGGATTCCACGCAGATGGGCAGTGGCCGAGGCAGTTTCCTCATCCAGGAAGTTCTTGTCCTGGTAGAAACTAAACGATAGAAAGGCCAGCTCCGACGCCACAGCGGCCTCCACAGAGGGGCTTACGGTCACGGCACAAGCGGCTGATTTCCAGATAAAGGGAGCAAGTCATAACTGGGATGAGTGTTCCTAGGGCCAGAGGGATGGAGGCAGTACCCCAGGTGAGGAAGGGCTACGGGAGGGTCACGGCAGTGTCTGGGAAAGCGTGGGTCTGCCTGCAGTTAGAGTTACAAGCATCAGAGTCTGCACTCCTACCCAGATGATGGCAGAGTGACGCATGCAGTAAGGGAACAGCCAGGCTGATCCCCCGGCATCGCGTCCCAGGCAGGCCAACCCTGTGACAAGCCCTCCAGCCGGGGCCGCCCTCTGAGGCTGGAGTCATGGGGAATGGACAAGGCTGGCTGGAGCCAAGTGACCAAGGGGACAAGCCGGCAGAGGCAGGTGACAACGCCACCTCCAAAGCTCAGTGGGGTGCTGCCCAGGCCCTGGCCTCTGCCGCGGCTCTGCCAGGCATCTCCAGCCCCATGGCTTCTGTTGAGACCCCTCTGCCTTGTTGAAACCGAGGCCATCCTGATGATGTCTGAATGCCTTTGGGGTGCTTCTCTTGGAGGACAGAGGGGAGCCGCATCAAACCCGCGGGGAGAGGGGTCACGTCAGATGTGGCAGGGCCCGGCAGGGAACTGAGGGGTTTCGGCCTCACTCCTTCCTCTTCTCTGTGGTTAAATTGAGGTGGTGCTTGATTTTTTTTTCCTCGTGTTTTTCTCCTGGTTTCCTGCACTGGGCAGGGAAAGGGTGCTGGTGTCCGTGAACATGGCCGTTTCACGCCTCCTGGTGCCGATGGAGTGGCGCTTTCTACACCACAACTTGCTTCCTTCCTTCCTCAGTACTTCCCGGTGCCTTTCTGCCACTGAGGTCGGCCTCCTTTCATGGAACTGATGTACGTGAATCTGCGACATGGATGCATCATCATTTACATAACCGGTTTCCAACCCGTGAACGTTGACGTCGTCTGCAAATGTTCATTCTCGGGAGCAGGGCTGCAGGATCCTCCTGGGGGCCACTTTCTGCACATGCACAGACTTCCGCAGAGATTTTCAAACCTAAAACTGCTGCATAAAAGAAAATGCACATTTAAAATGTGATAGATGCCGCCAATTTGCCCCTGAAACGTATCCATTTTCTCTGGTTTATTTTCATGATTTCTCCTTAGAATTTTTCACTGTCTGCAGCTAATCCATGTTCTGACCATCGATCGGCCTGGCTGTGTTTCCATCAGCTGTGGACACCCTGTGGACAGACACGGGGCTCCTATCATCTCCCCTTGCCTTTCCAGGCCTGGGAACGTTTACTGAATGAATGAATCCAAGGACTGAGCCACAGTTCAGGAGGACACACATTTCCCCAGCCCCTACCAATCCTGAATGTTGAGAATCCCTCCAATTTAGCCAATTTGAGAGAGGTATCATTGTTTTTATACTAGTGAGGTTGATTGATTGTATTTTATGTTTATTTGCCATTTATACATATTTCTTTAATTTGCTTGTTCATATAATTTTTTCCATTCTTTAATTGTTTTAGTTGTATTTTTCTTGTTGAAGTGTGAGATATATATTTATCTATATATTATATACGCACATATATATATCATCTTAATTCAAGGAAGCTTAAAGATTTTAGCAATTTAGTTCAGTACCAGTGAATTTCATCAATCTTTTTTTCAATCAACAAGCACAGAATGGATTCATAAGCGATAATTTAGACTGTACTTTGTAACATTGATTATATCATTGTCTTCACATTTTCATTTGGATTTACTGTATGGGATAATAGTAATATGCAAAGCAATGAGCATTAAATATGTGTAAATATTTAAACATTCCAGAGTCAGTCAGAAATTCTCCATTGTGTTAAAAGACAGTGAAATTTTAAAAAATATGTTCATAAACAGATTTTAAACATTTGTTTTCTAACAATTCTATAGATGGTAAGTACAGACGGTGGATATCATCAGAGAGGAAACAGGATGGTGCCCGCTGAAAGGTCCCCTGACGTGGCGGATCTCTCTCACGTCCTAGAGAGCTAACCCTAACAGAATTGAGTTTCCTTCCTCCTCTTGAGGGTGGAGACAGAGTTTCACTGACTGCTGGTCACAGGAGGCTTCCTCAAGGCGCTCATGGCTGGGTGCCGGCAGGTGGTCCCCAGAACAGGACACTCTGGAGCATCAGGCACTGGCCAGCGTCCTCAGGGGTCTGAGCACACCCAGGCTGGCTGCAAGCCTGTCTCCAAGCCATCCTCAGCAAATCCGTCAAGCTGAGCAAAGTCACGATGCCCTGAATCTCATTCACCCTGTCACAGCATGGATTAAACCCTGAAGGATGCTTGTAAAGGGTCCGACTGGGGTGACCACAGAGCGTGTGATTAAACCCTGAAGGATCCCTGTAAAGGGTCCAACTGGGGTGACCACACAGTGCGTGATTAAACCCTGAAGGATCCCTGTAAAGGGTCCGATTGGGGTGAACACAGAGCTTTCATTTCAAAATAGAGTGGGAGAGGGTCATGCATTTCCTGGTTAATTGGTACATTCCAGATGGGTTCATTAGAAGTTTGGAAACATTCCCTGGAGATGAAATAACTTCTATTATCACAGTATCTGTCGGGTGGAAATTCCAAAGATGTTTTCAGGGATTGAGAAAACAGGGAAATAACAAGGAGGCTCATTAGGATTTCAGCATGTGATGCTGGCAGTGGGGAGTGCAGACACCCAGCCTCTAATTCTGCCACCAACCCCAACTGTCCTCCTCACAGGCAAAACACATTCATTCCATCCCAACAGCCCCCACAGCCATAACTCACCCCAGCTGCTGTGAGGGTTAAAACCCAGAGCCTGCCTTAACATCGCCTAAATCAAAAGTAAGGGAGGCCGAGGCCAGAGCCATGCCGAGGCAGCATTCCTCTCCAGCCATGCCTCTGCAAACCCAATGCGACGTGCTTCCAAAACACAATGTCATGACAGCCACTGAACAGGCGCTCCCTCCCGCAGGGAGGAATGGAAGGAGGAAAGGATGACAAGTCCCAAGCGGGTCCAAATCCCAGCGAGGCAGGTTCCATGAGAATTTCCTCTTTGGCTTGAAAGTCTGCCTGCCGGGCCCACTATGGTGGCAACGCCACCTCCAAAGCTCAGTGGGGTGCTGCCCAGGCCCTGACCCCTGCCGCGGCTCTGCCAGGCATTGCCAGCCCCGTGGCTTCTGTTGGAAGCCCTCCGCCTCATTGAAATCTAGGCCATCCTGACGATGTCTGAATAACCTTTGGGGCGCTTCTCCCCTTTTCTTGGAGGACAGAACACTGCACGGTCCCCCTTCATTCTGCCCACATCCTCTGCTTCCCAGAATCCCTCTGCAGAGCTTCCACTGCCCTGACCCCATCTCAGCCCTGGTTTCTGCGGAGATGACGGAGAAGGTCTGTGCTCACACCCACACCAATCGCCTTATCAGGTCGTCAAGTCACCACAACCTTGGTGTTCTTCGCTGAAGATGTTTTATTTTTTGTAACATGGAATTTTCCAATTGTTTAATTTCTGGTTCCTTGGTAATTCCATCTCTGTTCATTTTTCTCTTCAGGAGAAACCAAGCTGCTCCTTCAACATTTTGCTTAGAGATCCTCAGCTAAATATCGAATGTGATCACTGACAAGCTCTGCTTGTCTTGAAATGATAGAACACAAACACAGTTCCGCTACCTTCTTTGCCTCTTGATGACAAGCACGGCTTTTCCTGCAGTTTCCAATCATATGTTCCCCCTTTCCATCTGAGACCTCAGCAGAGGAGCTCTTAACGCCCCTGCTTCCACCAATGTTCAGTACATAGTGAAGTACGTATTCTCTAAGAAGATGAGAACTTTCTCTATAGCTCTTTTTCCTTTCTGGGCCCTCGTCACAATCACCTTGCAAAGTCCATTGGCAGCAATGTCAGAATTTTTTCCTATGCACTTTGAAGCTGCATCCACATTTTTAGGTGATTGTGACAGCAGCACCCCGTTCTCAGTACCAACTCCTATCCTGGTCAATTCAGGCTTCTGAAACAGAACACCAAAGACGGGGTGATGTAAACAGCAGCAATTCACTCCTCACAGTTCTGAAGTCCAAGAAGTCTGAGATCAAGGTGCTGGCAGGTCCATGGGTGGGAGCCCATTTCTGGTGGACAGATAGCCATCTTCCTCCTGTTTCCATGCCTGGAAGACAGCAGAGAGAGAAAGAGCAAGTGCTCTCATATATTTGTATGCGGGCTCAAATCCTGTTTTTTATTAGCTCCATCCTCATGACCTAATTCCTTCCCAAAGATCCCATCTCCAAATGCTATCCTATTAGGGGTTAGGGTCACAACATGTGAACGGGGTGGGGGACCGCAAACATTCGTTCCAGGAATAAGCTGATAGTATTTTTATGTGAATCACAAATACGAATGCCTACAATTGCCCGAAGTCTGGTTTGTGCTGTGAAATCCAAGATGCATCAAGTTTGAGCTTATTTACAAAAACACAGGCTCTTGAGTCCAGTTAGGCTTATGTTTAACACTCAATAAATGCTTCCAAATTGATTAGTCTGGAGCAGCTACCTTTGATTTAATTGAAAGGGAAGGACCACAGCTCAAGCTAATAGACGACCTAAACCCATCAGGCAGGGCAGGTGCAACGGCGAGCAATGGAATCGTGAGCTGTCCTCTCTGTTCATATCCAGTGGCCCTCGCTTAATCTTTAGACGCAATTCAAGAGGCACATGGTTCAGTTCTAAAGAATTTTATGAATGCCTAGACTCTTTTGGATTTTGTTGGTAAGGATACATCTTTTTATTTTTATTTATTTATTTATTTATTTTTTGAGACTTGGTCTATCACCAAGGCTGGAGTGCAGTGGTACAATCTCTGCTCAGTGCAACCTCTGCCTACTGGGTTCAAGCAATACTCCTGCCTCAGCCTCCAGAGTAGCTGGGATTACAAACACCTGCCACCATGCCCACCACACTTCCTCCAGTAAATCCTTGGCCAAACGTAAAAATTAAAACTGTCATTATGATTTATCAAGAAAGTAATTCATTTGAGAACTTTAAAAATGAGGCCAAATCGCCACTCAGTTAAATTTCATTACTTTTATAACTATTTCCATTTTAAAAGAAACAATAAAAATAAATAAAATGAGCATTAAATCTAAGAAATTAGAATGAGACCAACCAAAGACCAAAGGAAGCCAGGAAGAACTTAATTAACTCAAAAGCAGAAAGTAATGACTTGTGAGCGGTAATTCAGCAGAA
Source organism: Homo sapiens (assembly GCF_000001405.40). NCBI lineage: Eukaryota > Metazoa > Chordata > Mammalia > Primates > Hominidae > Homo > Homo sapiens. Next base: position 49,357,788 of record NC_000022.11, read on the forward strand.
TAATTAAGGCCGAGAATCTTTTTTTTTTTTTTTTTGGAAAGACCAATCAAATAGAGACACCCCTGTCAACTCTAATTAAGAACAACGAGTCAGGAAAAAGAATTCAGATGCCGCGAAGCCACTGCATGACAAGGACGCCGTCTACAGAGCGATACACTCAAATCCAGACCGTGTAGTTGAAAAGGATCATTCTGGGGAGAAACACCAATTGCCAAAATTATCCAAAGGAAAACAGATGCCAGCAACTGGGTAACGACCAGGGAGCAGGTTCTTCATGAGCTGCGTCCAAGGATCACATGGGAAGGAGTGGTGCTTTCACGGGAGAGCACAGGCCCCACGGCAGTGGCAGCAGCAGCATCTTCCAAAGAGGGCAGGGAGCAGACCCCCAACTCCCCCGGGCCACCTGAGAGAGGCAGGGATTCCAAGAGCCACCAGGACCACCAGCTCCTCTGCAAACACAACTGCACCCACAGAGCTCTGAGGGGCTTGGGAGCCCAGAGGCTGCCTGTGGCGGGAGAAGGACCCGCCAGGAAAGGGGGCGGCTGGAAGCAGCAGTGGGGAGAAGGCTGAGCGCAGCTTTGTGTGGATTATATTTTGTCTCTCAGATTCCCTTCTAGAGCGTCACTCCTGTTCCGAACCTCAGTGCAAACCAGAAAGGGGCCCCCCAGCAGCCTCCTGTCAAACCTGAATGCTATGAGTCCTTTCAATGTTGCCAATTTGACAGAGGTCTTTATTGTTTTTATTATAAATTTTTGGTTTTTTTGAGACGGAGTCTCCCTGTGTCGCCCAGGCTGGAGTGCGATGGTGTGATCTTAACTCACTGCAACCTCCGCCTCCCAGGTTCAAACGATTCTCCTGCCTCAGCCTCCGGAGTAGCTGGGATTACTGGTGCGCACCACCACACCTGGCCAATTTTTGTATTTTTAGTAAAGACAGGGTTTCGCCACGTTGGCCAGGCTGGTCTTGAACTCCTGACCTCAGGTGATCCACCCACCTCGGCCTCCCAGAGTGCTGGGATTACAGGCATGAGCCACCGCACCTGGCCTGTTTTTATTAGAATTTTTAAATGTCTAGTGAGGTCGATCATATTTTAGGTTTATTTGTCATTTATACAACTTTATTTAAATTGTTTGTGTCCTTTGCCCACTCTTTAAATGTGTTAGTCGCAGGTTCTTCTCTTTGATTTGAAGGACACACACACACACACACACACACACACACACACAGACACTCATGTAATATAAATTTTGTTTATTTGAAGGAGATATAGACATAAACACACATCTAGATAGATATAGATATATGCTTAAGCCTCAAGAATTAGCAATTCAGTACAGTCTAATACCAATATATTCTCCCAAGGCACTTTCATTCGGGCAGAGGCAGCTGTGTCAGTGCTCTCAGCTTCTCATCCAGGTCTGAGGATAGCCCTGCTCAAGAAAGGGGCACGTCTGAAGCCTGCTGCAGAGGAGCTAACGAAAGCAGGTGCGGACTGACCCAGCGGCAAGCAAGTGAAATCAGCCGTGGTGACTGCCTGAGAAGACATCTCCTCTCTTCTGTTTAAATGGCAGGGACTGGTGTAGAAAATGTCTTACCCTCTGATCCTTCCCCAGCTGGGAGCGACCGAGAAGCTCACATTCCCACAGGCTAAGACACCTGGAAAACCAAGAAAACTGCTATGAACAAGGGTAGAAAGACTTAAAATAAGGATGGCCAAATACATGCCAAAATATAAGGGAAGAAAATGAGACAGCCGGGCATGGTGGCTCCCGCCTGTGATCCCAGCACTTTGGGAGGCCAAGGCGGGCAGATCACGAGGTCAGGAGATCGAGATTATCCTGGCTAACATGGTGAAACTTTATCTCTACTAAAAAATACAACAAATTAGCCGGGCATGGTGGCAGGTGCCTGTAGTCCCAGCTACTTGGGAGGCTGAGGGAGGAGAATGGTGTGAACCCGGGAGGCAGAGTTTGCAGTGAGCCGAGATCTCCCCACTGCACTCCAGCCTGCGTGACAGAGTGAGATTCTGTCTCCAAAAAAAAGAAAAAAAAATGAGACAAGGAAAACTCACTGAAAACAAAGTAATTGGAAATATTAGGCATGAAAATGCAATATTTGAAATGCAAAACAAACACAATAAATAGTAGAATGGACATAACCGAAAAAAAAATCATAAGACTGAAGATCACAGTGAGGAACTTTTTCTAATTAGACACATTATAGCAAAATTCCAGAACGCCAAAAACAAAGAGAAACTGATCAAAGCCTGTAGAGGAAGGAGCAGCTTGCTCACAATAACAGCAGTAAGACTCATGCCAGATTTCTCCGGATGCAATCGATGTAAGTATTAAAAGAAAATAAGTTTGAGTTTAGAAATGTATTATCTAGTCATGTTGTCTTTTATGTGTAAAAAAACAAGTAACCAAGCAACAACACAAAAAAAATTCTTGAATTTTTCAAGTAAAATCAGCAAATCTAGAGATGTTACAAGCAAGATGGAGAATAAGAGTGATCTAATATTTATGTGCCATTATCTTAAAATTTAAGAAAATAAGCTAAGCCAAAGAGGTAAAAGAAAGAATATTCATGACAACTCAGAAAGGAACATGAGCGTGCTAAACTAATTGTCTTCTTAGAAAAACAACATAAAAATCTATATGGTAAAAAATCAATAGTGGTAAATAAATATGAGTATGGTCTTAAGGGTAACCACTAGTAAAATAAAATAGGTTATGCAACTTGGCAAACAGAAGAAAATACAGAGAATGCAATGAAAGTAAACCAAATAAATAAAAGGATAAATGACAAATGGAAAAATGAAATAAAATAGTAGAGGTAAGTTCTACCAAATAAACATTTAAAATAAAGTTAAGACAAAACTTTTCAGGTTGAATGAAAAATAAAAAAGAGCCAACAGCATGTGATCTGTAGGAGACGTAACAGAAGAATGCGGAATGATGGACAAGAAACAGATGGAAAGGATATGCTATCTAAATATGAATCCAAGTAAGGCTAGATAGCAACCACAACGTTGGAGAAAATCACAGGCAACTACATCATACCCTGAAGATCAAGGCAGGATGCGATGGAGGAGTAAGAGGACAGCTAAACTGACACATAGCTATCATCAACATGCAAGCGTCAAATCACACAGCTGAAAAGCACATCAGCAAGATCTAAAAAAAGCTGCTGGAAGAGACAGCTAAGTCAAATGTTGTGGTTGGCTATTTTAACTACTCTGAGGATATTTTTAGATCAAGCAACCAAACACAGAAAGAAAGGAGAGGTAAAGACTGAATCAATAATTTCAAGATCTAGGAAGTATTTATAAGCATAGACATATAAAGTTTCAATCATTCTCAGTCTAAATAGTATACAGAAAAAGATCTCCCAACTATAATACAATCAATATTGAAATTAATTTCAAAAATGTATCTAAATTGTCAAAGTGTTTGGAAACGAAGAAATGTTTTCTTATGTAAACTTTGGGTTATGAAGAAGAATAGAAAACTAATTTAAGTATTTAGAACTAAATGAAGATAAAAATATTACATGTAAAATGTGCGGACACAGCAAAAGCAGTCAGGAAGGAAAATCTTCAGGGAGAAAATGTATAGCTTTCCTTGTGTTAACCAGGAAACCAGTAAGATTAGAAACAATAAACTAATTTTTCAAATCAAGAAGTTTGGAAAACACATCAGAACAACCCAAAGAAACCAGAAATATAGAAACGAGAAACAAGAGGATGAAAATCATTGAAATAGTTCATTCGCCTCATGTTCTCCAAGTCCATCTGTGTTGCTTATAGGGATTAGGTACAAAGTTTTTCAAGCAGAAGAAAAGGGTTTTGAGATCCACTGCACAGCACAGTGACTATTGTCAAGAATAAGTAATGTATTAAACATTTCACTTTGCTTCAGGAGACTTTAAATGTTCTCTCTATGAAAAAAAGGTGGGTAAGTGAGGTGATAATATAATTTAAAAGTTTATATAACAAAATGTTAATTAGCTTGATTTAATCATTCCCCCAATGCATACACATATCAAAATACCATGTTGTATACCATAAATATATACATCTATTATTTGTCAATTAAAAATATATTTTAAATCTATTTCAAAAATCAGTGAAATAGAAAAGGTGATTGGACCACAAAGGAAACCAAAATCTGATTCTTTACAGAGATTATAGAATAGGCTTTCCACAAATCAGAGTAAGAACCATGCAGGGAGAGGAGAGAAAGACAAATCACAGAGAGAGGGAAGAGGGCAACCGTGATGCAGAGGAATTAAAGGGACGCAGAGATGAAAACACGCTAAAATTTTGTCCACTCTTCTACCCCTATGCATTTGAAAAATGATTAAATGGATAAACAGACAAAATGCAAAAACAGGCTGAAAAATAAGTAGGGAATTTAAATAGACCAATACTTATTAAAGAAATTAAAATTATAGCCAAAGACTCCCGTGTCCAACAAAACCTGGAAAAGGTTGTCATGAAAAGGGAATCTATCACACTTTGGAGGAGCAGATAATCCCTGAAGCAAGCTGTTCCGGACTGTGTTTGCAGACACATGCAGCGTCCTGTGTTTTATCAGCTGCTGCCTCAGAAACTAAGACTTCAAAAGCACAAAGCATTTGTATTAATTTTCTGTAGCTGCTGTAACCAATGACCACAAACTTGGTGGCCGGACACAACACTAATTTATTCATTTACAGGTCCAGACATCAGAATTCCAGCACGAGTCTCCGCAGGCAGGGCCTCCTGGAGGCTCTAGGGGAGAAACAACACTCATTTATTCATTTACAGGTCCAGAGATCAGAAGTCCAGCATGAGTCTCGGCAGGCAGGGCCTCCTGGAGGCTCCGGGGGAGAATCCCTTTCCTTGACTGTTTCAGCTTCTAGAACCACCAGATTCTGCAGCTCAGGGCCTCCTCTGTCTTCACAGCTAGCAACGGAGGGTGGAGTCCTTCTCCCATCGTATCGCTCCGCTTCCCTCTTCCACCTTTAAGCAGAAGACAGGACCCACCTGGATAATCCAAGGTCGCTTCCCTTACTCCAAGTTCCACCTGCAACCCTAGCGCCCCCGTAACAGGTACCAGCCAGGTAACAGGTTCACAGGTTTCAGGGATCAGGACACAGGTGTCTTTAGGAGGGCTTTAGTCTTCCTACTATGATATGATATGATTATTTTTATTTTTATTTTTATTTTTTTTGAGATGGAGTCTCGCTCAGTCACCCAGGCTGGAGTGCAGTGGCACGATGTCGGCTCACTGCAAGCTCCATCTCCCAGGTTCACGCCGTTCTCCTGCTTCAGCCTCCTGAGTAGCTGGGACTACAGGCTCCCGCCCCCACGCCCGGCTAATTTTTTTATATTTTTAATAGAGATGGGGTTTCACCGTGTTAGCCCGGATGGTCTCGATCTCCTGACCTTGTGATCCACCTGCCTCAGCCTCCCAAAGTGCTGGGATTACAGGTGTGAACCGCTGTGCCTGGCCCTGATATGATTTATGATGTGATATGATATATAATGTGACATGTGATATGTGCTGTGACATGATATTTAAATGCATATAATTTCTCTGTATATTTATATATGGATACTATCTTAAAGAGTACACACCAATATTTTTAAGTGTTTTCCTCCCCAAAGGAGGATGATTTAACTCTTTCTCATACGCCCTTCTCTGGTGTAGTCACAGTGACTATGTGTGTTATTTCCCCACATATGTGTTTGAGTGTCCACAACAGAAGGTTTAACTGCAACCTTATAATAATAAATGGTGCATTATACATCAGGGGTCAGCTGTGAGTTTAACTCAGAACACGCCAACCACCAGGGGCCCCACGGAACATCGGCTCCCACTCCCGACACCTCCTGCTCCAGCGCAGGCAGAGCCGACAAACAGCCCCACGGGGTCCTTGGAGAAGAGCTTGCCTTCCTCTGCTGTGTGTCTTCTGGCTCAGTGAGGAGAGTTGCGGGGAGGGCGTCCTCTTAGAAGCACTCTTATTTCATTCTTAACACAGGGAAGGCAGCCTCCCCCCGGATACCTCTGGCTGCGAGTACCAGCTTGCTCCTCTTTGTCACCCGGTAAATCAGATGTCTGCACCATGGCAATGCGTGGAGCAAATGATTAAACTGTCCACGAAGGCCGCGGAGGTCTTCATCGAGGTTAACTGCTTGTGAATTTGCAGCTCAGGGAGGGTCTGTGGGAGCCCACGAGACGTTCTTGTATCAACCGACGGCCTTCCTCGCCTGTTGGTGTCACACAGGGTGGCCTCACCTTCCCGAAGAGGCCTCAGCCCGTGAACGGGGACCTGTGAGTCGTGGGCAGGACTCAAGTGCCAAAGCCTGAAGGTTTTGGGGGGAGCAGAGTCCACACGCACCTTGGTGCTTTCCACAACCTGTTCCTCAAAGGGATGGTTTGGGGACCTTAGGAAGGAGATGTTGTCAGGCGTTTACCTGACCTGGTCTTCACATCTTCCTGGATCCTTCCAACTTTGCCACTTGCTCCTGTCCCCGCCATTGCTCTAACAAATTATCACCAAGCTCCGTGAACTCCTGGCTGGACTCAGGTGGAAATTCTGCATCCTTGGCTCGTGGTGTGACCCGCTGACAATGCTCTGTTCCGACCCTCTCCTCCCTCCCCTTCCTGGCTCTCGGACCCTCCTGGCCACGTCATCAGACCCTCTCCTCCCTGCCCTTCCTGGCTCTCGGACCCTCCTGGCCACGTCATCAGACCCTCTCCTCCCTCCCCTTCCTGGCACTCGGACCCTCCTGGCCACGTTATTGCTGCCTCTTTGGCCTGTTTCCCGTGGAAGCAGAGAGACACCAGCAAGAGAAAAACTCGGCCGATGGCGCTGGCTTTGGAGATGGAGGAGGGGCCGCAAGCCAAAGGAGGAAAACGCCTCTAAAAGCTGGAAAGACAGATCCTCCCTTGGAGCCCCTGGGGGATGCAGCCCTGCCCACACCTCAATATTAGCCCCATGAGACCCAGGCTGGACGGCTGACCTCTGACCTCGAGAGCTGCGGGGTGATGCACCCGCTCTGTGCTGTTACATCACTCGGTCAAAGGTGATTTTTTAATGGCAGCAGTAAAAAATAAACACAGTACAGGATCAATGTTTACTATTGACACAATTACATTATTGGGCTTTTTATTTTATTTTATTTTATTTGTTTTGAGACAGGATCTTGCTCTGTCACCCAGGCGAGAGTACAGTGGTGTGATCACAGCTCACTGCAGTCTCCACCTCCCCAGGCTCAAGGGCTCCTCCCGCCTCAGCCTCCCGAGTTGCTGGGACTACAGGCATGCACCACCACGCCCAGCTAATTTTTGTATTTTTAGTAGAGACAGGGCTTAGCTGTGTTGCCCAGACTGGTCTTGAACTCCTGGCCTCAAGCAGTCCATCCACCTTGGCTTCCCAAAGTGCTGAGAATACAGATGTGAACCACTGCTCCCGGCCTTACTGACTGTTTTGTGTACGCCAGACACCATGCAAGGTAAAAAGTAAAGCACAGCGTGGGGCGAGGAGCAGGGGCTGAGGCCAGGTTGCTGTGAGCCTCGGTGACCTCATCTGTGAAGCCGGCGCAGACCCACCAGCGATGTATCTGGTGCAGCATCTGCCACATCCTCAGCAGAGCATAAAGACCCCCTGCTGCTCCCCCTCCCACCATCCTCCTGCTCCTCCAGGGAAAATGCAGGGAGGCTCATAGTAGCACCATGGTGTTAGTCATGGAGGGCCTGAGCCCAGTCTGAAAAGTACTTAGGAACAGAATTGGTGAGACTTGCCTGGAACAGAATGGATGTAGGGATGTAGAAGGGGCTGGGTAGGGAGCGGTGCCCAGCGGTGCAGCCTGGAGGGCTGGTGGACGGCTGGGGTGGGAGACAGAGGGCTGGGCTGCCCGTTTAAGGAGAGTCCTGCGGGGCTGCTTGCAGAGGTGTTTTGGAGCATGCTGGCACCTGAGGGACATTCGGGCAGAGATTTCCAGGAGGTTGAGTGATGTCCAGGGTTGTATCTCTGGGAAGATGCCCAGTCAGTTCAGACGGATTTGCGATGCATTGACATAGATGCATAGATTGAGGCCGTGCTATAGGGTGAACTCGCCCCAGCTCGGCACACACAGTGAGGAGGGCGGCTGAGCACACACAGTGAGGAGGACAGCTGAGCACACACAGTGAGGAGGGCGGCTGAGCACACACAGTGAGGAGGGCGGCCGAGCACCACCCAGGGGTCCTCGGCACACACAGTGAAGAGGGCGGCTGAGCACACACAGTGAGGAGGACAGCTGAGCACACACAGTGAGGAGGGCGCCTGAGCACCACCCAGGGGTCCATGCATGTTTTACTGATGGGTCAGAGGGGCGCCGTGGGGGCTGTGGAGAAACCGCCTAAGGTGAAGAAGAGGAAGGAGAATGTGCATCCACAAAGCTGGGGTGCAGGGAACCCCAGGAAGGGAGGGAGGGTCAGCGGAGATCAATGCAGGTGGACTAGAACATGCCCGGTTCACGGCCCCGTTTCCCTCTCCTATACGCATTCTGCAAAGATTTTTTGTGCACCTACTGTGTGCCAGGCAGGACCATCATGAGAGTGTGCAGAGCGGTGCCGGGAGCAGGAGCTGGGTGGGGGCACTCAGGGGCCGAGCATCTCCATGTCCTGCCTTCTGGAAATACAGAGAGAGTCACGAGAGAGTCAGGGTTTGCTTGGGGGAGCAGGTCCCGGAAATGAATTTTGCAGTGGGTGGGAGTTGAGCTTGTTTATTGACAGAAGAGAGGAGCGTCTGCAGAGTCAGGGGCAGAAGCTCCTGGAAAAAGGAACCATGAGGCAGGTGCCACGGTGGGTCCAGGGCCCGGAGGATGAGGAGTTGGGCCAGGAGGGAGGCCTTCCGATGCCAGAAGGCAGTGGAGCATGTGTGGTGGGAAAGAATTTAAGGAGACCTCGTGGGGTCTCCACACGGAGGCTCCAAGATGACCACCCACATTCAGTGTGTATCCGCAGGGAACCGGGCCGTGGAAGACTGCCTCTGTTTGCATTTGACCACACACACACACACACACACACACACACACACCTTAGTGTGTATATATATATATATATGTATGTATATAGTTTTGTTTTGTTTTGTGTTTGAGACGGAGTCTCACTCTATCACCTAGGCTAGAGTGCAATGGCGTGATCTCAGCTCACCACAACCTCTGCCTCCCAGGTTCCAGCAATTCTGCCTCAGCCTCCCAAGTAGCTAGGACTACAGGTGCGTGCCACCACACCCGGCTCATTTTTTGTATTTTTAGTAGAGATGGGTTTTTCCCATGTTGACCAGGCTGGTCTTGAACTCCTGACATCAGGTGATCCACCCGTCTCAGCCTCTCAAATTGCTGGGATTACAGGCGTGAGCCACCGAGCCCGGACTTGACCACATAGTTATGTTTGTGAACATACTGAAGGCCCTCTATCCTTCCTGCCCCTGCACTGCAGGGTTGGTGACTAAGTAGAATAATATTCTAAATTGAATAATGTTCTTTGGCTTTTTATCCATGGCCCTGAAGTTTCATGCTTTTGAGCAACATAAATATTTCAGATGGTTTTATTTTAATGCAAGCATTACACCCACCCAGCAAGCCTGAGCTTCCCTGTGCTTCAGTGGGGACCTGCCATTGCAGCCCCTGCATCTGGTTTCAGCACGGAATTGGCTGGACAGGGACCCACAGGCACCAGAGGCGTGGCTCAGCCCTGGGATCTGGCCCACCTGCCCACAGCACAGAGGGCAATTTCCCTGGGAGATTGGCGTGATTGAGTGCACCACCCCCATGAGAGCAGAGGGAGGGGCTGTATGCTCCCCGCCATCTTCTGAGCCATAATGAGAAGAAAGTTCCTAAAATCACAGTTCAAAAGAAAATGAAATATGGCTTAAGCATGACTAAGCCCACTCTCTGGAATTTATATGTATATATTTACAGATTCACTATGCATGTATATATGTGTGTATATATTTTAAGATGGAGTCTCACTCTGTCACCCAGGCTGGAGCGCAATGGCGTGATCTCAGCTCACTGCAACCTCCGCCTCCTGGGTTCAAGTGATTCTCCTGCCTCAGTCACCCAAGTAGCTGGGATTACAGGCGCCTGCCACCATGCCTGGCTAAATTTTTTTGTATGTTTAGTAGAGATGGGGTTTCACTGTGTTGGCCAGGCTGGTCTCGAGCTCCTGGCCTCAAGTAATCCACTGGCCTCGGCCTCCCACAGTGTAGGGATTACAGGTGTGAGCCACTGTAGTCGGCCACATGTATATATCTTATTGTGGTAAAAAAACAGCATAAAATTTACCAGGAGTGACAGTTGGTTCCTTCTGAGCACTTCGTTGGGCAGACCCCACGATCCTTACATGAAACATTTTGAACTTCCTCTTCCTTCCCACACACCGGGTGTACGGAAGAACATCTCCATCCATCCTCCAGGTGCCCAAACAGAAGCTCAGCTCTGTACCCCTCTTGCTCCAAGATCTTCACATCCAAACACCCCTGGGTCTCGCTCAGATTCTCCCACTTCCAGAACCCGCTTCTGAGCACGGCCACCTCTTCCTGCATCTGCAGTCCCACCGCCCTGCGTGACCCACTGCCTTGCACGACCCACCGCCCTGCAGGCACCAGCTTCTGGCATCTCATCTGATGGCCCCACAACGCTCACTGCAGAGCAACCTTCCTAAGACACAAATCTGACCATGATTCTCCCTGATTTAGAATCATCCTTGGCTCCCTGTTGCCATCAGCAGAGAATCCGGAGTCCTCAGCACATAGGCGATGCTCGGGGGGCCTGGCCTCTGCGTCTCCCCAAAGGCTCCAGGAATGTAGACACCAAGTGCGGCCCCCCAGCGCTGGCCTCCCCACTCCTGCACAGCCCCCAGGAGTAGAGGGCAGGTAAAGCATTGGGACCCTCCTGCCAGAGGCTCTGGGTTCAAATCCCAGCTCCACCACTCACCACCTGCATCACTGCAAGCTAACCCCTGAGCTGCTCAGGCCCCAGGGTCCCCGCTCACCACTGGCATATCTGGCATGTTAAGGCAGCAAAGCACCCCCAGCCATGCCCAGCACTGTGCCTTTAAGAGCCAAGGCGCTGGCCGTGAGCGCAGCCCCACAAATGATGGCTGCTGGTTTTGTTACTGTCACAACAATCATCCACGGAGACCCAGTGGGCTCTGATGTTCTCGGGTGACACTGGCTGCCAGGAGCCCGGGAACAGCCAAGCCTCGTCCGACTCCTGCTCTCCCAGGAGCGTCCCCATGGCTCTCAGCTCTGCCTCCAGGAGCCACGCCCTCGTCGCGTCCGCTGCCCACTCTCTCCTCCGTGGTATTTCCTGTGTGACCCCACGTGGCTCCTGGACAGCACCGCATGGAGCCTCTGCTACTGTGTGAGAGGAAGCCACGTTCCCTCGCCCTTCCTCCCGTGCCCGCCGGTCCTCGGCTGAGAATCGCCACACAGCCAGGCTGTGGCCACAGAACTGCTGTCTGCAGATCGCTTCCGTCCCCGTGTCCCCAGCCTTGACGGACTCCGTCCAATGACGACAGTCCACGCCCACGTCGGCGACGCCCTTCCCCTTCACAGGCAGTGTCACGTTCCTGCTCTCAGCTCACTGTCCCCATGGGTGGGAGGGCCCCTGAGGGGACTTCAAGGAGACCCTGGGCTCGTGGAGCCTCACGGGGGAAAGCCTGACTCTGAGTCACCACTGGAAAGTGCTGCAGGCAGCTGTGAAGATGAAACGGGCAACGCCAGCTGCTCCTCCCCCTCGGACTCGGGCAGCCTTGCCCCCACGTTCCTGCAAAGAGCACGACCCCCCAAGGGAGCTCAGGTTCTACCCACCCTCAGGGCCCTCACCTCACCAGAGAGGTTCCTGCAAGCAGCACGGCTGAGAAGCTGCTCCAAAATAGGACCCCACTTCAGCCTGGGTGAGGCAGGGGCCTGCACTGGTGCCTCAGGAGCCAGTCGTGGTGGGGGCCTGGCTGGCAAACCTGAAGGGGCAGCCCAGGCCTGCAGCCCGAGCCCACATGGAGACACCGGGACTCGAGATGGGCCTGAGGGGAAATCACCTCCCTTCCTATCCCACAGCACACTTCGGGGGAGGGAAGGAGGAATAAAGGGGAGGCCGGACCTGAGGAGCGCTCTGGGGGGCTTCAGGAGCACCAGGGTGTGCATGGCGGTGTGGGGAGGGTGCCCAGGGCTGCAGAAGTTGGAGACGGCTCCAGAGGCAAGTAGAGCCTGGCAGGCAGGGGAGAGCGCACAGGCCTCTGACGCCAGGAGCAACCAGCATCTGGGAAGACCCTGGGCACACCGCGAGCTGGTGGCGACCGCATGGCCAGGGTGAGGAAGGACAGGCCCCTGGGATGAGAGGCCCTGGGGAAGCAGCTTGCATTTTAGCCTGGAAGGGCTGAGGTGATTCTGGCTACAGGGGACCCTAGCAGGGAGGATGTTCACTGCACAGAAGCAGTGAGGAAGACCCGAGAGGAAAGAGCAGGATTGCCATCGCTGGCTCTGGGCTCCAACAAGGAGAGGGAAATGAAGGACCCCCTAAGCCTCACACTGGCTGGGCACAGAGCAGAGACAGGGCTGCAGGCGGACTCTGTCTGGCAAGAGTGCCTCGATGAAGCTCTGTGGCTTCCCCCAGGCTGTGCTGCCGAGGTCTCCCGGCTGACAGTGGAAACAGCACAGGAGAAATCCCTGTGGACTGCCTGGAGGAGACCCAGGGACTGGGCTTTTGGGTTCTCTGCTCTGTGAGGTCTGAGAGGTGCGCTGAGTGGGCTCACTTAAGGCATTAGTCACAGGCTCTTTGTCCATGGCTGCCCCAAGGTATCATAATTCATTTGAACTGGACGTCCACATCCCTCCAAACCCAAGTTCAATAGCATTTCATTACTGCAAGGGCAGACGGAGCGCTTTCTTCTGTGTTCCAAGTTTATTTCAGCCTAAATTATTAAGCAGCTTGTTTAATAATGCAAGCCTTTGCATTGTCGATGGAAGAGCAGGCGCCTTGTTTCAAAGCACATTGTCTCTGGAAAGCTGCGGGAGACCGGCTGTCTCTCTGATCTTGCGCTTAGGGTCATCTGTTCATCGCGAGGAGGAGGTTTTTACTTGTTGATAAATGAGGTGCGGCCAGCTCTGCGTGCCCTGACGGGCTACCGACAGCCCGCTCTTTCCAAACGATGCCTGCCTCCTTATTGCATGTGGTGAGCTTCCTGGGATGCAGGCCGACCATTCCGGTGGTTTTCAGAGAGAAGCAGGTGCTGCCTAAGCCAAGCTCCTTCCCGGCGCACCTCGCATGACACACGCACACGGACGAATGGTGCATTCTTAAAACACTCGGGAGAGGCGTCGTTTCCTGGGCTAATGCTCCTCACTCCATTGAGACCCCTCCAAGCCCACACCCTTTGTGCTCAGCTGAGAAGCTCATGCAGGCCACCCCCAGCCTGCCGGGGCTCGTGACAGCCCAAATGTCAGGGAGGAGCAAGTGGAGATGGGAACTTGCTTCACGTGTGAATCAAGACTCCATGTTAATTAACCATAAGCTCCACCAGGAGCCCTCTCCAAAGCCATGGAACACCAGGCCCAGGTCTCCGCACTGAGACTTGGTGGCCTCTGCCCTGAGACATGGTGGCCTCTGCAGCGTCCTTGTCACCTCCAGGCCAGTGACGGCCCTCCCTGTCCTGCAGTCCCTCCCTGCCACCACGAAGATGGGAACCGGTACAGCACCCTGTTCGCAAGCTTCGTAAAGCAAGTCCACCCAGCCCTGCCCTGGGATTTTAGAGTCCCGGGTGGGTGTTTCCAGCCATGTCTGAAACGGCAAAGAATCCTTGAAAATCTCCCCAGGAGGAGACGGATCCAGAGATGGACGTGCTTTCTCCTTCAGCCTGGGCACACTCGAGGGTGAAAGGGGCATGGGGCGTAGTTGCACAGGACGGCAGGACAGCAGACGGGCACCGGGCTGTCGCCAGGTCCACCCGGCTCACGTGGTCCCCCAGCCTGAAAGCTCCTCTGGACACCTGGTCCAAGCCTTGGGGGCGCTGGGATGCCCAGGCTCATTCGGGCTCCACTTTCTACAGAATCCTTTTCACAGTCTAAGTCTCTCTGAAAAGCCCCAAAGGGACTCTCTGGACCCTGTGGGCTCATTGAGTCTCCTAAGTGTGTCCCCACCAGGAGAGCTGTGTGCTGGGCCCCCCATGCCCGCAGCCCGTGCCCCCCCCACACCCCGGCCCCCCATGCCCAGCAGCACGTGCATTTCCACTGTGGTCTGTGCCTTCAGCTGTGACCCCACAGAAGACACGGCCCGGGGACAGGGTGATCCCAGGCTTTCCGCATGCAGAGCGGGTTACTGACCCCCACAGATTTGCTTCAGGCCTCTGGGCTGGCAGATGGGTGCTGTGGGGTGGGAGTCAGGTGGTCGGAGTCCCAGGCCGGGGAACGTCCAGGTGCTGCAGGGAAATCAGGACGGCGCCCGAGGGAAGTGCGTGAGCCAGGGAGTCGTGGTGAAGGAGCCTGGGTGCCTTGAGTGATTCTTCCTCTCTTGCCTGCTTTAGCTAGGCGCCTGCTTAAACGAAGCCCTTGGAACTCAGTGAAAGCAGCGGCATCCTCAGAAGAAAGAGAAACCGCTCACCACTGTCAGCACCACGGCCCCGTTCCCTGCACCCCCAGCCTTCATGGGGAGGACACATCCTTTCACTGAATTGGGAGAAAAACAGCATCACCCCCACCCCGCCCCCAGGTTTCCTGAGCCTCAGCACCAGGGAGAGTGCTCAGAATGGGCCCTGGACTCTGGGGCCTGGAGCAGGTCTGAAGGCTCCCGCAGCTGCAGTCTCTGCCGTCTGCACTGGGGACGGCTCTTGGGTTGGGTCCTTCTTCCCTGCGCACTCCGAGGTCCTCCCTGCAGCCTTCCAGTCAGCAGGACCTGGCTGGGGGGACAGCATCAGGGGCACTGGCTGAGGGAGGTGAATGAGCCTCTCCCTGGTATGCAGGAAGGGCCTGGTGGGAAGAACAATGACTCAGCCTGGAGATGGCAGCAGCTCAGCCCTCATGGGACTGTCTGACTCAGTCCCCACCCTCTCTGTCCCCAGGAATGACCAGCCATTGGGTGGCCCTGCTGGAGGCCGCCCCCGCCTATGACCAGACAGCCTCTGCTCTGGAGGGCTCCTGTCCTGAGTGCCGACTGCCAGGCCGTCCTCGGGCTGGAAAGGGCAGAGCTGTGGGGAGGTGAGCAGAAGCCCAGGGAAGCACCGGGTGCTGGGCAGGCCAGCCAGCTGCAGGCATCGCTTTCAGGGTGCAGAAGAGCCAGACCCAGCCCAAGGAGGGAGGCCCAGAGTGCCTCAGTGATGACCACGTGGGCATAGCCAGGAGGAACACCCAGGGCGGCGGTAGGTCCCTGGAAGAGGGACACGGTGGGCATTGCCTGGGGTTGGGAAGCCTCCGTCTCTGCAGGTCACTCGCACCTGGGAGTATGGCCACGGTCAGCCCCAGAGTCCGGAAGGAAAGCAGGGCCCGGGAGGCCTCAGGACCAGAAACAAACAGAGAAGATGCCAGAGGCATCCACAAGGCAAAGTCAGCAAAACAGGGGATAAAGGAGCTGTTTCAGAGGAAGAAAAGTCCCGGTCCCTGCAGGAGGGGCCAACTCCCAGCCTCATGCTGCTGCCACAGGGGGCCTGTGGGGCTGGTTCCAGCTGGGGAAGCACAGGGAGACGTCCACCCAGGAAACTGCTCCAAAGCCAGGACAAGTGTGACTGGAGTTGGGAAGAGCAGAGACGATGGCTCAGCAGTGAACAGCCAGGGGCAGCCCAGGAGGCGAAGCTGGCCCTGCTCACCCTGTCCACATCCTGATGCAAGAAGAACATGGCGTGGAGCTCCGTAATGAGGCAGCATCCACTGCACAAACAAGCCCAGAAAAAGGGAGACACACAGGTGACCCAGAGTGGAGTCAGGAAGCCCCGAGAAAGGACGCGGGCTGTGGCTGCTGCAGAACTTGGAGCTCCAAAATAACAAAGGAAATGACCTATGCACAGCCACGAGGAGAGAGAGACGGGGTCCCAGCATTGCTGGGAGAGGCCATGATGCTCAGTGGGCACCCACCATGAGATGCCCGGGTCCTGAGCCAGGAGGCGGAGCCACTCCCCACGCACTCTGTCCTGACTTTGGTGACAGGAGCAGCCACCGAATGCCATCATCTGCCAAGGTGACCTCCAAGCACTGGGCAGGCAGAGGCCGCTCCTGTTTTCCAGGAAGCTGGCAAGTGGGCTCTGGAGACGGCAGTTTTATCTGCAGGCAGAGGGAGCGACCAGGTGCCCGAAGCCCCTCCACCCCGGGACTGCAGCGTCCTGGGACCCTCAAGACAGGATCCCACGAGGAGGGTTACCAGCTCCCCGGCCGAGGCGTTCTCTTTCCCTACGGCCTGCCTTTTTCATAAGATCAATGCCGTGGAATCCTACGGTGGGAGGTCTTTTGTCCATTTCCTCAATATAAAACTAACAGGCAAAAAGTTACTCTTAATATCCTCTTTGTGCCCTGTTAATATCTATTGACCTTTAATGAATATTCCTATTTTATTGCTAACAGTCATAACTTGTGTTTTCTTTCTGGTTTTTTAAAATATTATTCCTAGGAAATGAATTATTAGCTAATACTTCCAAAGAACGAACCTGTCAAAGGTAAATCTGCTTTCTATTTCATTGATTTTTGGTCTTATCTTTATTTTCCTTCTTCAGTTTTTGGGGGTTTTATATACTGTTCTTTTCATAGTTCCTTGAATTGAAAGTTTACATCATTGATTTTCAAATTTTGTTCTTTTTAACATAGGCATTTAAAGCTATAATCTCCCTCTAAGTTTTGCTTTGGCTGTTTCCCACAAGTTTAGATCTGTTCTATATATGTTACATATTATATGTTATATACATATATATATATATATATATATATATATATATATATATACACACATACACATCTAGTTCTTATTTTATTCAGTTTAAATATTTTCTAATTTTGCTATGATTTCTTCTTCAATTCATGGGAAATCTAAAATGTGTTTCACAATTTCTAAATATTTGGGGCTTTTTTCATAATCTTTTTGTAACTGACTTCCAGTTTAATTACATTATGATAAGAATATATAATGTGCATGATTCCAATAATTTGAAATGTATTAAGCCTTGTTTTTTGGCCTAGCATATGGTCTATTTTCATAAATCTTGCACTAAAACTTAAAAACTTGGAAAGCATGTGTGTTCTGTAGGTTTTAGATGTGGTTGCAGGTAGCGTTAGTGAGGGAAGTATGGAGGAATATCAACTCGACATAGACTTGGGAGCTTCTCTCCCAGTCTGCCGAGTTTCCCTTCATCTAACTGAAGCTGTGTCATTAGGTGCATGTACATTTAAGATTGTTATCTCCCCCTGTGGAATCGGCCCTTTGTCATTGTTAAAAATCCTTCTTTATTTCTGGCAGCACGTCTTGCTTTACATTCTGTTTGTTTGAAATTGAAATGGGTATAGCTTCGTATAGTCTCAAACTTTCTTTCTTTCTTTCTTTTTCTTTTCTTTTCTTTTTTTTTTTTTTTTTTTTTTTTTTTTTTTTTGAGACAGGGTCTCACTCTGTAGCCCAGGCTGGAGTGCAGTGGTATGATCTTGGCTCACTGCAACCTCTGCCTCCAGGGCTCAAGTGATTCTCCCACCTCAGTCTGCAGAGTAGCTGGGGCTAGGGGCACATGCTACCAGGCCTGGCTAAATTTTTTTTGTATTTTTAGTAGAGACGGTGTTTCACCTTGTTGGCCAGGATGATCTCAAACCCCTGAGCTCAAGCAATCCCCCTGCCTCAGCCTTCCAAAGTGCTGGGTTACAGGCGTGAGCCACCATGCCTGGCCTCAAACTTTCTTTTGGTTTGTGTTTGCATGGTGTGTATTTTTCCATCCTTTACCTTACAATCAATGTGTTCAATGTGTTTCCTTCTATTTAAAGCATTTATATTACAAATAGCACATAGCTGGGTGTATTTAAAATAACATTCAAACAAATGCTCCTTGGATTTTAATCAGAATGTCTGGCCCATTTCCATGTCATGGAACCGATGATATAACTGCATGAAGTCTGCCATCTTGCTAGGAGTGCTGCATTCAACCCGTCTACTCTTTGTTCCTTCCTCTTTTCTTGCCTTATTTCCAGTGATCAAGTATTTTTATTATTTTATATCCTTTATATTATCAGTTATGCATGTTAGTGTTATTTTCTTCCTGAACGCATGAAGGTTTAAATGTGTATCCTTAATTTACAGTTTATCTTACTTATCCTTACAGTTTATCTTACTTATCCTTACAGTTTATCTTAAATTAATTTTTTATCACTTATTAAAGAATGCAAGAATCTATCATTATTTAAGTATATTTACTTCTCATCTGTCCTTTGGCGGTTGCCACCATCTACTTTAGAAATGCAAAGGATACGGTTATTATTGTTACTCTAAGCAACAAACAGTACATTTTCCTTTTCTGATTCTGTTCATTCTTTTCTGCAGTTCCATGTTTCCAACTGAACCCATGTTCCTCCACTAATACTTGGATTTTCTTCCACCACGGCCGTTCCTGAGACAGCAAGACCAGTTCCTCCTCCTTCTGCTCCTCCTCAGCCCACTTGACGTGAAGACGACGAGGATGGAGACCTTGATCGTGCCCCACTCCCACCTAATGAATAGTCTGTAGATTTTCTCTTCCTTAGGACTTTCTTCATAACATTTTCCTTTCTCTATCTTACTTTATTATAAAAATACAGTATATAACACAGATGCAAATTATGTGTTAATTGAGTTTTTATGTTATCTGTAAGGCTTCCAGTCAACAGTTGGCCCTCAGGAGCTAAGTTTTGGGGGAGTCCAAAGTTGTATGAGTATTTTTCACTGTGTAGGGGATCAGTGCCCATAAACCTCAGGTTATTTAAGGGTCTACTGTATAAAGTAAATATTGGACTCATAATAACAATAGCAGCTATAACATCTTTGTAGCACTTAGCCTTGGTACAGGTGCCTTCAATATGCTAACTAATTTAACTTTTAACCAAGCCAGTTCTTTATGTAAAAAAAACGATTCATCATAATTTAATATCTTATACATGTTCCATTCAATTTTCTAAATTTGGCTAATATAAAATAAGGTTTAATATTACCATGATTTGATCAACATTTCAAAATTACATATATTTCTCTTACAAATTCATTGTTATTGACATCAAATTTATAACCACGTTATTGGCATTGTTTAACCACACAGTAAAATAAGTGTAATCAGTGAAAAAAATAGAATAAAATCTATATAGTGGAGACCTTGAAATATATGTGCGAGAGTGCAAGAGTTTATTCACTGTTGGGATGAAATGCTATTTAACAGTTTTTCTTTCCCAAGGGATGGAATTATGTGGGATTCTTGTCTCCATCTGAGATCTATCCCAGGGCATCATCTCCGGAGAAGTTTCCGTCTTCTGCGGTGAGTGCGTGGGAGTGTTTCTGTGAAAGGTGCACACGATGAGCTATTTTAGATCCAGATGTGCAAAGTCAGGTCGAAGCGAAGAACTCTCCCCTTATTCCCTCTACTCTCCACAAAGAAAACAGAGAATGGCCAACAGCTCCAACCGTGTAGAGAGCTCAAAAGACAGTCCTTAAATGCAGCCTCTGGGCCTTGCAACAGGAGGTTGACTTCGCCACGGGAGCTTCCAGTGGATGGGACGGGGGTAGATGTTAGTCGGCTCTGGGACTTGAGGAAAGTTGACCTGGCAACAGGAGTTTCCAGCGGACGGGGATGAGGGTAGATGTCAGTAGCCGGCTGGATTCGGGGCTCTGGGGATTGAGGAAACTGAGTCCCACTCTTTCAAGACACATGAGGGGGCGGGAGGAGGACACATGGAGGGTTCCGTTGGAACCAAAGCTTTCTTTCATCTATTTATTTATTTTTTACTTATTTATTTCATCTTTACTTTTTACTAAGATAGGAAAAACTTAAGGACGTTTGAATTTGCCAGGGAAAGAAAAAGTGCAGCGGCAAATCCGGGAGAGAGGAATCTCTGTCTAAGGGAATTTATGAAAGGAACGGGGCCAAGATGATGGGATGCGTTTCTGGGGACAATGTCCTGAGGTAGGAATGGAAAGAGAGTAAGGACTGTGGGCGCGAAAGATGCCCTCAGGACAGCAAATGACGGGGGAAGGGGATGACAGTCAGGGAGAAGCTTCTGTGCCCCATCCCAGAGACATGGGGAGGAGGAAGACCAGGGCTGGGACCTGGTGGAATGGAGACCATGGCTATCAATTAGTCATGTCATCAGACTGGACAATTCTACAGTTTTCTCTAACAGTTTCAGCAGATAAAGCAATGATATCCAAAAATAAGGTTCGGCAGGGTGGGGTACACCCCACCCCCTCAGCTCAGGAGAAAGAAAATCGGAGCAAGCACTGGGGTTCTGGACTCTGCTGGGAGGCAGGAGAGCTCGTGGAGTGGACAGAGGCCATCAGGAGGCGGTTTGTTTGCAGTATGTGCAAGTAATATTCTGGGAATGATGGAGAGATTGCTAAAGCCAGGAGGCAGTGGTCAGAGAGTTGGTTATTTAAATTTTAGATAGTTATTATATTATTTAAACTTCAGATAGTTAAAATCTTCTGTGGGGGGATTGGATGTTCTTGGTAGTTCCAGCTGACACATGGAATCCGGGGAGAGACGGTATCTGACCATGAGGATGATGACCTGAGACGGGACTGGCGGGAGTTGCCTGTGTCAGGTGTAGGGTGTGGGTAGGGGTGGTGTCAGATCGGTGAATTCCAGAGACAGTCCAGGCTGGAGACGCCACCTCTAACATATCAGCACCAAGGCAGATGTCAAAGCCAGCTTGTGGGCAGCCCTGGATTAAGAGGTCATGACAATTCCCAACACCCCTCATGCGCTCCCTCCCTCCAGAAGTGGAAACCCCCGTGCCTTCCTTCCCGATGCTTTGGAATTAAACTGCAGGGCTTGAGTGAAAAACAATTCCTCCGAGTCGAACTTCCTCCCGCTTGCACCTACCCCCAGGTGCTTTTCCCAGAGCAGGGCGAATAAAGAAACGAGATCAGAATGGACCCTTGAAGACCAGTGGCGCGCAGGAGATGGACAGAGTAAATTCAGTAAAACAAATGTTCTGAAGGACAATGGGAAGCGTGATTGGAGAGATAAAAGAAGAAGTGCTATAAAGTCATTTTACAGAATTAATGAGGAGAGAGTTAAGCCAGAGGGAGCGATCAACAGTGTCAAATAGGAAAAGAACTCACTGTGCCCCTTGGATTTGACAATATGGAACCAGGTAGTTAATTTTTCCAGTGCAGACTTGGTGAAATAACATGACCCGGTTACAGGAGGTTAAAGACAGAATTGATGGTGATGGAGCAGACGTTTGGATAGGAAGAAGAGGACAAAGGCAGTTTCTTATCATCTTTAGTGTGGGTGCCCGTTTGAGCGAGCCTAAGAGTCATTTAATATCAGCTAAATTTCAGGAAAAACTAGATTTTGAGAAATATCACCCTCCTTATGTCTTTTTTCTCATCAGCAAAGTGTTGAATGGGTTCATTCTGCTTCCAAAAGAAAGTGAAAATCTGTGTGCAGCAGTGCAGTGGCTAAAAACAAAAAAACAAAAGTGGGGACTCCCACTTGCTTCCTGGAGGGTGTGTCCCCTCCCTCTGCTGCCTGCATTAACAGGAGGGTATTCAGGGCCATGGGGTGTGAAGTTGGGGAATAACGCACCTGCCCCCTTTCTCACACATTTGGTTTGCCAGTCTGTGCCACCTTGGGGAATGGGATCTCAGTGGGAGATTTTTTAGCCCAACTTGTCTTATGAGTTACTGCGCTGGGTCATTAGTCTTTACCGACCACTAACATGTAAGTCTTGCAGTTTGCTTCTCCTCTGTTTACCCATCTCAGAATGAAAGGCCATGAAATATTTAAAAGCATCGATTCTGCATTCCCCCGACATTATTAACAGGGAACAAAAAGTTATTTCATACCCTCATTTTGTCAGTTGCCTAAAGAACTCGAGGGACATGGAGAATTTCATAGCAGGCACCCGCAATATAACAGATTGCAAATCCTTTCAACACTTTCAGCTAAAAAGTCTGCTGAATAATTGAGCACACAGAATTGCAACCCACTTAGAAGTCTTCTCCCTAGCCAAAGGCGCAGAGGCCACCCTTGTCAACGTGGTCCCACCAAAGGTTCCACACTGCATGTGGTCAGTTCCCTGATGGAGCACTTGAGTGGTACTTCTGTGACCCAAATTGCAAAGGGTGGCTGGAAACAAAGGAGTCAGTCAGGTGGGAGAAAACAGAAGATTCTCCCAGGAAGGGGATGGTCATTACTTAGATTTCACCAAAGACCAGAACCTGTGGGGCTTAGAGGCTGAAGGGTGAATTAAAACAGCAGGATGCAGGCTTAGATCACAAATCCGAAAGGAGAGAGGCCACATCGAGGCCCCACTGTCCTGGATTAATCTCTACTTGGATGGAGTGTGTGACAAAGGCCTCAATGTGGCATATCCAAGCTCAAGGTGACTGCCTTTCTCCCCAAATGCCGTGCTTCTCCTGGCTCCCCAGCCTCGTAAAAGGGACTAAAAACTGCAGTTCTCAGGTTAGACATGAAATCAATGCATCGCCTTGT
The DNA here is from genome assembly GCF_000001405.40 of Homo sapiens. NCBI lineage: Eukaryota > Metazoa > Chordata > Mammalia > Primates > Hominidae > Homo > Homo sapiens. The sequence goes on from NC_000022.11 coordinate 49,380,464, forward strand.
AAGGGATCCGATGAGCTCCACTCCTGCATCTGCACACCTCCCCTCAGTATGCAAATATCCCTGCAAGCAACACACACAGGATGCACCTGACCTTCTCCACTCAGTATGCAAAGATCCCTGCAAGCGACATGCACAGGATGCACCTGACCTTCTCCATTCGGTATGCAAAGATCCCTGCAAGCGACATGCACAGGATGCACCTGACCTTCTCCATTCGGTATGCAAAGATCCCTGCAAGCAACACACACAGGATGCACCTGACCTTCTCCACTCAGTATGCAAAGATTCTTGCAAGCAACACGCACAGGATGCACCTGGCCTTTGCCTCCTCAGAGAGCCTTGGCGTGTCTTCCCCATCCCTGGAAAGCTCCCTGCACCTGGTGAAATCTGAGTCACCTTTGACACCCCCACCTTCAACCTCACTTTATCCAACCTGGAGTCAGAGCAAGATCTGCAGCCACTTCAGGAAGCCCAATCATCTGGACACTTGGGGAGTGGATGGTGATGATCTGCAAGGTGTTGACTCGCCAGGCAGGCTGAGGGCAGTCCTCAGTCAACACCAAATGCAGCAGGCTCCAAGGTCTGAGCTTGGTTATGGTTCTGCTCTGTAATTAAAAGATCATGTGTCCTACTTAGCACACAAAATTCTATAAAAATTGCATGAAACAGAGCCACTCAGTCTAGAAAGCAGCTGATAGTGGCCGGCCTCAGCACACCACCATCCCCCACAGGGGTGGCCTTCAACACAGCTGCTCGTCAACTCATCCTTTCCCAAGGCTTCCAGGGCTTTCCGTGATGGAGTTCGGGTGTCCGCTCTCCCCATCCAGGTGTGTGTTCTACGAATCCACACTCCTCTCAATATCACTCCCCAGACACTTTCAGTCAGCCTTTCCTTTTCCTCCAACTCCGCTCCAACCAATCTTCAAGTGTGGTGATTTCGAGTAGAAAACATTTCTCCAGTCTATGAGGCCTCCATCTCTGGGCGATCACTCTGGTCCGAGTGGCCACCCATCTTTCTCCTGGTTCTGAAAGCACACTGTCTCTAAACCATGAATCTCACTGGGTCACACTCTTGGTTACCAGACCTCAGCTGCTTTCCACTGCCATTGGGTCGAAAATTATGACCCCACCTGCGATGTCCCACCTGCCTGGCTCTGCTTCCTCTGCATCCCTTCTAGTATGCACTCCTGTCCTGGAGGGCTGGCTGTCCTCCTGTCCTCATTCCCTAACCCTGCCCCACTGTTCCCCAGCTCAGGGCTCAGGGCTCGGGTACTGTGCGTGCCTCCTAGGAAGCCCCACCTTCCCGCCCTCCTTCTCCTGTTAACTCTTACTCCCTCCGGCTCCAGTTTACTCAGGATTCCTCTGACCACTCCATTCCAGGAAGCAGTGGGGCTCTGGACTGGCACTCTCCTTGTACCTCACATGTAATTAAATACATCCCTGAAAGCCCCTGCTGTACTGGTCGCCTTCCGTGCACAGTCTGGGGGAACAGGGCCACGCCCACCTTGCTCATGGCCTTGACTCAGAGCCTGGCCCAGCACCGGGTACCTCTGTCAGAAAGAGCTTCTCCTGACCTGGCTCCTGCGGCTTCCGTCTCAGCAGAAGAAACGTCCCCCACTCCTCTCCTCATGCAGTGTCCCCCAGCTTCCCGGTGTCTGTTCATGGCCACCTGCTTCTATGGTCTCTGTACATTTTACACAAACCAAAATGGTTCCATGTAAACAAACTAAGTAAAATAACTTTAGTTTGCATGAAATGCTGCAGAGACAAAAAGCAGGTGGCCATGAGGATAAGCGGGGAGGTTCCTGAGTTAGGAGGGAAGTGGGGAAGGCGGTTCTGAGAAAACCAGGCTCACATTTGGGGGAATAAAGGAGCAAGTGCTGTCAGCTCTGCAAATCCTTCCTCCACCCTCGCTTCTCTCCCAGTGCCAAGGCCGGGAGCTGTGTCAGAGCCCCCGGGATGTGTCCTCAGCTGAGCCTCATGGCCTCTCCTCTGCCCCTCACAGCCTCAGATGGAAGCTCAGTCAGACCCCTCTGGTGCGGGTCCAGCCTCACGCCTGCTGTGTGGGTCCAGCCTGACCCTGCCTTGTGGGTCCAGCCTGACTCCTGCCCTGTGGGTCCAGCCTGATCCCTGCCCTGTGGGTCCAGCCTGATCCCTGCCCTGTGGGTCCAGCCTGACCCTGCCCTGTGGGTCCAGCCTCATGCCTGCCGTGTGGGTCCAGCCTGACCCTGCCGTGTGGGTCCAGCCTGACCCCTGCGGTGTGGAGCTCGAGTTCCCTTGGACTGCCTTTCCTTTCTCTCGATGACGCTTTCTGCTCAGAGGTCACGCACACTTTTCATAGATTTATTTATTTTTGATACTATTTATAGAACAGTTTTTAAAATTCCATTTTTAATTGTTGATTTTTATATAAAAACAAACATGATATTTACCTTGTTCCAGGAACCAAGATACATGCAACTTATTAATTCTCATAATTATTCTGTGACCTTTTTGAAGTGTTACCTAGTCAATTCTGTTGTACCCAAATAACTTTGATTTTTTATATTCTGGTCCTCATGCTTGAGTTATTCCCCTCCCCTTAATGATCCGCCTAAAATCTGCAGTTCAATATGAAAATTGAGGGAGGATGGGAGCATCCCTGTCGCACCATCATGTCATCAGCTGCCTGGCATTATCAGATTAAGGAAACTCCATTCTCTTCCCAGTTTGTCAAATATTTTATCAATAATGAATATTGGACCGAGAGCGGCGGCTCACACCTGTAATCCCAGCACTTTGGGAGGCCCAGGCGGGTGGATCACGAGGTCAGGAGTTCGACACCATCCTGACCAACATGGTGAAACCCCATCTCTACTAAAAATACAAAAATTAGCTGGATGCAGTGGTGGGCGCCTGTAATCTCAGCTATTCGGGAGGTTGAGGCAGGAAAATCGCTTGAACCTGGGAGGTGGAGGTTGCAGTGAGCCGAGATCGTGCCACTGCACTCTAGCCTGGGCGACAGAGGAAGACTCCATCTTAAAAAAAAAAAAAAAAAAAAAAAAAAGAATATTGATGTTTTTCAAAAGACTTTTTGTGCCTAAGATTATCATTTTCTCCTGGTTTATTCTATTAATGTGGGGAATTGCTGTAGTGTTTTGTTTGAATATATCATGAACATACAAAAATACAAAGACCTTCAATGTTCAGTTTGATAAACTTTAGCAATTGTATAAATTGTGTCCCAGCACCCACAGCAAGACACAAACCATCTCCGTCCTGCCAGGAAGCTCCCTTGTCTCTACACACACTTTCTGCTCTGTTTTTAGACTTTTTGGTTATTTTCAGTTTGGGGCGATTACGGATAACAGAGCTATAAACATTCTTATGAAGTTGCTTATGGTGACAGGCAGCACCCCTACCCCCAGGTAAATGCCTGCGAGTGAAATTGCTAAGTCACGAGACAGAGGTGGACCCGTGATCACCTCGCTAGTGTAATTCATCACGTCTAAGAGATTTTCTATGTGCACAGTCATACTGACTCACATCTAAGAGACTTTCTGTGTGCACAGTCATACTGACTCACGTCTAAGAGATTTTCTATGTCCAGTCATACTGACTCATATCTAAGAGATTTTCTGTGTGCACAGTCATACTGACTCACGTCTAAGAGATTTTTCCTATGTACACAGTCATACTGACTCACGTCTAAGAGATTTTCTATGTCCAGTCATACTGACTCATATCTAAGAGATTTTCTATGTGCACAGTCATACTGACTCATGTCTAAGAGATTTTCTATGTCCAGTCATACTGACTCATATCTAAGAGATTTTCTGTGTGCACAGTCATACTGACTCACGTCTAAGAGATTTTTTCTATGTACACAGTCATACTGACTCACGTCTAAGAGATTTTCTAGGTCCAGTCATACTGACTCATATCTAAGAGATTTTCTGTGTGCACAGTCATACTGACTCACGTCTAAGAGATTTTCTGTGTCCAGTCATACTGACTCACGTCTAAGAGATTTTCTGTGTGCACAGTCATATTGACTCACGTCTAAGAGATTTTCTGTGTGCACAGTCATACTGACTCACGTCTAAGAGATTTTCTGTGTGCACAGTCATACTGACTCACGTCTAAGAGATTTTCTGTGTGCACAGTCATACTGACTCACGTCTAAGAGATTTTCTGTGTGCACAGTCATACTGACTCACGTCTAAGAGATTTTTTCTATGTACACAGTCATACTGACTCACCTCTAAGAGATTTTCTGTGTCCAGTCATACTGACTCACGTCTAAGAGATTTTCTGTGTGCACAGTCATATTGACTCATGTCTAAGAGATTTTCTGTGTGCACAGTCATACTGACTCACGTCTAAGAGATTTTCTATGTCCAGTCATACTGACTCATATCTAAGAGATTTTCTGTGTGCACAGTCATACTGACTCACGTCTAAGAGATTTTTTCTATGTACACAGTCATACTGACTCACGTCTAAGAGATTTTCTAGGTCCAGTCATACTGACTCATATCTAAGAGATTTTCTGTGTGCACAGTCATACTGACTCACGTCTAAGAGATTTTCTGTGTCCAGTCATACTGACTCACGTCTAAGAGATTTTCTGTGTGCACAGTCATATTGACTCACGTCTAAGAGATTTTCTGTGTGCACAGTCATACTGACTCACGTCTAAGAGATTTTCTGTGTGCACAGTCATACTGACTCACGTCTAAGAGATTTTCTGTGTGCACAGTCATACTGACTCACGTCTAAGAGATTTTCTGTGTGCACAGTCATACTGACTCACGTCTAAGAGATTTTTTCTATGTACACAGTCATACTGACTCACCTCTAAGAGATTTTCTGTGTCCAGTCATACTGACTCACGTCTAAGAGATTTTCTGTGTGCACAGTCATATTGACTCATGTCTAAGAGATTTTCTGTGTGCACAGTCATACTGACTCACGTCTAAGAGATTTTCTGTGTGCACAGTCATACTGATTCACGTCTAAGAGATTTTCTGTGTGCAGAGTCATATTGACTCACATCTAAGAGATTTTCTGTGTGCACTGTCATACTGACTCATGTCTAAGATATTTTTTCTATGTGCACAGTCATACTGACTCACATCTAAGATATTTTTTCTATGTGCAGAGTCATACTGACTCACATCTAAGAGATTTTTTCTATGTGCACAGTCATACTGACTCACGTCTAAGAGATTTTCTATGTGCACAGTCATACTGACTCACGTCTAAGAGATGTTTTTCTATGTGCACAGTCATACTGACTCACATCTAAGAGATTTTCTATGTGCAGTCATACTGACTCACGTCTAAGAGATTTTTTCTATGTGCACAGTCATACTGACTTACGTCTAAGAGATTTTTTTCTGTGTGCACAGTCATACTGACTCACGTCTAAGAGATTTTTTCTATGTGCAGAGTCATACTGACTCACATCTAAGAGATTTTCTATGTGCAGTCATACTGACTCACGTCTAAGAGATTTTTTCTATGTGCAGAGTCATACTGACTCACATCTAAGAGATTTTCTATGTGCAGTCATACTGACTCACATCTAAGAGATTTTTTCTATGTGCAGAGTCATACTGACTCACGTCTAAGAGATTTTCTATGTGCACAGTCATACTGACTCATGTCTAAGAGATTTTCTGTGTGCACAGTCATACTGACTCACGTCTAAGAGATTTTCTGTGTGCACAGTCATACTGACTCACGTCTAAGAGATTTTCTGTGTGCACAGTCATATTGACTCACATCTAAGAGATTTTTTCTATGTGCAGAGTCATACTAACTCACGTCTAAGAGATTTTCTATGTGCACAGTCATACTGACTCATGTCTGAGAGATTTTCTGTGTGCACAGTCATACTGACTCACGTCTAAGAGATTTTCTGTGTGCACAGTCATACTGACTCACGTCTAAGAGATTTTCTGTGTGCACAGTCATACTGACTCACATCTAAGAGATTTTTTCTATGTGCACAGTCATACTGACTTACGTCTAAGAGATTTTTTTCTGTGTGCACAGTCATACTGACTCACGTCTAAGAGATTTTTTCTATGTACACAGTCATACTGACTCATGTCTAAGAGATTTTCTGTGTGCACAGTCATACTGATTCACGTCTAAGAGATTTTCTGTGTGCACAGTCATACTGATTCACGTCTAAGAGATTTTCTGTGTGCGCAGTCATACTGATTCACGTCTAAGAGATTTTCTGTGTGCACAGTCATACTGATTCACGTCTAAGAGATTTTCTGTGTGCAGAGTCATATTGACTCACGTCTAAGAGATTTTCTGTGTGCACTGTCATACTGACTCATGTCTAAGATATTTTTTCTATGTGCACAGTCATACTGACTCACATCTAAGATATTTTTTCTCTGTGTACTGTCATACTGACTCACGTCTAAGAGATTTTTTCTATGTGCACAGTCATACTGACTCACATCTAAGAGATTTTCTATGTGCAGTCATACTGACTCACGTCTAAGAGATTTTCTGTGTGCACAGTCATACTGACTCACGTCTAAGAGATTTTTTCTATGTGCAGAGTCATACTGACTCACATCTAAGAGATTTTCTATGTGCAGTCATACTGACTCACGTCTAAGAGATTTTTTCTATGTGCAGAGTCATACTGACTTACGTCTAAGAGATTTTTTTCTGTGTGCACAGTCATACTGACTCACGTCTAAGAGATTTTCTATGTGCACAGTCATACTGACTCACGTCTAAGAGATTTTCTGTGTGCACAGTCATACTGACTCACGTCTAAGAGATTTTCTGTGTGCACAGTCATACTGACTCATGTCTAAGAGATTTTCTGTGTGCACAGTCATACTGACTCACGTCTAAGAGATTTTCTGTGTGCACAGTCATACTGACTCACATCTAAGAGATTTTTTCTATGTGCACAGTCATACTGACTTACGTCTAAGAGATTTTTTTCTGTGTGCACAGTCATACTGACTCACGTCTAAGAGATTTTTTCTATGTGCAGAGTCATACTGACTCACGTCTAAGAGATTTTCTATGTCCAGTCATACTGACTCATGTCTAAGAGATTTTCTGTGTGCACAGTCATACTGACTCACGTCTAAGAGATTTTTTTCTATGTGCACAGTCATACTGACTCACGTCTAAGAGATTTTCTGTGTCCAGTCATACTGACTCACGTCTAAGAGATTTTCTGTGTGCACAGTCATACTGACTCACGTCTAAGAGATTTTCTGTGTGCACAGTCATACTGACTCACATCTAAGAGATTTTCTGTGTGCACAGTCATACTGACTCACGTCTAAGAGATTTTCTGTGTGCACAGTCATACTGACTCACGTCTAAGAGATTTTCTGTGTGCACAGTCATACTGACTCATATCTAAGAGATTTTCTGTGTGCACAGTCATACTGACTCACATCTAAGAGATTTTTTTCTATGTGCACAGTCATACTGACTCACGTCTAAGAGATTTTCTGTGTCCAGTCATACTGACTCACGTCTAAGAGATTTTCTGTGTGCACAGTCATACTGACTCACGTCTAAGAGATTTTCTGTGTGCACAGTCATACTGACTCACATCTAAGAGATTTTCTGTGTGCACAGTCATACTGACTCACCTCTAAGAGATTTTCTGTGTGCACAGTCATACTGACTCACGTCTAAGAGATTTTCTGTGTGCACAGTCATACTGACTCATATCTAAGAGATTTTCTGTGTGCACAGTCATACTGACTCACGTCTAAGAGATTTTTTTCTATGTGCACAGTCATACTGACTCACGTCTAAGAGATTTTCTGTGTGCACAGTCATACTGACTCATATCTAAGAGATTTTCTGTGTGCACAGTCATACTGACTCACGTCTAAGAGATTTTCTGTGTCCAGTCATACTGACTCACGTCTAAGAGATTTTCTGTGTGCAGAGTCATACTGACTCACCTCTAAGAGATTTTCTGTGTGCACAGTCATACTGACTCACGTCTAAGAGATTTTCTATGTGCAGAGTCATACTGACTCTGCAGCTAAAAATGCTTGGACTTCATCTTTTCCAATTCATATTGTTTTTATTTCTTTGTTTTTCCTAAGTTACTGGCAAGAATCTCCAGTACAATTTTGATAGAAGTGGAAGGAGTGGACGTCTTGGCCTGCTTCCTCTTCCTCAGGAAGAAATGTTCAGTATTTTAACATCAATTAAGGTGTTAGCTGTAAGTTTTTCATAAATGTCCTTCATCAGATTTTCCACGTTGACTCCTGTTTTGGCGAGGGTTTTTGCTATGAAGAGGTGCTGAATTTATCATGCACTTTTGCCACATCTATTAAGATAATTACGTTTGTTTTTTCCTCTTTTATCCTCCTGATGTGCATTACCTTGATTTTTTAATGTTAAACCAACCTTGCCTTCTGGAGTTAAAACCCACCTTGTCCCAATGCTTGATTTAAATAGAAAAATTTCATTAAGTCTTTCTGAATCTTTGTGGAGGAATGATACTGGTCTGCAACTACCCTCTTCATAATCTCTTTGATGGTGTTTGAGTCGATCCCACCCTTCTTATAAAAGAATTTGTTGGCCAGGTGCAGTGGCTCATGCCTGTAATCCCAGCACTTTGGGAGGCCAAGGTGGGTGGATCATTTGAGATGAGGAGATCCATACCAGCCTGACCAACATGGTGAAACCCCGCCTCTACTAAAAATACAAAAATTAGCTGGGCATGGTTGTGGGTGCCTGTAGTCCCAGCTACTTGGGAGGCTGAGGCAGGAGAATGGCACGAACCCGGGAGGTAGAGGTTGCCGTGAGCCGAGATGGCGCCACTGCACTCCAGCCTGGAGGACAGAGCAAGATTGTCTCAAAAAAAAAAAAAAAAAAAAAAGAATTTTTTAAAGATTGGGGTTCATTCTTTCTTAAATGTTTGAAAGAATTGTCTGGTAAAGCCATCTGAATATGGAGTTTTCTTGTTGGGAATGTTTTTGAGTATGAATTCAGTTTCTGTAATAGATTTAAGTTTACTTAGATTTTCTATTTGTTCCTGTGTCTGATTGGTTACTTCTTATTTTTCAAGGAATTTGTTTTTCCATCAAGTTGTTGAGATTGTTTACATAAAAGAATTGCTAATTTTCCCTTGCTAGACTTCCAATTTATGTAATATTAATTCCTGATAGTGGTGATTTGTGTTTTTCTTCTTTTATTTTTCTTGATCAGTGTTGTTAGAGGTTTACTAATATTATTAATCTTTTGAAAGAACCACCTTTGGCTTCAGTGGATTATTTTCTGTTTTCTATTTTATTACTTTCTGATCTGAGCTGAGTTCTGATTATTATTTTTTTTTACTTTAGTAAGTCCACCTTTCCCTTACTAGCTTCTTAAGGTGGGATCATGGTTTATGTATATCCGTTTTTTAAATGCATACATATATAAAGCTGTAAATTTCCCCCTAAATTCCATTTTAACTGCCTACCACAATTCTAATACTTTAGGTTTTCATTCCGATTCAATTCAAAATACCATCTCATTCCCTTTGTAATGTCTTCTTTCATGCACGGAATATTTAGAAGTATGTTGTTTAACTTGCAAAAAATTGTGGATTATTTAAGTGTCTTATTGCTACTTATTTCTACTTTAAAGCTGTTATGATTAGAGAACCTATTCTGTATAATTTTAATCATTTAATATATAAGACCATTTTTATAATCCGTCTTAAGGAAAATGTCATGTGCATTTGAAAAGAATGCATACTCTGTAGTTGTGGGTTGTAATGCTCTTTGAATATTAAGTAATCCAAGTTGGTTGACAGTACTTTTCTTATTCGATAAGCTTAAAGATTTTTTGGCTATTCTACCAAGGAATTACTAGATCAGTGATACAGGTGGCTGACCGTGGCTACCTGTTTCTCTCTATGTCTGTCCATTTTGCTTTAGGTAATCTAACGACAATCTCTGCTGTTAGGTTAATATATGTTGAAAATATTGTGCCTCTTTAATAAATTTGTCGTGATAAAATTCCCTTTTTCGGTGTCTCATAACACTCGTCCTCTTCAGCTCCACACTGTCTGATGCCAGCACAGCCCCGCCAGCTCTCGCACACTCAGAAGAGCTCCCGGGCCCGTCTCACCCTCTCACCTTCCTCCTCCCCACGTCGTTGCAGCTAAACCTGCTTCTTCCAGGAAGAATGTTCCTGTTTTGTTTTGATTCAGTCTCATAATATTTACCTTTCATTTTGAGCACTTAGTGTGTTTAGATTTGATATAATTATTGCTATGATGGGTTTAAGTCTCTCATTTTGAAGTTTGTTAAAAACTAATTCAGTGAGTTCTTTGTTCTGCTTGATTGTGAGTAAACTGTATATTTTTAGTATTCTATGTGACGTCTGTAATTGACTTTGTAGCCTTTCTCTGTATTATGTTTATATATTAGCCTAGGAATTAAGTACACATCGCTCAGTCATTATATTCACAGGACATCTTTCTATTTCAGAACCCTGAGAAAGCCTCAGAACCGCAGTTCCGCGCGGCATCCTTACGTCCTGCGTGGTCTCCTGTTGTATTTCTAGCTATGCTACAAAGTACACTGCGAATAATTTTGCTTCAAATACTGTTATTTAAATATTTAATTATCATTAATTAATATGCTAAATAAGATTATTTTAAATATATGTAATATGTTTTATTTTACATTAAACATTTATTTTATATTGCAATTTTGTATTAATATATTATATTGTATGCTAAATATATCTTTAATGTATTTTAAATTAATATAACAAATGAGATTATTTGAGTTATAGGGTCCTTGCTACTTTATGCTCAGATTCACAGTTTCTCAGCCACTGTCTTTGAATCCACAAATGCCTTCAGAGAAAAAGCTTCAGCATTCACACCCAGCCATGGCCGTTCACGTCCCACTCAGCACGTCTAAGCCAGTCTGTGCTGCTCCCTGGCCCAGACCTGTTTTTCCTCTGTCACCCTCTCCTCTGAAAGGGGCTCCAGGCTCCCTCAACTCAGCCCATCAGATATGAAGCTGGGGTCCTCCTGACCCCACACTCTCTTCCATCGGGGGTGATCTCTGCCTCACTGTCCTCACGCAGCCCCAGCTCCGGCATTGCACTCGAGGCCACCCGGAGCCCCATCTCACTCTCTCTGCACTCTGCCAGGCACTGCGAGAGGCATGGCTTTCAGCGGCACCCCCGAGAGAGGCCTCCCTAGCCAGGGTTTGCCCGCGGACGCCGCCCAGCCCTCCCTCCACGGTGCCCTGCACACTCTACCGGGAAGCAGCAGGGGCTCATGAGGGCGTCACGCCTTGCTCGGCTGTGAGTCTTGTCCATGGGGGTGATCTCAGGACCTGCGCCTGATGCACTCAGGAAACACTCGCCAAGACACACATGGGCCCTCACACCACAAGAAACAGCCCAGGCAGTGTGAAGAGCAGTCATCGCCATTCTTGTCTATGTTCACTCAGAATGACCCACAAAAATACACCTGCCCACGTGCCAGAGCGACCCTCCCTGGCCAGGCCGGGCATGAATGGAAGGCATGAGCATTTGAGACACTAAATTGAGATTACAGGATCAACCCCTGTAAAGCTAGGAGGCAGAAGCCAATGTGGAAATTGGAATTACTTTTGTGTGGGTGCCAGCATGTCTCCTCCGGGCAGAGACAAACCAGGGCTGGCGATGGTTAATTCACACGGAGTGTGTTGATTCCCACCCAGGGGATGCGGGCCCACCCCCCTCCCCATCATGTCTCTCCACCACACAGAACAGTGGCCCCATGACTCTTGTTCAAGCAGACGTACCTGAATTTCACTTAACCAGGGCACCACAGCTGTTCAGGTGCAATTCTGTGCTCCTTAGCCAAGTGCCTGGCACTCAGAATGTTTCCCATGTGTTGGTTCTCAGAGGGGGAGTTGCGGAAACTACCATCATACTTCAGAGGGAATTGGGAGGAATCAGCAGCAGCCAAACCAGGACCGTAGGCCCCATCTCTCAGGAGCAGCCCAGGCCAGCGCCGTGGCTCACCTGGCCAGCACCAATTTGCTGGAAGAAGCCCAATTTGCTCATTAAATGCGGGTCCTAGAGTTATCCTGGGAGGTAAACAAGAGGTGATTCCATCCTGTATGACTCAGGAGGCACAGAAAGTCCTGAAAAATGCATCTTTCCTCCCCATGTGCTCCAGATTCCAGAGCATGATCTTCCCACAAGAAAGCTGTTTTCTATTTTTTCTTGCTTTGAGTTGGTCCTCTTGCCAACACCCACTCACCCTCTGAAGGGACCCCTGAAACTCTAACTTCTCCAGCTCCCAGTTGGACTTAGCCAAATATGTGTATAATTAAATGGTGGCAGAAGAAAGTGAAGATATGTCCAGCTCTTAACCCCCAGTGCCTGTGAAGGGGACCTTATTTGGAAATGGGGTCTTTGCAGATGGAATTAGTTAAGGATCTCGAAATGAGGTCATCCTGGATTCGGGGCGGGCTGTGAATCTACTGACTGGTGTCCCACAAGAAGATACGGAGAGCTGCAGGGAGAAGTCATGCAAAGACAGACACAGAGGCTGGAGGGAAGCAGCCACGGCCAGGGGAGTCCTAGAGCCACAGAAGCTGGGAGAGGCAGGAGTGTCTTCCCCTGGAGCCTTCCAAGGGGAGTGCTGCCCACCAACACCTTGACTTTGGACCTGTGGCCTCCAGGCTATGCGAGATCATGTTTGCAGCTTTGGGCCCCCCAGCTTGTGGCAATTTGTTGTGGTGACCCTAGGAGATGAGGACACATCACCATCATTCAGGACATTGTTAAAGGAAATCTGCCATGCACGCCACAGCGGGGACCAGAATTAAAGGAAGTTGCTGAGGGCCAGTGAGAAGCCATCCCCAAGAAAGCTAGAGCCCAGAGAAGCCAGCAGGAGCTGTGTGACTCTGCCGGTCTGAGAGGTGAGGCCCTGGGGCAACACGGGGCTGTCTCCACACGAAATCTCTTTCACCAACAAGAGTCAGTGGGCTTCAGAGGGGCTTAGCAGAGGGGCTAGCGTGGGATCCCAGAGACTATGAGTTTTCCTGCCAAGCATAGCTCACCTAAAAGAATAGACATGGGACAGAGGAGAAATGTGGAATGGCATTCGGAGAGGAGGCCCAGCAAACCAAAGGAGACAAGCATCCCAGCGTTTAGCAAAGAGGCCTCGCCGGAAGCAAAGGGAGGCCACGGAGAGACGGAGTTCCCCTGGGCAGGAGGGCATGGCTTTGGCTTCCTCCCAGGCCACTGGGCAGATCACTGACTGACAGAGGTTGGGGTCACCTTGGACAGCACCCTCCAAGCACCCGCCTGTTTTATGTGATAGAAATAACCCACTCAGCACCAACCTGGGAGCTGGACCTGACATCACCTCCACTTTTGGATGAGGAAAGAGAGGGGAAAGGAAAGTGCCCCAAATCCCACCTGTAGTTAGTGAAGGAGCCAGGGTCAGAAAGGACCTGCCCCACCCCCATGCCGCATCCCGAGGGGCATGGCATGTGGAGACTATACCTGCATTCCCATAGGGTAGGGCTGGGCAGAGCAGCTATGCCCACCTACCTGCACAGCAGGGGCGGAAAATGTAAAAAAAAAAAAAAAAAAAAAACTCAAAGGGAAAATGTAGTAAAAAGCAGAAGTGGTACTGCAGAGAATCAACTTGGTCCATGGAGGATAAATGAGTGACATGTTCAACATCCCCAGGAAAAGGAAGCAGGAAAGAATGGAGAGATGGAGAAAGTGAGTCAGAGAGAGAGAGAGATTTGTCCAGGATCAGAGATGTGCCTCAGCCACTCACCACAGGCTCCCGAGCAGACTGTGGCAGGTGACTCACCCTCTCTGGGCCTCGGGTTTTCCGCCTGAAGGTGCTGTGCACTGGTAGTGAGTGCTCCTCTCTCTGCATGACTTCCCTGTAGAGCCTGAGCTACAGACCCACTGAGGGGAGGCGCTCATGAGCAGGGAAGTGACAGAATGGTGGGGAAAGAGGAGGGAGGACAGGATCCAGGACCACAAACTGCAACCTCCAGATGAGACAGTCCCGGGTCAGTGGGGAGCCATTCTGCAGAGGAGGGGGAGCTGTGAACATCAAGCTGCATCAGCCTCTGAGCTGAGGTGGATGTGTTGGCCCAGAGGTGCATCTTAAGAGGCACCAACCACACCCGCTACAGGGACCTGTGGTCCTCTCACTGAGAATATCTAAGCATAGAATTCATGCTATGCCAGTTGGAAAATGAATTCAAAGCCAACGCAATTGTCACAACTCATTCTGAAACAAAAGCCAAATAATAATAATAATAATAATAACCAATAATCCAGACTTAAAGGGATCACACGTGAACACTAGATATTTATCCACCTTGCCCGGCAAGCAGGAGGAAGCATGAAGAGTGCCCCAAGCCATTGTACGTGATATGGTTCGGCTGTGTCCCCACCCAAATCTCATCTTGAATTGCAGTTCCCAAAATCCCCATGTGTCATGGGAGGGACCCTGTGGGAGGTAATTGAATCATGGGGGTGATTTCATAATGGTGAGTAAGTTCTCACAAGATCTGATGGTTTTATAAGGGACTTTCCCCTTCACACGGCTTTCTTCTCTCTCCTGCCACCTTGTGAAGAAGGACGTGTTTGCTTCCCCTTCTGCCATGATTGTAAGTTTCCTGAGGCCTCCTCAGCCATGCTGAACTGTGAGTCAATTAAACCTCTTTCCTTTATAAATTACCCAGTCTCGGGTATGCCTTTAGTAGCAGCATGAGAACAGATTGATACAGCACAGGAAGGCAGTGGAGCGGGCCAGCATTGCGTTTGTGTTGGTCATTCAGGCACACAGGTGCAGGTCAGCTTTTTTAATGAAGGGTAACCAGTAGAAGAATTAAAAAATAGGACACATTCTTTCTAGATAAACACTGAATTCTAACTCAAATAAGGTATAGCACTTACGGCCAAAGATTGAAAACCCATTGTACAGCAAGGATGCAAGAAAGAAAAAGACAGAAAGGAACATTTTTAATTCAAAAAAATCAAAGCAGAAACCATGAGGAGATCAAAAGAACCCCCAGCACAGCCAGCACAGTGGTGAATGCAGGTGCAGGGGCACCGCAGTCACAGAGATGGGTGAATTCCAGCACTGCCAACCCCAACCTTCCTAAGCACTTAGGACGATTTGGACTCAAAATGAAGGAGGCTGGAACCAGCCCCTCGTGTGTGATGTGGGGGTCTAGCACTCAGCTGCTCCCTGACTGTGGCCATGATGCAGCCCCCCTCCGTCCCCCTCCTCTCCTACAAAGGGGAGTGTCTGGGTCTGCTTGCTGCTGCGATTGCATCATAAATGCAGCTCCCACAGCTCTGCAGGCTGGAAGTCCAAGACTGAGGCACGGGCAGGCTCTGCGTCTGGTGAGGGCTGCCCTCTCTGCTTCCACGATGCACCATGCAGTGTGTCCTCTACAGGGCAGTAGGCAGGGAGCTGCCAGCCACACCTGCTAAAGCCGCTGTCCTGAGGGCCTCAATTCCATCAAGAGAGGAGGCTTCAGAACCTAATCACCCTCACAGGCCCCACATCTTCACCCCATCACACTGGGTGCTGTTTCAACACCTGAATTTTGGAGGGGCCGCATTCATGCCACAGCAGGGAGTGTGACCTTGTTTCCCTGGAAGCTGGGGTGAGGAGGAGAGGTAAGGCCATGAGGAGACCCTGTGGTCACTGGCTGGTTTTGCTTTTTTGAACAAATAGGAAAAGCAAAGAAAAGAATGAATTGATCAAAGCAGAATTATATTCACATCACATCGAGAGACTTTATTTTATGAAATGTAAAAACCAGATGAAACTGTTAACTAAATATCGAAACATAGAAGGAAGGACCACAGGGAGATGCCAATCCCACAGACTCTGCCTGAAATAATCCAGGATTCATGTCACTTTTTCCTTTAAGTGCTTCAGTGCTGCAGGGACGAAAGGAAGGTAACAGGTGCCCCGAGCAGCTCCTTCCAGGCTGACAGGGGCACCCAGGCGGTTTCCTTATGGGACCCAGATGGAGCTCCCATGGCTACTGTAGCCCCTGCCACGCCCAGGGAGGAAGCCACAAAGGTGACCTGTTTGCGGGACCTGTCTCAGTGCCCTCTGCAGGGGGCAGGAACAGAAGCTTCAAGAACTCACCTGGCCCTGGTGCAGGTCTCAACCCCTGTGTGTTTCCCGAGCAACTCCTCGGGGATGCCTGCTCAGGCTTTATCCTGCCGTGTGCACGATCCCAATGTCACCATCCAGGAATCAACAGGTAAATATTACATAGCTTAAAAATCATGTTGCAACATGATATTCAATGTTCGCATCACCAAATAGCATCACGAACATTTTAATTCACTTTACTGATGTATAAATAATGTGCCATCAAAAGTGTCCAATTGGAAGAGTCATGGCAAACATATACGCCGGTGTCCCCATCACTGTGGCTGCGATGACAAACATCCTACAGTCAGCAGCAGGCACCAGGGGGCCAGGCGACCCCCATCTTGACATTGCATTGTTGTGAGGTCAGCCCCTGAGTAACTTCACCCTGCCTGGGTGCTGTGGTCAAATTCTTCAGCTGACACATCTTGGCAGCCGTTGTCTGGCAATGCATATGCTCACTTCATCGAATCTGTTAAATCTTTGAAATATTTAACAAC
The DNA here is from genome assembly GCF_000001405.40 of Homo sapiens. Classification (NCBI taxonomy): domain Eukaryota; kingdom Metazoa; phylum Chordata; class Mammalia; order Primates; family Hominidae; genus Homo; species Homo sapiens. The sequence continues at coordinate 49,397,126 of NC_000022.11, forward strand.
CTGAGACATGAATGGAACGTGGGACTCTCACTTGCCGGTTGTCAGGGTCTAAGACGACTGTGTCCTCAAATTTATGCGGGCGAATAGCAATGCCCTTCTAGTTCCTGTTTGGGACGATGTGGCCTGAATCAGGCACTGTTGGAAATTCTCATTTTGTGCAATTTCAGGCATATATTGTGACATTTATCAGCTCAACTATCCCTTAAATTCAAGAGTACATTCTTTGTAATTCTTTGAGCAAAGCAGAAAATTGAACGGTTTGACTGATTTATGTAAGCATTTATAGCTGAGGAAACACAGGAGAAATTCACCCAGAATATTCAATGTCAGAGTAAAAGCGTCTGCAGCTAAAATGGAGACAGTTTCCTTGAAGTCCATCCCCGAAGTCTCACACTTTCGTTATATTTTTAATAAGCTGTGGTCTGATTAAAAATAAATTTCAAAGCCAGGGGCAGCGGCTCACGCCTGTAATCCCAGCGCTTTGGGAGGCCGAGGCGGGCAGATCACCTGAGGTCAGGAGTTGAGACCAGCCTGGCCAACGTGGTGAAATCCTGTCTCTACTAAAAATATAAAAACTGGCCGGTTGTAATGGCGGGCACCTGTAATCTCAGCTACTTGGGAGGCTGAGGCAGGAGAATTGCTTGAATCTGGGAGGCGGAGGTTGCAGTGAGCCGAGATCGTGCCACTGCACTCCAGCCTGGGCAACAAGAGCGAAACTCTGTCTCAAAATAAATAAATACATACATACATACATACATACATACATACATACATACATTTCAATAGACGAAGAAAGGAAAGTGGCTGGTCATCCTTGGCAAACTTCATTCCATACTCCGAGTGAAAGGAAGGCAGCCATAGTGAGGTTGAGGCAGGGGACATCTGCAGGGGGCAAGACCAGACCTGAGTGGGGCCCCCATCCTCCTCCATTTGCAATAACAGGACCCATAATGTAAACCGAAGCCACAGCCAAGCTCCAAACCACCACTGGGAGGCCCCCCGGGTGCCAGGAGTACGGAGGGACAGAGAGAGGGATGAACAGAGAGAGAAGCCCGTGGGGTGGAGCTCATGGCAGCCCCGGGACAGGGCTTGCAGAGGACACTAGCCAAAAGCTCTGCCGCCCGCTGCATACCCCCTGGCCGGCTTCTCTCCTCCTGACGGGGCCCTGGGCTTTGGCTCACCCAAAGCTGAAGCAAGCACTCCACACCACCCGTGCCCCTGTGCAACTCACTCGAGCATCGGCCGGCTAGTGCCCGGGGCCAGCACTGTGATGCCGGCTGTGGACGCGAGGCCTCAGCTCCTCCCCTGTGACATCGCTGTCATCCTGCCCTGTCCTCAGAATGTGGCACCACCTTCCTCCAGGGGGAGTTATTGGAGGGGACACAAAGCAGGAGTCAGAGCCCCCCTGGCCTCAGAAGTTGAGCATTAACAGAGACCTGGAGCGGCAGAGATTCTGACGCCCTGTGGATGGGAAGAGAAGTGGATATGGCCACTGTGGAAAAGAATTTGGCATAATTGAGCTGTGTCACATATGTGCACAGCCCTCAGATTTATTCTTAGGCACGTGATCTAGAGAAACACACACACAGGTACCCAGAAACAGCTCAAGGTGTGTGGCCTGCCCACAACCAATGCTCGTCAGCCCCAGAGCAACTGGACCAGGGGATATTCGCTCACCAGAGGGCGGCACGTCGGTGAAAACTCGTGCATTTCCCCCGCACAGGCCAGATGGGTGTCCCTCAGGGAGAGGCGTCAAGTCCCAGAATCAAATACACGTCTGACTCCATCCGCTTGGCGCTCAAAGGCACCTACAACTCCAAAACATTGTTTGGCGCAGCCGTTCTAAAAGGTTTTGGTCTAGGGGCACCTTTATACACCCAAAGGTTGTTCATGGCACCGGAGAGTTTTGTGATGTGGGTTGTGTCTGTCAATACCCATTGTATTCAAAGCTAACATAGGAAGTTTAAAAACATTTTCATTAATTCCTTTCAAAGTAGCAGTCATACACCCATTACCAGTTGATGTAAATACATATTTTAATGGACAATGACTCTATTTTCCAAAACAAAAAACATTTAGTGATAAGTGAGGCACCCCTTCCTACAGCTGCAAATCTCTCAGATGCCCAGATTCATAGACGGCTTCTGGAGGCTCAGGCTCATCCTTGCTTCCACGTTCAAGCCGCTGTGAGATCGCACGTCATGTGACTTCTGGAAACTCACAGACACACACATCACAGCACACTGAACACACACACAGACACATGCACTCCACACACCACACTCTACACACACACCACACGCCACATATGCTACAACATACTCACACACACACAGACACCCACTCCACACACCACACACCATATATACTACACCACACACACACACACAGACACATTCACTCCACACACATGTACTACACCACACAAACACACAGAGACACGCTCTCCAAACACCACACTCTACACACGCACCACACACCACATATACTACAAAATACACACACACACAGACACCCACTCCATGCACCGCACTCTACAACACACCACACACCACATATACCACAACAGACACACACTCCCAACACTACACACCATATATACTACACCCCACACACACACACACAGAGGCACACACTCCACACACCACACTCCACACCACACTCCACACACTATACCACACATACATCCACATTCCACACACCGCATATGCTACACCATACACACACATACACACACACTACACTCTACACACACACCACACACCATATATACTACACACACACACAGAGATACACACTTCACACACACACCACACACCACAGATGCTACACCACACACACATACACACACACTCCACACACCACACTCTACACACACACCACACACCATATGTACTACACCATGTGCACACACACACACGCACACACTTAAATGCATGCAGACTGGGATAATTGCTTTAGGAAAAGTGTAGACAACACGATATCCAAGCAGAGAAGAAGGAAAGAGAAGTTTTCTCTGGAAAGAGGTTTGCTTCTGGGAGGAAGGTTTTGCTGTGTCTACCATGAGAGTGTGTTCGGGTTGGGGAAGTGGAGATGTGTTAGAATCAGGTCCGGGAGGGCTGGAGGCAGGAGGGGTCATGTACACCCGTGCAGGCTAGGGAGGCCGACGGCGACCTCTGCACACAGGCTGTGCATGGGGCCCCCAAGCTTGGGACCGGCACTGCAGGAGTTTGGCTTCCCCGGCCTGGGCCTGGGGGAGCCCAGAACAGGCCTGCATAGCCTGAAGGAGGCAGTGGGGCAGATCCACCTAGGGATGGCCGCCTCGCAGAGCCTCCGCCCCGGGGACGGGCAGCACCCGTGCACCGGAGTCCCAGCAGAGTCCCAGAGACTCAACGTTTCTTTCCTCAGTTAACAAGGTTTGTCCAGAGCAGTGTGTTTTCTACAGAAACTCAGATGTTGCTCTAAATGGAGTTTCCTGGAGTTCCATGCTGGCCATAAGCCTCCTGTGAATAATGCAGAGAAAAAGGAGATCGCAGTTCGAGCCGATTCCCTCTGCCCGCCGACTCTAGAAACAACCTCTTCCCTCCTTCTCACGAATCAAGATTCCACGCCACAGGTTAGCATTGCATATGGCCAAGTCAGCAGCCTCTGAACTAAATTTTTGATGAATTCAACTGTAAAATATTCACAACCTGGAAATTCATAACGTGATTCATGTTTTTATCATTTTTTTTCTATGTGATCTCATAAATGCAACAGAAAATATTAGTCATGAGGCAACATGAGGTTGGGACCCACATGAAGAAACAGCTCCCCCGAGGAAAATAAAATGAACCTCCTCCCAGGACCCAGACCTCCCTAGAGGAGCCACGGTGTTTTCGTTTTAAAAGATAGTCAAAATAAATAAAGATATGTGGATGCAGAGCCAGCAGTGGCGGCCGCTCCCTCCTCCGGTTTCATTTCGCAGTGGGGATGCTCCTAAATGAACCTGCTCCAGAAACTGAAGTTTGAAATGGAGCTCCTAACTCATTTTGTCACGCAGCTGAGAAATGCCCCTTTTAATGGAAAGAAACAGAAAAGGACAATTCCATCTTTGATTGATGGACTGCATTACGGGGTATAAATAAAAGGAAGTGTGATAACCTCACTGTGGCACAGGCCAACCGCAGAGTCCCTAACTGGGGTGGCTGTGTCTACATGGGACTACCAGAGGTGGCCATGCATGGCCTGGTGGTCAGGGCAGGGAGCATCGATGGAGAGCTTGCACCCCGTGAGTGGGACTGCCAGAGGGCCCCCAAGACATCCCCAACGTGAGCGTTTCACTTTTCAGGTGGGGAAACTGAGGCCCACCATGGTCTGTCCCACCAGAGGTTGTCTCGTGACAAACCCAGGCACAGGAATTCCCACCCAGGTCTTCTTAGGAGCTAGAACATTCTGCCCACTTCTTCACCATTTGTCGTCTCCTGGAAATTATTGGAAATTAAAGTGGATTTGTCAACACTCGACTGAGCAATGTCTTTGATGTTGCAGAGGAAATTTGGTCTTTGAATTCGAGTGGGAGCCCCACTGTCCACCAAGCCCCAGTGGTGTGTCTGGGGCCCTCTCCTGCAGAGCACAGGGCATGGGACGCACTGTGCCGTCATTCCTGCAGGCTGCTTCCCGGGCCTGGGGTCGCCAGTCTTTTTTGACCACGGGGGATGCACATGGGGAGGCTCTAGGTAGCAGCCGGTGTCCTCGGAATGTCAGAAGCTTCCTGAAGCGTAAAGCGCGAGGAATTTCTGTTCATCCCAAGCCTTGACGAAAGGTGGCTCAAACCAAGCCGCCTCTTCCTGAGGTGCAGTGTGAATCCTCGGGTGCTGACGGCCTGAGTGTCAATATGCCCTGTCTTCAACACACACGAGTTTCTGCGAGCAAAACAAGCCTGGATTGTATTTTGAAGTCACATATTAAAAGTGACTTTTCAATCATTTAGAACATAACAATCATTCTTGCATTGCACATGGACAGTGTTCCAAGCTTCTGTTTCTGTGGGTGTCCCTGGGCTCCATCTGGGTGACAGCGATGACCTTGGACCTCCCCGGGGGTGGGAAGGACTGGCCAGCGGCCATCCCCCTCCAGCAGGGCCAGTGTCTGGGGCACTTCCCTCACTCCCCTCCCCACAGGGAGTCCACGAGATGTTCACAAAGTCTAGCTAGCTGCTTCCCAAGCACATTCCTTCCTCCTCCTCCAGGTAATGTCCGAGTGTTCCTGGCAGTTGAGTGTGGCCACTTCGCTGAGGAGCAGTCTGTGGACTGTCGTAGAAATGAGGCCAAGATCTCCAGGCCTGGCGAGAAAAGCTCCACACGTTACCGGTGAGAGGAACTCGTGTTGAGTCTGCAGCAACCTCATTTCTTGCCTCCTCAGAGGAAAGAATTCGAACAAGGGGCATCAGGCAGAAGAAGAAAATACTGAGACAAGGTTTAGAGCAGGAGTGAATGTTTATTAAAAAGCTTTAGATCTGGGTGTGGTGGCTCACGCCTGTAATCCCAGCACTTTGGGAGGCTGAGGCGGGTGGATCACGAGGTCAGGAGATTGAGACCATCCTGGCTAACATGGTGAAACCCCGTCTCTACTAAAAATATAAAAAAATTAGCCAAGCGTGGTGGCAGGTGCCTGTAGACCCAGCTACTTGGGAGGCTGAGGCAGGAGAATAGCATGAACCTGGGAGGCGGAGTTTGCGGTGAGGCAAGATGGTGTCACTGCACTCCAGCTTGGGTGACAGAGCAAGACTTTGTCTCAAAAAAAAAAACAAAAAAAAAACCTTTAGAGCAGGAAAGAAAGCACACTTGGAAGAGGGCCGGGCAGGTGACTTGAGCGACCCAGTGCCCAGCTCGACCTCTTGACTCGGGGTTTATATGCTGACATATTTCCAGGCACCTGTGTTCCTTCTCCCCATGCCTGAGATCTCATCAGGAAGCTGCTGATCATGAGTTTCAGGTGTTTTCTATCTAGTAGGAGACTGCCTTATCCTGGTGCCAGCTGAGACCATTTTAGAGAAACCTTTAAAAACCGCCTGACCGACACCTGATGGTTGCCTGACACTCCTGGTGTGTGGTGAGGGGTAGCCCCCTCCTGCCCTGCTCATACCTAGCTAGCTACCCACCATAGCACAGGCACCCCCTTCAGACTCTCTCTCTGGAAGCCTTCAGGCAGGTGGGCTCAGAGTCCTCAGGCATCGCAGGTCAGAGATGGGGAGATTGTGGGATGCGAGGGCCTGAGGCCCTGAGTCGCCGGCTGGAGCAGAGCAGACAATTGGTCAAGAGCATGGTGGGTGAACTTGACTTCAGTGTTGCTAAGACACTGGGATGTCAGAGTTCATCTACCATAGCCTCTGGCATTGCCTTACACAATAGAGTAACTTTGAATAAGAAAGAAAAAAACTCTTTAAGAGTTGAGAATGATGGCCCTGAGAAGTGGAATTAGGAGAGGGTAAGATGAGACTGAGTAGAGACTGGAATTTTTCATTATAAGCCTCATAGAGTTATTCGACTTTTAAAACCCTATATGTGTATAACCTGGACCAAAAATATTAAAATTTCAGAAAAATGTAAAGGCTGATGACAAATGGAGTCATGGTGTATGGGTGAGATTTTGGCTTCAAACAGCAGCAAATAAAGGGAATTCTAACAGTAGGGATGTGTTGTTGGTTTAAGAGATGTAAATGTCCTATTCATTTGTTTGAGTACAGACAGTTCTAGCTCACGTTTCTAAGCTAACGGAAGTTATTTCGCAGAGAGGCATGTGCTAAAAATAAGAAAAAGAAGGAAGATAAGCAAGCACGTGAAACCCTTAAGACTTAACATGGCTGGAATCCAGGATTCAGAGCCTGGATAGAGGTGGGACCTCCCTGTGTTGTAACAGGAGGAAGAGAGAGATGCTGTAGATGTGGGGAGGTTTGCAGATTTGGTAGCAGAAAGCGTTTAAAAAGCTCCTAGATGACAGCAGCCAACCTCTCTGTGGAACACCAGGTGGAGTGATAAGTCAGAAAACAGGGGCGGTGTGGGGCGGGGAAGGGCCAGCGCTGAGGGAGGGGTAAACCTGTATGCGCAGCGTGGACAGCCCGCCAGCCAGGAGGACACCGGGGCCTCCAGAGCATGGGGGCCCTTGTCTGAGGTCGGCCATGGCAACTTCACCATGACCCCAGCCTCCAGACTCTGCAGTTTTCTCTGGAGGCCTCAGCGGCATGAGGTCAGGTGCACAAAGGCAGGTGGTGAGATTCTTCCAAAGCTGGGTTCTTTGGGCAAAAATCCTAAGTCCAAGGAGGAACTGCTGAATTCAAGCTGGAAAAGGTGGAGAATTAAGAATGAAGGGGCTTGGGTGGAGGGAGGGTGGTGAGCTCTGTAATAGTAATAGCGACGAGTGTTCACGTCACACTAATTATGTCTGGCAGGCAGTGTTCCTTCTCCTGTAGATGGTTCACAGATTTACACCTGTGACATTCCTCTGGACCCCATTGTTATCCCCACCTTACAGGTGAGAACACTGACACACAGGATGGTCCCGCTGCTTGCCTGTGGTCACAGTATCCGGAGCATGGCTGCAGCTGGGAACCACCTCCAGGCGACAAAGCAACCCAGCACGGGTGGGTACGGAGGGGCCGTTCGTCTCGCTCACAGTCTGGGGGTGGCCTCATGGTGCTGCTCATCACAGCGGGCATGTTGGCTGGGGCTGACTGTGAGAACCCAGCTCTGCCCCAGAGGCCTGGCCTTGGCTGGTTCTCACAGGGAGGAAGAGAGCCCAGAGCAGTAAGCACAGCCCGTCAGAGAGCGGGCAGAGACGCACTGCGCTTCCTGAGACCGCGGCTCACCGCTCCCCTGCATTCTGCTCTTCAAAGACACATGCAGAACCTTCAGGGTGTTGAAAGGGGCCGCAAAGATCACAGCTCTCAGCGGGGGCGCGGTCAGTCGGCCACAGCGGTGGAGATGGCGTTGAAAGCCGGGGATGATGACTGCTGCGCTGGGATGACTGACGGCTGAGCCAGGCCCTGCTGCTGTGCTTGTTGTGTAAGCCGAGCTCCCAGGGCTGTGCTTGATCAGGGCAGGATGTGTCCATCCAGTATGTTGGAGGTCAGATGAAGAAATGCATGGAGTTAAAAAAAAAAAAAAAAGAAGAAGAAGCTTAAAATGTTTCCTTTATTAATTTTAAGTGTAAGAATGGAAATTTTCATGTATCTTATGCCCTCAAAGATGTAAAGTATGTGAGTGACAAATAAAGGGATGGAAGTCGCTGATGCAACATTTAGTGATGGTTTATCCCAGGGTGCAACCACAGAGGCTGGCAGCTTGTTCCTTCTATTTGTATAAATGTTCGAATTGTTCTAAAATAAGAATGCACTAATTATGTCTCAAAAAAGATGATTTAAGGAAAGCTAACAGTGTTTGCCTTCTGAATGTGGCTATACATTGATTGTAAATAACCTAAAAGAGGCATCTTCGGGATAGGTGCCTCAGGTTGTGTGTGGCTCCCAGGCCACCACAGGGAAGCCTGGTTTTGGACTCTGGGCCTTGGGGTGGGGATGGGGGTGGGAGGGTCTTCATTCAAGGGGCCTGGGTCTTTAGTATCAATTTCATCATAGTTTCCTCTCAGGCTATGGGTGGACCCAAGTATATAAGCGTCACAGCCCCACCTGTGTGCTGGGTTCGGGTAGGAGAGTCACAGCCCCACCTGTGTGCTGGGTCAGGGTAGGAGAGTCACAGCCCCACCTGTGTGCTGGGTCCAGGTAGGAGAGCCACAGCCTGACTTGTTTTTATTAAGAAGAAAGAAGATATATTATATAGAATAAAAATGACATGCTACTTTACAAATAAAAATAGCTGTGATAATCTAATTTACATGGATGATACAGGAGCCTCTCCCATGCCTCAGCTACTGTCTAATTTATATGAATAATACAGGAGCCTCCCCCATGCCTCAGCTACTGTGCTGGGCATTTTCATACAGCGTCCTGTTCTGGGTGCTACCACCTCACCCCAGTGTGCAGTCAATCGTCATAGCAGCCGCTACTTCTCCCATTGCGGTCCTCACACGCCACGTGCTCTCTGGGAAACCTTACAGGTTTTAACTCACTGAATCCTCACAGCCCCCACGGAGGGAGACTCCCCAGTTCCTTCTACTTTACTGATGAGAAAATCGAAGCTCTGAGCCTGGCTGTCTTGCTCAAGGGCACACAGTTGGTGAGGTTTTGAGCTGAATTCCAAACTATAATGTATTCTTTAACCCTGTCCAATCTATGAGCCTGTTCAGAGGTGACGAGTTCCAAATCTATGCACGGCCACAGTGTGAACAGGGAAGAGGGAATCAAACAGAGCGTGGACTTAAAACAACGGGGCTTTCAGGGAGACTGAACGCAGTGAGGGCCGTGCTGGGAACACTGGCTGCTGGGGAAACATTATAATTTTTTTTCTGCCAGGCAAGTGTTCTTTGCACTTTATGTTATTCACATACTTAAGCCTCATTGCCATCCTTTTGAATGGTAAGGCAAAGCATGAGAAGGTACATCTGAGACAAAGAAGAAGACATTTGGAAAACACCAGAAAGAGTGTAGGAGTGTGGGGAGCACCTTGCGTGTCAGCAGAGCCGTAGAAGGAGGGGAGGCAAAGAATGAAGCAGAAGCAATATCTGAAGAACTCACACCCAGGAATTCTCCAAACCAAGTGGAAGGTTCTCAAGCCAAACATTTAAAACACTCTGGGAACTTGAAGCAGGAGCCCCCCTACCCCGGGGTAAAGGCTGGGGGTGTCAGGGAAGGCATCTCTCCCGAGGGGCATCGGACACCCAGAGCAGGCTGTGGTCCTCGGGGTGGGAGAGATGGTGGCAACAGCGGGCATGGAAGAGCGGGACCTGCCCTGAGCCAGGAGAGGAGGTGCTGTGGGTTCCTCCTGGGAAGGGCAAGAGGGGAGGGAGGCTGCGAGGGAAGGCTGGGCTGGGTCCCAGGGGCATTGAAGGTCATAGGAAGGCATGTGTGTTTCATCCCAAGAATACGAAGAGGTCCCTGAGGCTCGCAGCACCATCCCATGTGTGTTTATGAGCATCAGCAGAGAGTGGGCATGTGGCGTGGAGTCGGGGTTCACAGGAGGCTTCCCTAGTGCCCCACAGGAGACCAGATGGAGCCTTGGACCAGTCTGTGGGCCTCAGGGTTCACGGGAGGCTTCCCTAGTGCCCCAGAGGAGACTGGACAGAGCCTTGGACCAGGCTGCGGGCATCAGCCTTCACGGCAGTCTTCCCTAGTGCCCCAGAGGAAACCAGATGGAGCCTTGGACCAGGCTGCCGGCATCAGCGTTCACAGGAGGCTTCCCTAGTGCCCCAGAGACTGGACGGAGACTTAGACCAGCCTGTGGGCATCAGGGTTCACGGGAGGCTTCCCTAGTGCCCCAGAGACTGGACGGAGCCTTAGACCAGGCTGTGGGCATCAGGGTTCACAGGAGGCTTCCCCAGTGCCTCAGAGACTGGACGGAGACTTAGACCAGCCTGTGGGCATCAGGGTTCACGGGAGGCTTCCCTAGTGCCCCAGAGACTGGACAAAGCCTTAGACCAGGCTGCGGGTGTCAGGGTTCATGGGAGTCTTTCCTAGTGCCCCAGAGGAGATGGTACAGAGCCTTAAGCAAGGCTGCAGGCATCAGGGTTCACGGGAGGCTTCCCTAGTGCCCCAGAGACTGGACGGAGCCTTAGACCAGGCTGTGGGCATCAGGGTTCACGGGAGGCTTCCCTAGTGCCCCAGAGACTGGACGGAGCCTTAGACCAGGCTGCGGGTGTCAGGGTTCATGGGAGTCTTTCCTAGTGCCCCAGAGGAGACGGTACAGAGCCTTAAACAAGGCTGTGGGCATCAGGGTTCACGGGAGGCTTCCCTAGTGCCCCAGAGGAGACGATACCAAGCCTTAGACCAGGCTGTGGGCATCAGGGGCTCATCCAAGTGAGTGGACCACATTGTTCACTTGGAGAGAGAATCAGCAACCCCTGCTTCCAGTTTAATATGCAGAAAAGTAGACAGTTCTTAAAATAGTTCTCCCTAAAATAGAACATACACAGTGAAGAGGGCAGCCACATATGCCAATCACTGAAAACCATGACAGGAGCGGGCATGGTGGGGCAGAGAGAGACACAGAGAGAGAGACGGAGATGGGAGAGTCCTGGGGTCACTGAGCAGGGCCTGATCTGGATGATCAACTGCAGAGCTGCTTCTGCACTTCCTGGGAGTGGAAGTTTGTGGGGCGGGGTGAGGGGAGAGGGGAGGGGAACATTTTTGTGAAGCATCCTCACACCTCTCAACAGCTTGGCGGGAAGTAGAGGCATAGGTTGAATTTTCACCACCATTTAAAATACTAGAACTACTTTGTCACTTCCTTTGTGAATTCCCCTGTGACCCAAGAGCTGTATAAGAGATCACTGCATATTTTCCAAGCTCTGCGGAGGTTTTATAACTTTCTGCTGCTGATTTCCCCTGTAATTACCCTGGGGTCAGAGGATGCGTTCTGACTTCTGTCCTTTGACCTTGTTGAGACTTGCTTCATGATGAGGCACAGGCGCCCCATGAGAACAGAACAGAAATGCGTAGTCTGCATTCTTTGGTATAATGTCTCCATATCTCTGTTAGGTGACATGTATTAATTATGTGGTTCAGCTCTTCAGTATCCTCCCCAATTTTTTTCTCTTTCCAACAGTTACAGAGAGAGTAGCATGAAAATCTATACATATGATAGTAGATTTGCCCATTTCTCTTGAACAATTTACAAATTAGTAAATGTTTGCAAATGGATAGCTGTCATACACCCCATTGATTTGGCATTTTTATCATTATGAAATTTTTTATTTCTGGTTTTGTTTTTTTTTTTTTGGAGACGGAGTCTCGCTCTGTTGCCCAGGCTGGAGTGCAGTGGCCTGATCTCAGCTCACTGCAGACTCCGCCTCCTGGGTTCACGCCATTCTCCCGCCTCAGCCTCCCAAGTAGCTGGGACTACAGACGCCCACCACCATGCCCAGCTAATTTTTTTTTTTTTTTTGTATTTTTAGTAGACACGGGGTTTCACTGTGTTAGCCAGGATGGTCTCGATCTCTTGACCTCGTGATCCACCTGCCTCAGCCTCCCAAAGTGCTGGGATTACAGGTGAAATGTTTTATTTCTAATATATATTTTTGTTGCCTCAAAGTCTACTTTGTCTGATAGTTGTAAACCCATTCTAGTTTTCCAGTTGGACTCTCATGTGCTTAGCTGTGGGTTTCTTTGTATTTATCTTGCTTAGGTGTCATAGAGATTTTTGAATCTTTAGTTTGACTCTTTCATCCCTTTGGAAAATTCCCGGGGATCATTTCTCACATGCTGCCTCTGCTCCACTCTCTGCCTCCTCTCCTTCTAGGATTCTATTCACATACACATTACATGTTCACCACTCCCCGTATGTCTCCAGCACTCTTCCAATGTTCTTCACGTTTTCTCCTTTGTTTAGATAAGGATAGTTTTTCATGCCTTGCTTTCAGCTCACTAATCCCTTGTTCTATATATGTACATTTCCTTTTTACCTTCTGCTATGACCTGGTCTCTGATGCTGACCTCCACCTTCCTCTCTAGTTTCTGCACATATTATTGGTAGTTCAACTCCCTGCCTAATAACTCCAATATCAAAGTCACCAGTTTCTACTGTTTCATTCCTTCCTCTTGATTTTCAGTTATTCAGTTATATACTTTTTAATGTACTAAGTCTTGTAATTTTTGATTGGATGCTAAACATTGTGGGCAAAAAGTTAAACAGGTACAGAATCGAGCTAGCTTCCACCAAAAATAATTGATGTGTATGTAAGCTATATCATTTAGGGCACATGGGCGGGAATTCTTTGACAAAGATTTGCAACTTTCTTGTAAGCCTGAAATTGTTTTAAAATAAAAAGTTAAAAATAATGAAGTAAAAAATCCTCCCTCTAAATTTGGCATCCATTGACAGCGTGCATCCCCATTCTTACTGAAGCCAGTTACTTCTGGTGATTGCAAAATGCCCTATTCCTCGGTCAGCAGCTACTCTACGGAAGAGCCTTCCTAGTAGCCACCAAGCCCATTCACGGATCAGTTGCTCAGTGATCCATAATTCATTTCTGTCCTCAATTATTTTGACGTTTAAGTGGTCCTGGATTTGGCCAGGGGCTCCTGTGTTCTCAGGACAGTTCTCCACCATTTGGGGGGCAGTTTCTCACTCCTTGGCACAGCAGTGCACCTTCCCCACCACAGCCCTGGAGTTGGCCATTTCACCATGAAAGATGTTTTGATGCAAATATTTTAATCAGAATCACACCAAATCTGATGAGCATCCATTCAGTTGAAATTATATATACATTTTATATATATATAGTTTATATGTAAAATATGTTTTAAATATATTTTATATATATACTTTTTTGGGAGTCTCACTCTGTTGCTCAGGCTGGAGCACAGTGGTGTGATCTTGGCTTGCTGCAAACTCTGCCTCCCAGTTTCAAGCAATTCTCCTGCCTCAGCCTGCTGAGTAGCTGGGATTACAGGCATGCACCACCACACCCAGCTAATGTTTGTATTTTTACTAAAGACAGGGTTTCACCATGTTGGCCAGGCTGATCTTGAACTCCTCACCTCAAGCAATCCACCCACCTCAGCTTCCCAAAGTGCTGGGATTACAGGTGTGAGCCACTGCACCTGGCCAGAAATTTTTCATATTCTATTAATCCAATTCAATTATTGAATCAAATTTAAATACATGGGCAGATAAAGCAATATTCCCAATATTTTGTTCCCATTTCCATTAAATTGACATATTTTCATTTGGATCACACTTTTCACATTTTTATTTTTCAAAAAGATATGACTAGTAGTTCTTTCAGCCATGTCAATCTTCCTGATGATAGTTTTTGCCTTTAGGGATTTTTAGAGCAATTGTACCAATAAAGTTCAATTTGAGGGTATTAAATTATACATATCTAATTTATTTTTCAAGCACAATTCATTCATTCATCAATCTTGAATCAATGCTCAGTTTTAGCCACTGTTAGTTTTACTTAGGTTTGGCTACTTCTAACTATAATCTTTATTATTGACAATATAAAACTGGCAGGTGGCACTAATGTCTCAGCTCACCTGTTCCTGAACCCCCCCCCCCACTGCCACTGCTGTCCCCCCAGCCCTGCTAAATGTCCCCAACGTCTGGACCCAGCCCTGTCCTCTCCTGCCCCTGGACCTTCTCCTGCCGTGAAGCCCTCGCCCACCCTCTGCCCTGACCCTTCTTGGTCTTTGCATTTCCTCTGTGCCTCAGCTTCCCAGATGCCCTGGAGCATCTCCATTGTCCCTCCATGTGCTCACCTCACTCTTCTTTCCAGACCGGTGACTCAGGATCATAAACCTGCAATGCCTCGAGTTTATCGCTGCCTCCCCCAAGCCAGGTCTCAGCTCCTCTTGTGATGTTGCTTTTAACCTTCACAGGCATCCTTTGAGTCAGATACTAATTTTTTTTTCACTCATTTTGCAGGAATATATATAATTAATATAAATATTCACATGTATTATTTATATAATTATAAATGCAGAATAGTTGTATTTATTTTTTACCTGTTATATATTTTATATAATATATTTTATATATTTATATATCTAATATACAATATTTTCAAGTATGTGATGTCATATATTATATTCCTATAGATACTATATACCTAACAAATACTATAAATACTTATATAATTATTGAATAAAATCCTATATATTATACAGTTGACCCTTGAACAATGTTAGGGTTAGGAACAAAGACCCCCTCAACCCCTGCACAGTCGAAAATCCCCATGTGACTTTGACCCCCCCTAAAACCTTAACTACTCATCACCTACTGCTCAACAGAAGCCTTACCAGTAACAGCCAATTAATGCATACTTTGTGTTATATGCTGTATTCATACAATAAAGTAAGTGAAAATTGTATTAAGAACATGGTGAGGAAGAGAAGATGCCTTTACTGTTTATTAACTGGAAGTGGATCATAATCAAGGTCCCCATCCTCATCTTCACGTGGAGGGAGTGGAGGAGGAGGAGGGCGGGGGCCGGTCTTGCTGTCTCAGGGGTGGCAGAGGTGGTAGAAAATCCACATATAAGTGACCCATGAACTTTAAACCATGTACTGTTCAAGGGTCAACCGTATATATTGCATATATATTATATGTTTTGCATTATGTATATTTAATATTAATGTAAAACTAGAAAAGACCCATCGGGCACGTGGGTGGCACAGAATGTCGTGGGTGGCACAGAATGCCGTGGGCCCACGTGAGCCCCGAACTCCCGAGGGGCCTCTTTGCTTCCCCATGGGACAGAAGGCTCCGAACGCAGACCCTGGTCACCAATGTCTTGGCTGACCCGAGAGCAGCTACTGCTTTTGTTTTTTTTCCAAATAAATAACGAATAAAATAGGACTTGCCCTGTCGAAATTAAAAGGGCATTATTTTGAAACATAGTCTTAAAAATGGATTATTCGTTAAGTGGCACCAGCCAACCAGTTAAGCATTTGGGGAAAAATAATTTCTCATTAATACAAATTAAATTACCAAAGGTTAATAACTTGACATAAAAAAGAACCAAAATAAAATATAGAGTATATTTTATTGTTTTTATAAGGAAAGTCCTTTTTTATTTAGAAGTTTTAATCCAGACCATAAAAAAGAAAGAATTGGGTGTATAAAAGTGTTAAGGCAGAGCAAAGAAGGCAAATACATAAATTGCAAGCTGTAAAAAACTTTTGCATTCCATATGCCAAAAAATTCACATCCATAAAACATGAAATTTCCTTAAAGTCAACACGAACACCGCGACTGAGAAAACAAATGGGCCAAATCTATAAACAGGCAAATCACAGGAGAAGGGAAAAATCAGAAAATAACCAAGAAAAAGGATTCAACCTTAAAGGAACAAAACAAAGACAACGTGAAGTCGCAGTAAGGGATTATTTGTCCAGGAACTTGGCCAGGACGAAACAACGGGAAGCCCCAGTGCTGGCCAGGCATGGGGGGCCCACAACCCACCCAGGGGGTGCAGCTGGCAGGACTGCCCTCGAGACCAGTGGGTCAGAATTGACCAAAATTCAGTTGCAGGTTGGTTTTAAGGGGGCATCTCCTCTTCCAAGCACCCCCTGCTGTGACGTGCTGGGAGCCCCCGGGGGCAGGAGAAACTCCCCCATCCACAAGGTGCATTTGCAAGAATATTCCTCAAAACCAGAAGCTCCCCAATGACCATTTGTTGTGAATGAGTGAGGAATTACAGAAGGCCGTAAGTTGGAGAGATAGGCCTGTTTCTGCACCCAGAAGGAAGGAGCCACAAGCTCTTGTGGAGCAAGAGCGGGACCCGGGATGCGAGTGTAGACGGGTGCTGGAAGGAAGCTCAGACCCTTCCTCTCCCCACCAGATTACAGGAGAATGGAATCCCAGCCTGGTGGCACCTACCAGCTCCAGTGCTTTATCAGATACACCCATAGTGGTTTCAAAAACCTACAGGAATATTCCTTTGGGAAAGGAACCCGTGAGGTTGCTCCCTGGGCCGGCTCTGTGTTCTCACTGCCCCAGCTTGCACCTGAGCCCCGCTGCCCCTGGGGCCGTTGGCCTGCTAAGATGCTTTGGGTTTCTCTGCATCCTCCTTTGTATAGTGGAGTGCATCGTGCTGCTCAGGCTTTGTAACAGAGCACCGCAGGCGGGTGGCGTGCACTGCAGACGTTACCTCCTCAGGGTCCTGGAGGCTGAAAATTCAAGATCCAGATGTGGGAAAGGCTGATTCCTCCAGAGGCCTCTCTCCTCAGCTGGTGGACGGCATCCTCCCTTGGTCTTTCTGCTGTGTGGGAGCAGCCCTGCTGGGCTCTGGGTGTCCTAATCTCCTCTTCTTATAGGGACTCTGATCATATTGGATTGGGGCCATCACCATGGCCTCATTGTAACAATCACCTCTGTAAAGGCCCTGTCTCCAAATACAGTGACGTTCTGAGAGTCACTGGAGGACAGGGCTTTACCCTGTGAATCTGGGGGGACACAATCAGCCCATAACAAGGAGCGATAATGGTGGGGTCTGTTGTACAGGTAGGTGGCTGAGGCCACCAAGCAAGTTAGTGCTTGTCAGCCCTGTCAAACACACAAGAAGCATCTTGGTACCCTGAACCCTGCTGCAGCCAGGATGCACAGCCATAGCTGCAACTCACACTGGCCTCCTGAAGCCCCTGAGCCTGGCTGGATTACGTTCTATTCATTATGGGATGTCTAATAATAATAGCAACCTGCTCCAGTGTTAGTAGCAGGACTCAACCCTAGATCGCCTGGCTCATAACCCTCTCTCTGAACCACCTTCCAAACAGAAATGGCACACAATTGTGAAGAACATATTTCATAACAGTCTCACTTTTATTTTAAGAGACAGGGTCTCACTCTGTTGCCCAGGCTGGAGTGCAGAGGGGCGTTCATGGCTCACAGCAGCCTTGATCTCCTGGGCTCAAGTGATCCTCCTGCCTCAGCCTCCCAAGCAGCTGGGACCACAGTGCATACTACCACACCCAGCTAATTTTTGAAATGTTTTTGTAGAGATGGGGTTCTCACTATACTGCCCAGGCTGGTCTAGAACTGGAGATCAAGTGATTCTCCTGCCTCAGATTTCCAAAGCATTAGAACTACAGGCATGAGCCACCATGCCCAGCCCAGTCTCGTATCAATATTTAAAAGGAAAAAATGTTGGTGCTTAAAGGTGGGAGGGATGGGGGATAAGCAACATGGTTTCCAACAAACAAGGCCAAGGTTTGTCTGCACTTTTGGCAGAGCCATCTGTGGCATCCTCCTGGTGAGCGTCACCAGTTGGGAGCTCAGCAAAGACAGTCACCAGGTCCTCACAGCTTTGTCATCCTTCTTGCCACACGGACATCCTCTCTCCCCACCTTCTGGGAGCAGGTCAGTTGGAGAGGGCTCCTTTAGATTGTCACTTTATTAGTAACTAAGAAAATCAAGTTCCCTTGGCTGGAAATCCTCATAGTTTCACTCTCGTGCATCAAGAAATAAAGTTCATAGAATTGCTAACAGACTTTGCAAGGAGCTCTCTTCCCCCCGGCTCCCCACCACCCATTTTTTTTGGTTACAGTAATTGCCGTCTGAGCCTCAAAGGCTAGAAATCGTTTTTCATCTCATGCATGGAGAATTTCCATCTGATTGATGACAGCCACAGAGCCTTTCCTTACCCACGGAGCTGCACTAATTTGCAAGCTAAAACAATATTAGCAAATTGTTAATGGCCCATGAAACTGCAGGAGCAGCGTTAAGTGTTGTGCTCAGGCCTCCCCGGCAACTACAGCTGCTCACCTAAATACCCACGGTGGCAGCAAGAGGAGGAGGCTTCTAAACTCTATCATGGAGGGAGAAAGGGGCTGTCTCGCTGCAGCAAAGTCCTCTGCGGGATTGGCATGGCAGGCATGCCCTCGGTCCCCACTGCTGTGGTGCAGACACAGCGGGTCTGGGTAGCAGTTGGGATTGAATTTTCTTGTAGCAGGAAAGCTGGCACCAACTCCCCATCCAAGCGGATGCCGTGATCTCCTTTTACAGCTGAGCCAATAGCCTGTGTTTGCCTTTTACAGCTGAGCCAATAGCCTGTGTTTCTTCTTCAAGGGAGAAGCAGTTCTGCATGGGCCATGGTTCCCACTCGGTCCCACTGCAGCCTCGTAGGACTCAGCAGATCCCACGGCGTTCCTGCCACGGCTGCCCCAGGTGCGCCCAGAGCTTGGGATGCTGTACAGGCAGCTCAGGCTTGGAGGAGATGGCCGGTCCTGTGCCAGTGGGGAATGAGCAGTGGTGTCATGTCAGGATGTCTGTGCCAGGCGAGTTGGCAGCAGGTTCCTTGGAGGAAGGTCTTGCAGCTGTAAAAATACAATATCTAGGTGTCTGTGTAGAAAGAAGTAGACATAGGAGACTCCATTTTGTTCTGTACTAAGAAAAATTCTTCTGCCTTGGGATGCTGTTGCTCTATGACCTTACCCCCAACCCGGTGCTCTCTGAAACATGTGCTGTGTCCACTCAGGGTTAAATGGATTAAGGGCGGTGCAAGACGTGCTTTGTTAAACAGATGCTCGAAGGCAGCATGCTCGTTAAGAGTCATCACCACTCCCTAATCTCAAGTACCCAGGGACACAAACACTGCGGAAGGCCGCAGGGTCCTCTGCCTAGGAAAACCAGAGACCTTTGTTCACTTGTTTATCTGCTGACCTTCCCTCCACTGTTGTCCCATGACCCTGCCAAATCCCCCTATGCGAGAAACACCCAAGAATGATCAATAAAAAATAAATAAATAAAAATAAATAAATACAATATTTAGGGCCCATGACGGCAGGATTCAGGTTACAAGAAGGCTGATTATTTCAGGACAGATAGGTCAAGAAATGCACAAGACGTGGCTGTAAAGTCCAGGCACTGTCACTTAACTGACACACTAAACAGGATTGGAGAAAAGCGTGGCTGCCTCCCAAGGAGTTCTGTGGGCCGTGGGGCTTTTCGTGCCGATGCCGATGCTGCTCCAAGAATATCTGGAGTTCTGTCTAGCATCATCTTTAAATGGCTGGGCTGGAAAATTAAAGGCCGTCCTGTCACTTTGTAGGCAAACAGCCATCCGTCCAACAGTGACAGTCTACACACGGCTTACCTTCCTGAGCTACCTGGCTGGGCCGGGATGACAGCTCATTCCGAGATCTAAACCCATTCCAAGCGGATCATGAATTCTCAACCTGGAGATACTCCAAGGAATATGCCACAGGTTCTGAAAAGAAATATCAAAAGGGTATCATAAATATGTGTTGCATGTTTGAGAGTATGTTAAATCCTCCAGAGATTCCAGTCTGAAAGAATAACCATTTTGGTTTTTTGTTTTGTTTTGTTTTAATTGTCTTGTGAGTTGGATGTGTGGAAGCAAGACGATGAGGGGAAAGAAGGGAGGAGGAGCAAGGCTGGTTTTCATCCAAGCCTGGGCAACTCCATTCACTGTGTTCAGTTCCCATTGAGAAACCTGGAATCCTAGACTCCCCCCCAGGGGGCTCAACATTGGAAAGGACCTCCCTCCGGAGATCTTCCATCTCTAGATGGAGAAATTCCATCTCTAAACTCTGATAAATGGGCTTCCTGGAAGTTCCCTGGAATTAGATCCCTGCTGCCTGGCAGGGCCCGCTGCTCTGTTCAGGACGCCCTAATTGTCAGCGAGTTCTTCTCTGCAGTCTGCCTGCCTCCAGCTTCTGATGCACCTCATTCTGGAACTTCACATTTTCTCCTAAAGGATCGATCCAGGCCAAAGCCAGCTCAATGCCAGCTCTACCCAAAATACAGCAGCAAAGGTGATGGGCACTGCAGGCAGAAGAAGGCCAAAGCCCCTTCATCCCCATCCCCAGCCCCAGATGCCTGAGAGCCCCCACACTCCCTTCCCAAAGCCCCCACATGGCTCCCTCAGCCGGTGCCTCTGGGGTCTTGGCTGTTGGCACTTGACTGACACGACTGTCTTAGTCCATTCAAGCTGCTATCACAAAAATACAGTGGACTGGGTGGCCGAAGACACAGACATTTATTATTCAGCGTTCTGGAGGCTGGAAGTCCAAGATCAAGGTGCTGGGAGACTCGGTGTCTGGTGAGGGCTTCGGTCCCCAGACGGTGCCTCTTCACTGTGTTATCCTACAGGGGAGTGGGGAGGGTCTTTCTGCGCCCTTTCATAAGGACCCTCACCCCATCCCCGAGGGTTGCAACCGTGTCTCATAATACCACAGAGGTGAGGATTTCCACAAACAAATGTTGGGGGGACACCCATGTTCAGCCCTTACCAGTGGCCAGCCTGCAAATGTCCCTGAAGCAGAGCGGGGAGCAGCACCAGGAAGACGGAGCCTGCTGGGCTGGGGCCAGTCCTTCCCACACCCCACACGTGCACCCGCGCGGCCCCAGGAGGGGTGGAATTTTTGTCATCATCGTCATGACTTTCCCATCCACACTGGATTCATAGTAAGCTCTAAACAGCTGTGTCTGTGCAACCCATCCACATCCAATAAAGATGGTCGTCTATCCATCGCGGCTCACACCTAGAAACTTCATCACACTGTGGGCATTTTTCTACTTAATCCTTTACAGGCAAGTGGGAGATTCCCACGTGCCTGTCTCTATCTTGCTGCTGAAGAAGTGGAAGGCCAGAGAGGAGGAAGCCACGCGCCCGAGGCCGTCTGGCTGTTGAGAAGACCAGAGGAGAGCCTGAGGAGGCCAGGTTCGAGCTCGTGTGTCTCAGCCCAGAGCCTGCAGAATTTTGTGTCTGTCGCGACGGGGTCTGAAAACCTATTCTGGCCGGGCAGGCTGGAACCCGGGCTTGTTGTGGGCCGCAGACCAGCTCAGTGCAGCTCGCAGCCCTGCCAGACGGAAAGGGGGAACTAGGCGCGCAGAAAGGGTACGTGCGGAAAAAACTCTTGCCTCTGCGCTAGAACGTCCGGCAGGGCCCTTCTGTGAACAAGCGGCAGCACCTGCGCCAGGGGCAGGTGCCACTGACAGACGCCTGCCGGGCCCGCTCGATCCTGACCAGCTCACTTCTCAGGGATGCGCTGCACCTGCTGGGCCTCCTGGAACCAGCGCTCGGCTTCGCTCGGGGAGCACGGCGGTGCGGGGCAGCGCATCAGAGCCCGGACTCGGGGGAGGGTCCTGGGACTGCAGTGACAATGTACCTTCACAGTGGGAGCAGGAGGATTAACACGGCAGGGATTGACGCCCTCTCTGAGACCAAGGTGTCAGCAGGACCACACTCCTTCTGGAGGCTCTAGGGGAGGATCCTTGCTGCCTCTTCCAGCTTCCGGTGGTTTCAGGCCTTCCTTGGTTTGTAGACACGCGTCACCCTGTCACTCCACCCTCTGACCCTGTCTTCAGGGAACCTTCTTCTCAGTGTCTGTGTCACGTGCCCTCTTATTATAAGGATGCCAGTATTGGACTAGGACCTCCTCCTCGCCGAACCCAGCAGGACCTCATCCTAACTTGATGACATCTACGAAGGCCCTATTGCCAAATAAGGTCACGTTCACAGGCACTGGGGCCTGGGATTTTCCCTTACGTTTTGGAGGATGCAATTCAATCACAGCACTAAACAAAGACACGGCTTTGGAGGATGGGAGCTAGACTGCTGGAAATAATATGGACACGTGTTATTAAATCGAGAGAGGGGAGATCGTTAACATGTGACATCATCCGGCTCTTATTAAAAAGCCTGATCGCTGCATTGTAATAAGTTTTCCAAAAGGAAGGTCAGCAAGAATCAGTTTCAACTTCAATAATCTCAGAATTACATGTAAGTCAGATAGAAGTTTAATTCTCCTAATTGGGAATTTAGTTAATTTAGACACTGGCTGAGCTGTTTCCTTCTGATGTATAAAGACATAATATACATTTATGTGTAAGATAAACACAGAAGCAGAAGTTGGCCAAAACCACAAATATCATCTTTGCTGATAGTCAATGCCACTTACAGATCACTATGGTTTATCGTCTCCTAAAGACCCTCCTGGGCAGCCCTTCAGCGGCAGTGTTCATTCACTCACTCACTCATTCATTTATTCAGTCTAACTTCACTGGATGTTTTGACTATCTAGAGTACATAAGGTTTGGGAAAGGATGGGACACAGTGCCCAGCAGCCTCAGGTGACCTCGCGTCTGAGGAGGAGGAGAGCAGCATTGTTGGGTGGCAGCAGAACCATCTCCACCAGGGTCCTTGGCGTTGCAGCAATATCAACACAAGGCCGGGTGCAGTGTCTCACACCTGTCATCCCAGCACTGTGGGAGGCCAAGGAGGAGAATCACCTGAGGTCAGGAGTTCAAGACCAGCCTGGCCAAGATAGGGAAACCCCATCTCTACCAAAAATACAAAAATTAGCCAGGTGTGGTGGCAGGCACATGTAATCACAGCTACTCTGGAGGCTGAGGCAGGAGAATTGCCTGAACCCAGGAGGCAGAGGTTGCAGAGAGCCAAGATCATGCCACTGCACTCCACCCTGGGTGACAGAGCGAGACACTATCTCTAAAAAAACAAACAAACAAAATTAAAAAGAACAAAAATTATGGTTTGTTCCAGAATTTTCTTGCTTTACTGATATCTTACCTCAAAATCAACTCACATTTTCCCCAAGAAACTAAAAATCAAATACATTCACTCTAGGGAATAAGATTACCAAGTGCTAAGGGAAATTACAATTAAAAGATGATTTGGGGCTGTGCGAAGTGGCTCACGCCTGTCATCCCAGCACTTTGGGAGGCCGAGGCAGGTGGATCACCTGAGGTCTGATGATGAAACCCATCTCTACAAAAATTAGCTGGGAGTGGTGGTGCATGCCTATAATCCCAGCTATTTGGGAGGCTGAGGCAGGAGAAGCACTTGAACCCAGGAGGCGGAGGTTGCAGTGAGCCGAGATCGCCACACGGCACTCCAGCCTGGGTGACAGAGGGAGACTCTGTCTCAAAAAAAAAAAAAAAAAAAAAAAAAAAAAAAAAATCAACACAAGACGCTTTCAGGAAAGCAGGCGTTATTAGATCCCACAGAGAGCATTCTTGTTTTTAAGGACTCAGGAAGTCATGGAAATTGCCAAGGAAGCGGGATCAGAAGATCTGGGCTGAAGCAGCTTGGAGGTGGCGCTCACAGGTGGAGGGGCTGCCCCGGGGCGGCCCTATGGTGGGGAGAGCAGTGTAGGTCACGCGGGGCCTCCTGACGAGCAGAGTAATGGTCCTGACAAAAAGCCACGCAACCCTCTCTGGAGAAAGGACAAGTGCCGCAGTGAAGAGAGACCACCAATAAGCAGGAGGTGCATCCGAACGAATTTCCTAAAATGCATCAAGCAGAGAGAATGAGATGGAAAATCTGAAAGCAGAAAGCATAAGAGCTTGCCAGGTGGAGCGCACATCTGTTCAGACCATGCCACAGACGACGAAGAATAGAAGGTGGCGTGCCAGGTACAAAGCAAATCCCAGCAAGTGGCCAAGAATGCCCATGTTTAAACCCACATTCCCAAATAGCCCATGATTCAAAGAAGGAATTATAAGAAGAATGAACAATGCTTGGAGGTGAACGATAGTGAATACATCACTTACGAGGTATGTGAAATCAGGAAGAGCTTTGAGAAAACAGCATAGACTATAAAACCAGAATATGGAAAACAAAAGGCATTAAATATAAGAAAAGCTGAAAACAAATCAACTAAAGACTTTAGAGAAAAAAACATAGAAAAATATATAACAAAGTAGGTGTTGTGAAAAGACTGATCAAATAAATAGTGTCTTGTGAGATTAATAAAGAGGAAAGAAGATAAGAAACTATTGGATTTTATTAATAAGGCAATTGAGAGACCAGCTGGTAATGTAGCAGATGTTGGAAAGATAGAAGGAAAAAACTTTGAACAACTTTATAAGATATACTTGAAAGCCTAAATAAAATAAACCATTTCAAAAAATCAAAACTGACTTAAGAAAAAATAGAAATTCTGACAGTCCTATAAATACTCAATACATTTAGTATATACTTATAAACACCAGATCCAGATGGTTTTAGAGGTGAATTCTGTCAACTTTCCAGGAATAGACCATCCTCTACTTATAGGAACTCTTACAAAGACTAGAAGAGGAATAAATTTGGTCTCCAAATCCTTAAATTAGCTGACTATAACTTTGGTAACAAAATCAAATACACATGCTAAAACTCTATGCAAAAATATTCATAGAATAATCCAGTAATCAATTAAAAATTATGTTTGTTTTATCCAAGGAATGCAAGAGTGGAATACATAAGAAAAATATATAATTTTCACTCACCAAATTCACTTATTAAATGAGAAAAATCTTACAATTAACATATGCAAAAAAGTATTTCATAAAATCTAATGTTTATCCATTATTTTAAAAACTTGTAAAATATAAATAGGATAATACCTTCTTAACCCAATAAATTTAATCTACCAGAAACATGTAGCAAACAGAATCCTTAAAGATGAAATGAAATTTAATCCGTACCACACATTATATGCAAAAATAAGTTTCAGATGGGTTAAATGTGAAAGGCAAACCTTAAAATTCTGAGAATACCGTAACATAAAACCATCTCATGGTAGAGAACAATTCCGTTAAGCAACCAAGTACGCAAGCACATAAAAACATTAACCATAAAATTAGAAACTGATTGTTTATGTTAAAATGTAAAATACCTGTTCAGCAAGATGCCATTAGCTTGTGACAAAGTCATAAACTGTATAAAGTTAGAAACGTACAACTAACAAAAGAAGCTATTGATCTGAAACAAAAAAAAATCAATAGAAAACAGGTAAGTCACTGAACAATACAAAAGGATAACACTCCTGGGGTTTGGCTAGAAGCTCGTTTCACAGGTTTTTCTTTTTACCATAATGCCTTGTAGCTTTCACCCATATGACATATATGATTGTCTATGTGTCCAACATAGAGGAGGTTTATTAACCCGTAGGAATTAAATTCCAGAGTCCATGTGATGCAAAGCTGACTCACATCACCCAAGATTCCCTTTCTTGGGGATTGTTTACCGTGCCTTCCATTGGGCAGTCTTCAACCTGAGTCTGTCTTCCTTCTCGGCCACAAGAAGATTATCTGTCTTCTCTGTCACAGCTCCTGTGAGACTCACCTCTGACTCCCTTGTTGACCTATGGCCAGACCAGACACAGACCTTTCCCCTTAATGGACCTGCTGACAAGACTGGACAGGGGCCCTTCCCCTTCCACCCCTAACCAACTCCTCAATGTCTGCCTCATGAGTGACTCACTAGGAACAGAACTTTGTGACCCCAAAGCCAGCTGGGCACAGAGACAAACATGTCCTATGTTTGTCTGAGTGAGAGAGGGTTTTCCTGCTTAGGAAGCCTCCTGGCTGTGATGTGATATCTGCAGGCCTGGGTGCTCTTGGCCTGAAGCAAATCCATCCTCTCACTTGTTCGTGTTTTGCCTTTGACATTTCTAGCCTGACTTGAGTGCTTACCAATTTGGAAAAGTTTGGGGCAACAATGTAAGAATGAAAGGGTGATAACCATTCTGAATTGCTGTGGAGGCTAGAGCACCGTTGATCCACCCCGTCAGCACAGCTTTCGAAACAGAAAGTGCTTCCAGGGCGTCAGGCACAGAGGCAGGTGCACGCCCCGTGGGTATCCCTGTCTCCATCCCCGAGGCCCCCACACCTGCAGCAACCCTGACGAGCGGCCATGTGCACGTGTGTGTGTGTTGGGTGAAGGCAGAGGGCATCGCTCTTGAGTCTTACCTACCCCATTGTGTGTTGGGTGAAGGCAGAGGGCGTCACTCTTGAGTCCTACCCACCCCGTGATGCAGCACTGGTTCAACAGTTCGCAGAGGAGCTTGCACCAAAAGTCAGGAGAGTGTCTCTGTGTGTGGCCGGGGCTGGAAATCCCATCCTGGACCCATCTTCCCGCACTACATCAGGAAGGGAGGGGGAGGAGGTCACCAGCGCCTAGAGGCTGCCATCTCTGTCTCCATCATGCCCGGGGCTGCTGGTTGGCTGTGGGCAAGATGAATTTTCATTCAAAGATGTCTACTGTGGAATTCATTGATACTTTTGTTTTTTTAGGTAATAAGTATTTTACAATGGGCCCTATCGTGGAATCTTCATGATGAGCAAATAAAGAGAATATGGGGGCTCAGGGAAGCCCCACGTTCAGGGGTCACCTGGACATTGTTCAGCGCATCTGTGCCTGTCCCCAGGACTGAGTGTCCGAAGGACTGCCGTCCAACTTAGAATAAAGGGAAAAACGCGGATGCTGGTTTGCAATGGCTGAGACTTCATACTATCAAAATAATTGTAGAAATGCACAATTTTGCAGGAAGAAAATAATGTTTTTAGAACTAGAGATTTTCAACCTGACTTCCCTGAATCTTCTCTTTCCCCTTGAATCGGTGTGAGCACACACGTCTCCCATGAGCTCCAGTTCTGGGACACTGGCACAGCTTTAGTTAATTAACAGGAGTGAGTCAGCGAGGTTGAAAATATGTATTGCAAATCGATGTGAGGAAGAGCTCCAGCTGTCTGAAGGATCGTGGGGCTGTGGATTTTAAAAATGCACCTCTTCATTTGGCTCCTATTCCAGTCCAACCTCTTGCAAACTTGAAAACTCGTAAACATGTCATAGAAAGGGTTATTGCAACTGCTAACATAGAGAGACGCCTTCTTCCTGTCGACTGTCACAGCTGCCAGCCCCTCCCCAAGACAGGGAGCTCTAGAATGAAAGTCTTCCAACACTTCTCCAAGCTGAGCTTCTCAGGGGCGTCTGTGGCTTCCACATAGGGTAGGAAGGCTGAGCTTAACGGATAAAGCCTTTCATGATCCGTCCCTGCATCATTTTCTCTCCCGATTCTTCACCAACCATCACCTTCTCTGGAGACTTCTGCTAGAATTCCCACCAGGATGCTCCATAGGCTCCCGGCTTCAGCACTGCCCGCCTTCTCCAGCCGCCTAGGCATTGGGTATCTCTACCTCCTCCTCCTTGAGACCTCCACCCCCACCACACACACACACACACACACACACACACACACACACACACACACACACAAAACTGTTGCTTCCTCCCTGATCCCCAGCTGCTCAGCACACAGGTCCCTCTCCAAGCTCCCGCTCAGGGCTGTGTGGAGCCCTGGTATCTCAGAGGAGGTGCACTGAATCCTGCCCGCAAAATTGAACAAAGTGCCAACGAGGAATCAAACATACCTGCAACGTTATCCCAGCGAAAGTCAGAGTTCAAACTTCAATGCTGTGCCAGGCTTTCTCTATGTCTGTGTACCTTAAAATGCTAAAATGGGACCACGGCGCACCTCCTGGTTTTCAGCTGGGACCCGCCTCACTTGGACCTGGTGACAGAGTGAACTAACTGCTGGGGCTCAGTCTCCTGACCTCTCCTTGGCTGCCTCAGTTACCCTGCTGCTGATGAGGACGGCAACTTTCTGCTATCACCTGCGGCTCTCTCATGCAACGGTCCCCAACTTTTTGGCACCAGGGACTGGTTTTTTGGAAGACAATTTTCCCACGGATGGAAGTGGGGTGGAGAACGATTTCAGGATGATTCATTTGCTGGGCACTTTATTTCCATTATTATTCTACTGTAATATATGATAGAATAATTACACAACTCACCATCATGTAGAATCAGTGGCAGCCCTGAGCTTGTTTTCCTTCAACCAGAGGATCCCATCTGAGGGTGATGGGAGACAGGGACAGACCATCAGGCATTGGAGCCTCCTGCGCAGTTCACAATAGGGTTCGCCTTCCTACGAGAATCTGATGCTGCTGTTGATCCGGCAGAAGGTGGAGCTAGGACGGTCATGCTCTCTCGCCCGTCACTCACCTCCCACTACAGGGCCCCGTTCCTAACTGGCCACCGACCGGTATGCGTGGGGTTGGGGACCCGTGCTCTGACTCATACCTGGCATCACGCACTGTTACAGACCCTTGGAGGGCTGTGGGTGGGGGCTCAACATCTGAAGTGGAAAAGCCGATTCTCACAGCTCACTGCTTAAGTGTATTATTTTTAACTTTTGATTCACTTTGTTAAACTGGCCTTTAAAATTTTGTTCCAGTTGACATTCCTACCCACTATGTATAAAAATATCTTTTTCCCACAGACTTGCGAACATTAAGAAAATCATGTTTAGCGCCTAACGTAGAAGGAAGAAGAAAAACATATGAAATGTAGCTTTTCAATTAGTGACACCTTGATCATTTAAATTGCTTACTAGAAATATTTCTTTCATCTTTCTGAGTTTGAAACTTTGTGTAGTTTGACTCTTTCCCTGATCTTCTCAAGAAAAAGTTAAAATAAATCATGAGAAACATTGAAAGAACTCCTTCTGGGACTTTGGAAGTAAGAATTTCCAGCTTTCTCTGCTGATGGAAACTGCCTGAGATGAATTCTGTATCCTGAGGACAATCTAATTTTCCAGCAGAAAGCAAGAGTGTTCATTTCTCTATTCTTCTTCTTAGAAAAAAAAAAATCATTCTAAGCTTTTATTTTAATTCCCTCCAGGAAAACAAAGTGAAAAAAAAACATTGCTTCTGGGCCGTCTGTGTTCCTCCTGCACCCCCCGCCTCCCGGCTTGGATTGGCAAAGCTACTGAGGCATGAAAATTCGCCCAGCGCCTGCAGAAGTGGCTTCAGCACCAACCCTTGTTAGACGCAGGTGGCTGAGTTTTAACTTTTAAAATATTCTCTCTGCTTTTTCAAGCATCACATTTTCTCCCAATCACCCACATTGATACGAATTTGCACCTGAGGCTGAGTCTATGTGTTATATGCCCAGGCTTCCCAGAAAGTCGTCCTCAAATTCTCTATAGATGCAGGTTTGCCTGGGCTGGAAATTGGTGGTCCCATCTTGAGTATGTGTGGTAGGCATGTATGCAGATCGTGTGTGTGTGTGTGTGTGTGTGTGTGTGTGTGTGTGTGTGTGTGTGTATTTATTTTAAGAAACTGGCTTATGCAGTTATGGAGGCTGACAAGGTTGAAATCTGTAGGGCAGGCCAGTGGGCTGGAGATTTGGGCAGAGCATCTGTGTTAGTCTCGAGGCAGAATTCCATCTCCTCCAGGAAATCTGTTTTGCTCTCAAGGCCACTAGCTGACCAGGTGAGGTCCCCCACATGCTCAAGGGCCACCCACTTAAGGTCAGCTGTTGTGGCTGTGAAGCATATCTACACAACACCTTCAGAGCACTGTCCAAACTGGTGTTTGTGCAAACAACTGGGCACCACAGCGTAGCCAAGCGGACACATAAAATCAGCAGTCTTATATGGACGTGTGTCCGTGTGTATGTGTGTGTGCATGTGTGTCTGTGTGTGCATGTGTTCATCCATGTATGTGTGTGCATGTGTGTATGCATGTATGTAATGTGTCCATGTGTGTGTGTGCGTATGTGTGCATGTGTCCATGTATGTGTGCACGTGCGTCTCTGCACATCTGTGTGCATTTCTATATGTGTAGGTGTGTGTGTGCGTGCATGCATGTGTATGCATATGTGTGTGTCCATGTGTGTATGCATGCATTCATGCATGTGTGCATCTGTGGGTGCACATATACAAGTGTATATAATTCTGCCCCAGGTTGGCTGACCTGGCATTTTCCCTTCATGGTGACTGCAACCTTGTTAGCCATGACTCAGTTCCTTCTGTGAAGAGTGAGAGCTTCATGGCATGAGGCCTGGGACAGGTGTCCCTGGCTATTCTGCATCCAGTCCATCTTTCTGAAAAACAACATCATGGCAGCGTTGGTCCCGTTCAGGGGCTCACCAGAAGCCTCACTCCAGCTGGGCCACGAGTGTCAGGACAGGAGGTCCCCATCCAAGCCCCACACTCACCACTGGCCCAGCCTTCTGCAGTGGGTCTGGGGTTGTGGCTCCCAGCCCTGGGGACATCAGGAGCATGGAGTTCAGCTTCACCAATTCATGCTGGATCTTCTGACTGGGTGTCCACCATTTTCCCTTAGACCCCCCCCACCTACCTGCCGGTACCCCCTACTTGGGCCCACACCACAGACTCTGTGTAAATCTGTGCCTCTCTTCCTACCGGGGTGGGGGATCCTTCACCTGACCCACTGCATTGGCCTGAGTAGAATCTAAGCTCCTGAGCTGTACCCTGTGAAGGCATGCTAGCATCCTCGCCTCAGCCCAAAAACTATCTTCTCAACCAATGAGGAGCCCCTCCCAGCCCCTGGCTCCTCACAGTTGGTCCTCACCTGGGGCCACCCTCCACATCTCAGAAGCTCCCCGACCCTTCAGTCCAAGCTCTTTCTGTCTCTCAACTTTAACCTCTCACACTAAGGGATGGTCCCATCAGGAATAGGGTTTCTTTTGTACCATCCTCTTTAAGATCGATGTAAAAAGAAGGCGTGGAACTTCCAGAAACCCGGGCTGCCTGCTGGCCCCACCTGCTCCTCTTTGCCACCTCCCTTCACCACTGGCTCAGGGAAGCGTGGAGCCGCTGCTGGACCGCTGTGGCTGAGCTTGTCACATGCCATGCCTGGTTTCATCACGGAATTCTCAGATAGACATGCGGAGGCTCCATGTTCACTTGCAAATCAGGAAGCTGAGGCTCAGGGTGTATTCAAATGGGGCAATATTTTTATAACATACAGGATCATTTATGATCAACATTCCTTTTTGTTATTTTTTCTTGAGACGGAGTGTCATTCTTATCACCCAGGCTAGAGTGCAGTGGCACAATCTCAGCTCACTGCAACCTCTGCCTCCCCGGTTCAAGCAATTCTCCTGCCTCAGCCTCTCAAGTAGCTGGGATTACAGACGCGGGCCACCACGCCCAGCTAATTTTTGTATTTTTAGTAGAGACAGGGTGTCACCATATTGGTCAGGCTGGTCTCGAACTCCTGACCTCAGGTGATCCAGCCACCTTGGCCTCCCAAAGTGCTGGGATTACAGGCATGAGCCACCACACCTGGCTTTTTTTTGGGGGGTGGGGGGTGCTTTTTCAGACAGAGTCTTCCTCTGTTTCCCAGGCTGGAGTGCGGTGGTGCGATCTTGGCTCACTGCAACCTCCACTTCCCGGGTTCAAGTGATTCTCCTGCTTCAGCTTCCCAAGTAGCTGGGATTACAAGTGTAGACCATCGTGCCTGGCTAATTTTTGTATTTTTTAGTAGAGACAGGATTTCACCATATATTGTCCAGGCTGGTCTTGAACTCATGACCTCAGGTGATTTGCCCACCTCGGCCTCCCAAAGTGCTGGGATTACAGGCGTTGAGCCATCGCGCCTGGCCTATGATCAACACTAACAAGCAATTATGGTAATAGGGACATTCTAAAATTATAGGAATTAAGGCAGTGGGGTATGAACTTAGAGACAAAGAGATCCTAACAGAAGCCTCAAAAATAGATCCACACATGTATGGAAACAACATTAGTGGTGTTATAGAAATATTATGGCTGAGACAATTGACTGAAAAATTTAAAATAAAGAAACAGGTGAATGCAAAACCGTTCATCAGGTCCTGAGGAAGAAACGCTGTGTGTTTGTCACAGCTCCCCTGCTGGGACACAGGGAGACTGCATTTCCCAGCTCTCCTTCCCTCCAACTGGGGGCCACGTGGCTGAGTTTTTGGCTCCTGGAGCGTAGGTGGAAATGCTTCCCATTCTAACCCTGAGAACGCCTGTTCCACCTCCAGCCTCAGCTCTGGTGACTGTCCTTCGGAGGAACATATTTAAGATGGCAGCATGGGGGCCCAGGAGCAGCCTGAATCCCCGAGTCACCACCTGTCTGCAGAGCTCTGAGGGCAGCCCCCAGCCCACACCAGGGTGTGAGACTCCTGGGAGGTAACATCTCTGCCACTGAGATTCCTGCTGTCCTTTTACTTTCCCCCAGCAACACAGAATATCCTGCCCTGATTAATCGTACCCCTGCCTCACCATCCACAGGAAGCACTTCCAGGTACGTTATGTCCTGGAGTGAAAAAGGAGAACTTGTAAGAATGTAGTAAAAAATACAGTTATGCTAACACTGTGAAACCCCATTTTTATTAAAAAATACAACAAAATTAGCTAGGCGTGGTGGCGGGCGCCTTTAGTCCCAGCTAATTGGGAGGCTGAGGCAGGAGAATGGCATGAACCCGGGAGGCAGAGGTTGCAGTGAGCCAAGATTGCACCACTGCAATCCAGCCTGGGCGACAGAGCAAGACTCCGTCTCAAAAAAAAAAAATACAGTTATACATCCAAATGACACAGGTTAGAGAAAGTTCTCCTTTTTCAAAATTGTTTCGCTACTCTAGATCCTTGACATCACCGTAAATGTTTTAATACCAGCTTTTTAATTTCTATTTTGTGTTTTGGGGTTTTTTTAGACAGAGTTTTGCTCTTGTTGCCCAGACTGGAGTGCAGTGGCGTTATCTCAGCTCACTGCAACCTCCGCCTCCCAGGTTCAAGTGATTCTCCTGCCTCAGCCTCCTGAGTAGCTGGGATTACAGGCGCCCGCCACCATGCCCAGCTAATTTTTGTATTTTTAGTAGAGACGGGGTTTCACCATGTTGGCCAGGCTGGTCTCGAACTCCTGACCTCAGGTGATCTACTGCCCTGGCCTCCCAAAGTGCTGGGACTACAGGCATGAGCCACTGCACCCCGGCCTCTATTTCGTTTTTAAAAAGACTATCAGGATAAGTAAATTTGGAAAGAAGAGTTATCTTGCAAATATTTACTCTCCCAACCCATACATGTGCCATACATCTATTCCCATACCTTTAGCTCTTATTTAATTTCACTCAGCAGAGTTTTTTAGCTTTCAGTGTAAACAGCTGGGATAGCTTTCACACAATTGATTCCTAAATACATTTTTCCTGCTATTGTAAATGGATTTTTTATTTCACTTTCCAGTTGTTCATTGTTCTTTTACACAATTATGACAATTTTTGCATGTTGACCTTGTTACTATGCTTATAATTTTTCTGTAGATTTGTTAGAATTTTCTGCATACACAATCATGTCACCTGCAAACAGAGAAAATGTTACTTCTTCTCTTGCTATATAAATGCATTTTAATTATTGTTCTTGCCTCGATGCTCTCTCTAGAACCTCCAGTGCACTGCTAAATAGGTGTGAGTGAACATTCTTCACTTTTTCCTGATCTTGAGACAAAACAATTAATGTCACAATATTTGGTGTGGTGTCACTTGTATAATATAGATACATGATTATCTATATACACTATACATCTATACATAGAGATGATTTTCATCAGGAGGAAATTTTGTTCTATCTTATTTGGCTGAGTTTTGTCATGAATAAGTGTTAAATTTTGTCAAATTATTATTCTTCATCTATTAATAACATGTTATGGTTTTCTCCTGTATTCTGTTAATAAGTAAATGGCAGTGATTAGTTTTTGAATGTTGAATCCACCTCGCAGGGCCTCCCTTGGTCCCAGTCTGTTTTTTTATTGTTATAATCTTTTTTTAAAAATTATACTTTAAGTTCTGGGGTACATGTGCAGAACATGCAGGTTTGTAACATAGGTATACAAGTGCCGTGGTGGTTTGCTGCACCCATCAATCGTCATCTACAGTAAGTAGTCTTTATTATGGCTTTGTAGACTGCCAGGTTCTGTTTGCTAATGTTTTGCAGAGCATTCTTCCACACATATCCACGGAGAACATTTGTCATTTTCTCTTCTCGTTATGACTTTCTTGAGTGTGGTGTCATGGTGTTGCTAACCTCATAAAAAGAACTGACTGGCCAGGCACGGTGGCTCACGCCTGTAATCCCAGCACTTTGGGAGGCTGAGGAGGGCAGAGCACAAGATCAGGAGATCAAGACCATCATGATCAACACGGGAAACCCTGTCTCTACTAAAAATACAAAAATTAGCCAGGCGTGGTGGCAGTCACATGCAGTCCCAGCTACTTGGGAGACTGAGGCAGGAGAATGGCTTGAACCCGAGAAGTGGAGGTTGCAGTGAGCCAAGATAGCACCACTGCACTCCAGCCTGGGTGACAGAGCGGGACTCCATCTCAAAAAAAAAAAAAAAAATCTGGGAAGTGTTACTTCCTCTTCCATTTGGGGGAAGTGTTGTGTAGAACTGGTGTGATTTTTTCCTGACTTCTTGTTTTTCAGAATTCACAAGTAAAAACCTGTGTCTCTGTGGTTTCCCTTTGGAGAAGGTTTACAATTTATTTCTTTAATAGATAATCAAGCTCTCCAGAACTTATGTTTATTCTTCAGCCATGTCTTACATTGTTAGACATTTATACAATTTATTAATACTGTCACAGAAATTTTTCTATTGTTGTTTTATTGTATTTTTTCTATTAGTTTTTTTACACCATCAACTTATAGCTCATATTTTATCATTGATTTTTTTCACTCCTTTAAGTTGCTTTTCTATCTGCTTATGTTCAAAAGTCAGATTACCAATCTTAAATTTTCTTCTTTTCTAATATAAGCAATTAAAGCTATAAGATTTCCTCCAAGCCCGATTTATCTGCATCCCCAAAATGTTACATATGCTCAAGAGATTAAAAGAAAAGACATCGGAATAATTAGAGAAACCATGGCCTTGAGGAGGACGTGCATGGAGAGGTTCCACAAAGGAAAGCAAACAGCAAAAAACGATCGACTGGACTCTTAGATTCTAGCGCCCTGATCCCACCTGGACCTCAGCTTGACCGCCGCCCTTGGCAACTCCTGGGGAGGAGACAGCACCTCCTGTGCTCCCCTCGGCTCCACCCTTCGGAGGCAGCGACATCCACACAAGTGGAGAAATGGCTCCTTGGGAACCACTTGGCACTGGCAGGAAATTGCATGTTTAGAATAAATGCTATATATTAAAGTTACTTAGAAAGTTGTCAGGAGAACGGAGGCCTGAGAGGGGGGTGTTCTGGGGCAGGTGTGCTGTCGCTGGGGCTTGCTATTTCTTTGTTCCTTGTTTGCCTTTGAGCCCATGTGAAATTCCCGGCGGGGGAAGAGAGGCTGAGCTCCCCGCCTGCCCCTGCCTCAGCACTGGCCCTGGGCTGGCCTCCTCCAGGTCCCATCCCCAGCCTGCAGCCTACACACTCTGTCTGGGTCCCTCTTCACAAAGCAACCCTGGAAAGGCGGGCACTAGGGAACTCAGCCTCCCAACGGCCCCAGGGGCGTGAAGCTGCCTCCATGTGCCTTTAACGTCCATGTCCCAGCCTGACAGACACAGATGCGTACTCCCATTTGTTCTCTAGGTCATAACTATAATCACCACTGCTTTGCTAATTAATGCAAATTGCAAGCGTTCCTATTGGAAACAAGCGTTCTGGCTTTTTTCAGTGGCCATCCATCTTCCAGGTTTGCCTCTGTGACCTCCCAGGGCTGCGGACAATTCTCCCAGGGGGTAGCAGCCATCCATCCGCCCTCTCCCTGCCCGGGAGCTGAGGCAGCGACCATCCATCTGCCCTCTCCCTGCCGGGGAGAGGGAGTTGGGGCAGCGGCTGTCCATCCACCCTCTCCCTGTCTGGGAAGGTCACCAGTACTGCCCCATCATGAGAAATGCCGGGGAGCTGAGGCAGTGGCCATCCATCCGCCCTCTCCCTGCCGGGAAGCTGAGGCAGTGGCTGTCCATCCACCCTCTCCCTGCTGGGGAAGGTCACCAGTACTACTCCATCATGAGAAATGCCAGGGAGCTGAGGCAGCAGCTGTCCATCCACCCTCTCCCTGCTGGGGAAGGTCACCAGTACTGCCCCATCATGAGAAATGCCGGGGAGCTGAGCAGTGGCCGTCCATCCGCCCTCTCCCTGCCGGGAAGCAGAGGCAGTGGCTGTCCATCCACCCTCTCCCTGCTGGGGAAGGTCACCAGTACTGCCCCACCATGAGAAATGCCGGGGAGCTGAGGCAGCGGCCGTCCATCCGCCCTCTCCCTGCCGGGAAGCAGAGGCAGTGGCTGTCCATCCGCCCTCTCCCTGCTGGGGAAGGTCACCAGTACTGCCCCATCATGAGAAATGCCGGGGAGTTGAGAGGGTGAAAGCCAATGGGATGGACTTGGGTGGCCTCTCCACAGGTGTCCCGCACCTGGGGTCTTGGATCTAAGCGGGGGCACCAGGCCTTCCTCAGTTTCTGTGGATTGGCGCTGCACACAGGGGCTGACATCTCCAAGGGCTCAGGGCCAGTAGAGGGTGGTGGTTGGTCAGCCACCGTGGGGGAGGACGGAAGACGAAGGCTGGACGAGAATCGTTTTGCAGCTCAGCATCAGGGAAGAGCTGGCTCCTGCTCGCCCAACCCCCTGCTAGCCTCCTGGCCGTGGGTACGTCCTCAGTCCTCAGCACCGGCCAGGAGTGAGCCGGCGGCACTGCTGGAGGGCTCAGGGCACAGCTGAGTCCGTGTCATTCTCATCCTCAGAGGTCCTCAGATGAGCCGTTCTCCACGTCTGTGACCATCCTCACGGGGCAGATGAGGAAGCTGAGACGCAGACCCCAGGACGGATGAGAAAGAATCCAGTTCTTGGCTTTGTGGCTGGCGCACTGGTGTCCTCCAGGCACTTCAGGAAGCCGGAGAACAAATCACAAATCCACCTCCCACCTGGATCTGTCCCGGCAACCCTGGTCCTCAGACAGGCTGAGGCGGGCAGAGCTCGCCCGAGGCAGCCTCAGGAAGAGGGAAACTGGGCACATCCTCCCCAGCCCCGCTCTCTAGGGCAGTGTGGCCGCCAGGTGGCACAACCGGCTGAAGCTGTCCTCGTCACAGGAGCTTGGAGCCCCATCCCACAGCCTCCTCACACGTCCCCCATGGGAGCTGCTCCTGTCCTAATAACCTGCACCAATAACCAAGCGAGAACAAGGAGAAGTGACACCTGCAGAGTGTGCTGAGGGCATCGCACTGGGATGGTCGTCGCCCTTCCGTGAAGTCCCATGGAGGTTCCCATGAGGCGAGCCTGGCGGGTTTGGGATGGTCCCAGAGTGGAAGGGCTTCTGTGTTTGGGTTTTGTTGGGCTTTGACTGATGACTACAATTCACTCGTTAAAGGCTGAATCTAGAGAAGGGATTCCGGCAAAGCCCACGTGCGTTTGGCAGGGCAGCGGGTGGGTCAGTGAAGCCCAGAGGGGCAATGGGTCAGAGGCCTCCACAGCTCTGTGATGTGCTTTTATTTCAGCAACTGTGTTTTTGTTCCCATGATCTTTCATTGGCTTTTTTCAAAGTTACTTGTTCTTGTTTCGTGGATGGAGTGCAATTATAGTGACCACATTTCAGGCACTATTCTAAGTGCTGTGCAGATAACTATCAACTCACTCGACCCTCAGGAAACCATGCATTAGAATCCATTACCAGAACTTGGCTGGGCACAGTGGCTCATGCCTGTAATCCCAGCAGTTTGGGAGGCCGAGGCAGGCAGATCACCTGAGG
Source organism: Homo sapiens (assembly GCF_000001405.40). Taxonomy (NCBI): domain Eukaryota; kingdom Metazoa; phylum Chordata; class Mammalia; order Primates; family Hominidae; genus Homo; species Homo sapiens. The sequence goes on from NC_000022.11 coordinate 49,435,031, forward strand.
TCAGGAGTTTGAGACCAGCCTGGCCAACATGCCAAAACCCCATTTCAACCAGAAATACAAAAAATTAGCCAGGCGTGGTGGCGGTCGCCTGTAATCCCAGCTACTTGAGAAGCCGAGGCAGGAGAATCGCTTGAACCCGGGAGGCAGAAGTTGCAGTGAGCTGATATCGCGCCATTGCACTCCAGCTAGGGCAACAAGTGAAACTCCATCTCAAAAAAAAAAAAAAAAAAAGAATCCATTACCAGAACTTTAGACTCAAGGAAACAGACACAGGCGAGTGAACTGGATTTTCTGAGTCAGGAGAGGCCTTTCCTCCTCGTTCTGGGGGCACCGATTACAATTCCCTTAAGATGCTTCAGCAGAAATGTCCCGCCTTAAACAGAGGTGCCCAGGGGTATAAATTCCCTTTTTAATTTGATGTGTGCAATTTATCATCGCAGGATTTCTCACAAAACCCTCGGTCTGTCAAGAACCCCCTTCTTTGCTGTAAGCACAGTCATGTATACGCACCTTACAGGCTTCCGAGAGCTGCCTGTCATGTCAGGAATACAGACATGGGAGGGAAAGCCTGCAGCGCCCACATGGACTCAAGTCAGGTGACATCAATTCCTTTAGCGGAGTGTCTGCAGGAATTGGCCCCACTGGACACCCTGTGAGCCCATCTCGCTGAGGCCCAAGCTGACACCGCGTTCAGCATGCCTGGCTTCCAGCAGGTGGACGCCCTGTGATCCGTGCTGACTGTGTGACCCGTGCTGTGTGATCCATGCTGGCCATGTGACCCATGCTGGCCGTGTGACCCATGCTGGCCGTGTGACCCATGCTGGTGCTTCGCTTCCCTTGGATAGAAACCATTTCTCCACAGACTGTCCTCACCAAGCAAGTCCTGCTTGTTGCCTAAGTTGGCTGCCATGCCCCTGCTGGTTTCTGTGTCCATAACTCGCCTTCCTCACCCATGCCCGTACCTCCACCATCAGGGAGACCGACCGCACCCTGAGCCCCTGCCTCGCCTTGTTGCTGCTCACAGGACCTCAAGCAACGAATTCTTCTCTGTGTAAAATATGACTCTTCACACACATTCGTTTTTAAATTATCATTCAAAATTATACCAAGCTTTGTAAAGAAAACAAACGGTGTGCATGTGGAGAGACCTGTAGGTCCCTAGAGCCACACAGCAGTGCCCATCCGCCGTGACCCCTGCCCAGTGCTCCCAGGAGCCTGCAGATGAAGCCGCTCTCGGCCACTCTCTCCCATGGACTAAGCCACTCTCAGCCACTCTCTCCCGTGGACTGGGTCATCCCAACAACACTGTGTCATCTTGACCTCACCCCAGTCCAGCCGTCATTCTCTGTCAAAGAAAGAAATTAGTCGGGTTTCACGAGGCTTAGGTCTGGGAATTTACTACTCTGCTTTAGAAAAAAGCTTCTTTTACAAGCACAATAAAAATGCAAATTAAAGTATAAATGAATCAGAAAAAAAGATCTCCATCTTTCCAAAGCATAACCCCAGTTACATTTCCCATGAACGCCTCCAAAGACCTCCTCTGAACATGTTATTAGAGCCATGAAGTTCCAGACAATTGATGGGTTTTCCTTCCGCATTAAGCTAAATAACAGCATCTTATGGGTCAACAAAAAGACGTCTGTGCCTTTTGGCTACAATTAAGATCGAGGTTGGATTTGCACTTCTCTTTAATTACTAATAGATTAATCCAAGTCTAAAAGACCATCCATAATTAGCATTTTGTTGATTGATTTGTTGCAAAGAAATGACCCTGATTATGTTCTTAGTAATCAGTTTATAGCTAATTGGCTTTCTTTCATTAAAATATAAAGAGCCATCCATAAAAAGTGGTCAAGGTGTGTGGGGATCGTAAATGGCACAGAAATGCTGTCACTCGTCAGAGGTGGCTCTCTTTGATTTTTATGGAAATCTAATTATTCAGTGAATTAAGGGATCTGACCTCCACAGGAAGGCAGTGGGTGACTTCCAGACATTGGTCACCCAAGGGGAAGGCCAAGGTTGTGTAAGATGCTGAGCAAAGATGGCACCGTTTGCAGCCACAGCGAGGAGGACTGATTTATTGTTAACAAAAATGGCAGAGTCAGTAGACAGTAATTAAAGATTTGCCGCACAGCTCAATAATCCAAAATATTCAGAGATTGCAATTAATTTCTTGGCAGTGACAATGCCTAATTAGATGTAATCCTTCTTACTCTAGATAAAAACAAAACAAAAAAATTCCCGGAGAAGCAAAGACCAGAACGGGAGAATTCATATTCTAAGCAAAGGCCAGATACACCTCTTGCTTCCCACATCTGTTTGGCTGTAAGAGTCTCCACTAAAAAATAACCTCTGTTATTATCACCTATGTGCTTTTCGATTGCGACCTGAGCGGGACCGAGTCAGGAAGTCTGATCGCATCTAAAGGAGGATGCTTGCTGGGGAGGAGTCCGTGCTGCCCTCCCTCTCTTCCCCTCAGAGGAGAAGCCACCAGGACCCCGTCCCAGTCACGACGCCAGAGCCCAGAGCTGCACGAGGATCCCAAATCCACCTGCTCGGGCACAGCTGCCAGCAGCGTGGCCCATTCCTCACGTCCAGGTGACTGTGGGCACCTTCACCGTGTCTCCCCGTTTTTTCTCACTGTTTTCATTTCCTGCCATTTTTAGTAAAGATTACCTACTGCTGCACCTCGGTGTTTCTGCTTTCCAGCGCCTGGGGTGAGAGTAGCGACACGGTCTTCTCGTACGCGTGAGGAGCCAGTGGAGGAACTCAGATGGCCAACCCCACACCTGCAGCAGGTGCGGAGGTGGAAGGCAGGAAAGAAAAGGACTCCCGCAGCCCTCCATTCCTCCCCAGAGAAATTGGCAGTTAGGAATGAATGAATGAATGAGTAGGAAAAGCAACCCAGCCCAGCTTCCTTCCTCCCACCTTTCACTATGGAAAAGCCCTCAGAGCTGCGATCCTCTGTGGCCATGGTGGCCGTGGGCTGGCCTAGTGGAGCTGGGGTGTCCCAGACAAGCAGCGTCTGCCAGGCAGACAGAGGCAGCAGACGCCCGCAGGCTCCTGGTCAGAGGCCACATAGGGCAGAAAGCATGTCCACACGGGTCCAGGACACTGGGCTCCCATGTGGGTCCTAGCGCCACTGAGGACCTCCGTCCGCACAGAGCGGGAGGCTTTCAGGGAAGCGCCTCAGCGCCCGGCTCAAATCACCCTGGACAGCAGCCTCAGAAAGGAGTTGGCCCCATTTTTCTTCTTAGTCTTTGCATTGTCTGGAATTTGGAGCCGGTGACATACGCTGAAGTCTCTCTAGCCTCCCAGAGCGCAGAGGCCGAATCCAGCAGCATTGCTGCGTTTGTGCTGTTTTTATTATGCAGTGACCTCGCGTTTATATCCAGGGATTCTTGGTTTCAGTGCTTGATGGGGAATAACAACATTTCCCATTAAGACAAATGACTTCGACTCATGAAGTGCGTGGATTTCAATGACACAAGGGGGTCCTGTCATGGGGTGTCCCTCCATGGGAGGGGAGAGGAAGGAGGAGCTGGCCTGAGGCAGAGGGTCACCAGAAGCCCCCTCTGAGACATTGACAGCCCAGTGGAGGGAGGAGGGGGTTGGCGGTATAGGAGGATGGCGGCTCCCTCTTGAGCCTCCCTGAGGCCGGCCCTAAATGGGCCTCCCTCGCCCTTCATCTTCTGTGATTCCATTTTCATTTCTATGATAAGAACATTCTTGCAGGTTTTAAAAGGTAAATACCACTTAATACAATTCTTTCTTGCTGAAACCACTGTCACGTGGGGATGTCTGTGATTCACAGCTGGGCCTCACGCAGGGCCGTGCAGGAATCTAATTGGAACTGCCGAAAATTTACATGTGCATTTAGGAGAAGTGACAGTTTTAAATTTGTGTATCCTTACCCCAAAACACGTGAGATGTTTCATTTTGTAGATATTCTCTTGGCATTTAGTAATGTCCTGTACTTCTCTTCACGTGTGCTGTGTCTTTCTGGAGAAATACTGTCCTATGTTTCTGCCTGTGTGTGTGCAAGAGAGTATATTTCTAGTTCTGTTTCTAGCACTGATTGCTAGAAGGGAGAAAACTTTTTTTTTTTTGAGACAAAGTTTCGCACTGTTGCCCAGGCTGGAGTGCAGTGGCATGATCTCGGCTCACTGCAACCTCAGCCTCCTGGGTTCAAGCGATTCTCCTGCCTCAGCCTCCCGAGTAGCTGGGATTACAGGCATGTGCCACCATACCCGGCTAATTTTGTACTTTTAGTAGAGATGGAGTTTCACCATGTTGGGCAGGCTGGTCTAGATACTCCCGACCTCAGGTGATCCACCCTCCTCGGTCTCCCAAAGTTCTGGGATTACAAGCATGAGCCACCATGCCCGGCCTATGTTTCCTTTGTATCCAGCCACGTTGCTGAATTTTCCCCTCTGAGCTCCCTCAGTTCCAGGGCACCTCCGCCTGCCCATAAGCTTCCGCAACCACCACCGCTGGAGACTAGATGGGGACCAGGAGGGATCCTCAGAGCATCTCCTGGGAGGCGGGCACCTCTCCTCCCCTTGCACGCCATTGGCCAAAGCAAGTCACATGGCCTGGCTTGTCTTTCCTGAAACACAGGACGCATGGAAGAACCAGAGATACGAGTGAGCACCAGCTATGTCCAGAATGTGGCCATTTAAATAATTTACCTTAAATGTGATTGACTTATGATCAAAGAGTGGGGTGGATCCTATCAGCATTATGGGGTTTGTTCAGGTCCATGTGTGTGTTTGTATGTGTGTGCCCACATGTGTGAAGGATTTTTGCAAATTTTTCTGTCTATATAAAAATGCACATTCTCTGCTTGAGGCATGTAAGTCTCCCTATCTAACCTCAACACATTTGTGGGTTTTTCACACAATTCTCATAAGCATTTGGTTACTTGTCTCTACAACTTTAAAATTCTAAGAGGCCAGGCACGGTGGCTCACACCTATAAATCCAACACTTTGGGAGGCCGAGGCGGGCAGATCACCTGAGGTCAGGAGTTCGAGACCAGCACGGTCAACATAATGAAACCCCATCTCTACTAAAAATACAAAAATTAGCCGGGCATGGTGGCACATGCCTGTAATCCCAGCTACTCGAACCTGGGAGGCGGAGGTTGCGGTAACCTGAGATTGCACCACTGTACTCCAGCCCGGGTGACAGAGCAAGACTCCACCTCAAAAAATAAAAAATAAAATTCTAAGATAGATGCATTGAAATGGCACGTTGGATTTTTCTCCGGACCTTCTTCTCGTGCGTACAACAGTTCTCACTTCATGCACTTCCCTGCCAGCCTTTTGACCACAGTCACCAGGTTTATGTTTTATTGATATACAAGCAGCCATTCTATTCAATGGAATTATTTTAACCTTAGATTCTACATTGTCTAACGATAATTTTCACTTCTTACTTGTTGGGTGTGTATTTCTCTGGCTGTATCCTTGCAGATCCTTTTATTATTTCTCCGAGTCAATTACTAATGATGTATGTCTGACATATTCACAAAACGGTGCCTGCAAGGTACAGCTCAGTGAACTTTCACCCAGCAGGACGCACGTGTCACCAGATTAATAAAGAGAACATTACCGAGTCCTGAAGTCCTTCCTGTCCTCTGCACACGCCCAGAGATAACTGCAATCTTAGCTTTTATCAACGCATTCGTTTTTGCACATTACATAAATAGAATCGTAAAGTACTTTGTATTTTCTAGTTAGTTCCTTTTGCACATTTTCTTTGCGAGGTTCATCTGCATTGTTGAGAGTAGTTGCAGAGGGTTCATTTGGGTTGCCAGATAACATTTCATCCTGAATACTTACCCGTTTCCAAGTTATCGATCTTTTTTACCATAGACGGGTATTGCGGCCGTTTCCCTTTTCCGTCGTGAGGAAGAGCAGAGCCGTGACATCCCTGTGAGCATCTTTCAGGGAGTGTGCAGGCCTTTCTGTGGGCTGTGCTCCCCATGATTGGGCGGAATCGTAGAGCACGTATGTCAACGTCGCTGGGTAACTTCCACAGGTTTTCCACCGTGCTAGTACCGTCTCCTTCTCCCACCAGCACCGCGTCTGCGCTCCTTCCTCCCACGTCCTGTCCGGCGCTGGACGTTGTCTCTGTAAGGCTTGTCTCTCCTTCCGTGCTGTCTCCGACCCGTGGCACCTGCCAGGGACAAAGCCTCTGCTGAATCGGTCCTCCCTATGCCATTTATAACCAACGGTTGAAGTGGAGGAAAACAGAATAATGAAAAGTACTTGTTCATCCAAAAGACTGCAAGACGAGGAGAGGAAAAGTAAGATAAATGATGTAGGGAAGCAGAAAATAAAGAATCCATTGACAATTAGAACACAAATATTTTAGAAATGAAATTAAATGTTCAGTTAAAGATTGTTAGTTGAAAATAAATACATAAAACATGCATAAAATTTATACAATTTTGTTATAGGAACACAGAAAAATTAAAATACTATATGAAAATAGAAAAAATGCATATCATATAAACACTAACCAAGAGAACGCCGGTATAGCCCAATTAATGTCAGACAAAATAGGTTTTAAGGCAAGAAACATTAATGAGAAAAGAAACATGTTGTATTAATAACAAAACGTTATTAATAAAAACAAAAATATTAGTCTACCAGAAATATATAACAGAACTCCAAATGCTGACATCTAACCAAAGATTATCAAAATTCATAAATAAAAAATGATGAAACTAAAAGGAGAACCAATGAATCAATAATTATAGTGAGAATACTTAACAAGCTGCTCTCAGTAATTGAAATAAAAATAATTCATGATATAGTCCAGGGATCAGCAAACCAAGACCCATGGGTCAAACTGCCTTCCCTCTATTTTTGTAAATAAATCTGTATTGAAACCCAGCAATATCCATTCACTTGTGTGTTTTCTATGGCCGATTTTGCATAGCAGCCACCATATTTATTATTTGGCTCTTTACAGAAAGTTTGCCGACCTTGATAAAGACCTAAACACACAAACAACGAACTGCCCCTATTGATCCCTGTTGGTGACAGACATGGCGCTATGCCCGGCAGCAGAGTCGTGGGTGTAATTGTTGCTGTTGTTGGTGTTGGTGTTGTTTTGAGACAGGGTTTTGCTCTGTCACCCGGGCTGGAGTACAATGGCGCCATCTTGGCTCGCTTCAACCTCCAGCTCCCTGGTTCAAGCAATTCTCCTGCCTCAGCCTCCTGAGTAGCTGGGACTACAGGCACGCACCACCACGCCCAGCTAATTTTTGTATTTGTAGTAGAGACGGGGTTTCACCATATTGGCCAAGATGGTCTCAATCTCCTGACCTCGTGATCTGCTCCCTGTGGCCTCCCAAAATGTTGAGATTACAGGCGTGAGCCACCGTGCATGGCCAAGTCGTGTTCTTGTCAAAGCATAGTAAATATTTACTCAATATTTACCAAAATTGACTACATGTTGTACCATTAAAAAGTCTCTTCCAATTCAAAAGATTTAAATCATTCTAAGTATGTTTTCTGACCACAGCAGAATTCATCCAGAAAGCCATATGTTAAAGATAACTATAAAACTTTAAAGTGTTTGGAAATTAAACACTACACTACTAAGTCACACATAGTTCAAGGAAGAAATCATCAAGAAATTAGAAAATATTTTAAATTAATGATAAAATTCTCCATGAAAAACTTGTGGGTGCAGCCGGAACCCCGATTAGAGGGAATTCGATCCTGAAGTACTACGTTACCAAAGATTGAAGGCTACAAGGCAGTTATCCAGCTTTGTATCTCAAATAGTAGAAAATATTAGTTCAATCCTGAAGTACTACGTCACCAAAGATTGAAGGCTACAAGGCAGTTATCCAGCTTTGTATCTCAAATAGTAGAAAATATTAGTTCAATCCTGAAGTACTATGTTACCAAAGATTGAAGGCTACAAGGCAGTTATCCAGCTTTGTATCTCAAATAGTAGAAAATATTAGCAAATTATACCTAAAAGAATGGAGTGGGAAGGGAGTAAGAAAGATGTGAGTAGTTCTCAATACTTTAGAAAACGATCACACAGCAGGGAAAACCAACCTAGCCAAACACTAGCTCCCCGAGAAGCCTCCTTCAAAGTATCACCCCCTACCAAGACCGACAGGAATACAAAGACAACAGGTACCAGTTACCAAACCCAGAAATGAAGAGTGGGCAACCACACAGCCTAAAGACATAAAATCAGTTTTTTTTTGTTTTGTTTTTTGTTTTTTGTTTTGTTTTGTTTTGTTTTTTTTTTGAGACGGAGTCTCGCTCTGTCGCCCAGGCCGGACTGCGGACTGCAGTGGCGCAATCTCGGCTCACTGCAAGCTCCGCTTCCCGGGTTCACGCCATTCTCCTGCCTCAGCCTCCCGAGTAGCTGGGACTACAGGCGCCGGCCACCACACCCGGCTAATTTTTTGTATTTTTAGTAGAGACGGGGTTTCACCTTGTTAGCCAGGATGGTCTCGATCTCCTGACCTCATGATCCACCCGCCTCGGCCTCCCAAAGTGCTGGGATTACAGGTGTGAGCCACCGCGCCCGGCCAAAATCAGTTTTTAAAAAAGGAAATTATGAGCAGGTTTATGCCAGTCAATTTAACAACTGGATGAAATAGGTGGATAAAAAGTGCAGCCCTGCAAAGCCCACCAAAAAAAAAAAAAAAAAAAAAAAAAAAAAAAAAAAACCTGAAAGCTTTAATCTCTGGAAAATAAATTTAATCTGAAATAAAAAACCTCTCCACAAAAAATCTTCAGGCCTAGAGAGCTCTGTTAGCAAATTCATCCAAATTTGCTTAAATATGGATAACAACATTCCACAGTGTCTTTCAGAAATTGGAAAAGGGGCAAAATATCCCAGAGTCACAGGGGGCTGGGCATCCCAGACACCAAAGCCTGGCAACTGACTTACGGGCAGGAATGCCACACCCCCATCTTCCTCCGGAGCACGTCGGTTTAAATCCTAAACCAAATACAAGTAAATTGAATTCAGCAATTTGCAAACCATAGGATTCATCATGATCGAACGTATTTAATCCCACCAATGCAGTGGTAATTTAACATTAAAGGAATTAATTAATGCACTTAACTCCTTGACAGCAAAGGAGAAAATGTATATGATCGTTTGAATAGAAGATGCGAAAACTGCTTGGTAAAATTCAACATCTATTCATGTTAAAAGACCTTAGACAGCTAGGCGTTGAAGGTAACTTATTACAAAGCCCTAGTAATCCAGGCAGTGTGATATTTCTGGAAGCAGAGCAGGTGGACTCAGTGACCAGGGTGAAGAGTTTTGCAGAATCACCTCACATGCACGTGGTCTCTGAACTCAGGACGAGGGTGACATTGCGAGGCACAGGCAGATGAGATCTTCTTACTAAATTCTGTTTGATCCATTTGAGGAAAAGAAAGTGAATCCTTGCTGCTACGTTATATTGCCCTGAATAATTAATTCTGAGTGAACCACAGACCTGAATGTGAAAGACAAAACAAAAAAAGCTCACAGAGGAACGTGTGGGAGAACGCTCCTCCTGACCTTGCGTTGGACAGAGAACTTTGACTTGGCCCCAGAAAGCACCTGCCACATGTAGAATGTAGACATTGGTAGACACTCAGCTTAAGAACTTCTGTCCTCGAAAACACAGCTCTAAGAGTGGACAGGTAAGCCCCAAGGAGAAGAAGACATCACAGGACTTCTCTCAACCTCGGACTTGCAGCCAACACACAGAAGAGACATACAAACCAGTGAGACAAAGAAAGACGGGTCGACTGAAAACTGTGAAATCTGAAATAGGCACTTCACAGAAAGGGTGTCTGATGTGCACCGAGCACAGAAGAGATCTTCAGCCCCACTAGTCTTCACGGTCATGGGAGTGAAAACCGTGTCGCACTCCCCAGAGAGGCCAGCGTGTGAGAGCAGACGGTGCCCGGTGCTGCGGAGGAGCGGGAAGAGGAACTGCGGTCCTCACACCTGCTCGTGTGAATGTTGGTGGCTTCAGCCTCCTTGGAAAACTGTATTTCAGTATCTACCACAGGTAAAAACACCCCGACTGTATGGCCCAGTGTATGAGTCAATTTTCATAGGAGTCCATTTTCATTTCTTCTGCTATGAAGAAATACTTAAGACTGGATAATTTATAAAGAAAAAGAGGTTCGTAATCCCAGCACTTTGGGTGGCCGAGGCAGGTAGATCACGAGGTCAGGAGTTCGAGACCAGCCTGGCCAAGATAATGAAACCCTGTCTCTAAAAATACAAAAATTAACTGGGCAAGGTGGCGGGCTCCTGTAATCCCAGCTACTTGGGAGGCTGAGGCAGGAGAATTGCTTGAACCCAGGAGGGAGAGGTTGCAGTGAGCCGAGATCACACCACTGTACTCCAGCCTAGGTGACAGAGCAAGACTCTGTCTCAACAAAAAAAGAAAGAAAAGAAAGAAAGACGGAAAGAAGAAAGAAAGAATGAAAGACAGAAAGAAAGAGAAAGAAGGAAGGAAGGAAGGAAAGAAGAAAGAAGAAAGAAAGAAAGAGAGAAAGAAAGAAAGAAAGAAAGAAAGAAAGAAAGAAAGAAAGAAAGAAAGAAAGAAAGGAAGGTAGGTAGGTTGGTTTAATGGACTCACAGTCCCACATGGCTGGGGAGACCTCACAATCATGGCAGAAAGTGAAGGAGAAGCAAAGGCATGTCTTATGGCAGCAGGCAAGAGGGCGTGTGCAAGGGAACTCCCTTTATAAAACCATCAGATCTCAGGAGACTTATTCACTATCACGAGAACAGCAGGGGAAAACCCGCCCCCATGATTCAATTACCTCCAGTGGGTCTCTTCCAAGACCCATGGGGAAGATGGGAGCTACAATTCAAGATAAGGTTTGACTGAGGACACAGCCAAACCATATCACCCAGCAAGTCCACTACTGAGTTTATACCCAATAGATGCAACATGCCTAACAGCTAAACCTAAAAATGTTCCCACTGAAATGGGCAGCAGTGGTAGGAAAGGTGGATCGAGTATAGCGTCTTCACAGCTGTGTATCATCCTGAGCTACAAACAGCTGCCGTGCACAGCAGCAGGCATTCACCCTCCACACCCAGTATCAAAACACAGCAGACAATCCAAAGGTGCAAACTGCAAAATTCCGTTTACTTCTTTTTCAAAAGCAGGCAAAGCTGAGGACTGGTGATGGCAGCCCAGATACTCAATGGGGCTGACTCTAGAGGTTCCCCAAGGGGCTGGGAATGCCAGGTCTCTCTCTCCAGCTGGTGGCTGGCTCTCAGGCCCTTCCGTCCGGCTAGTGGCTGGCTCTCGGGCCTCTGCGTCCAGCTGGCAGCTGGTTCTCGGGCTGCCCTCAGCAGGCCCTCCCTCTCCAGCTCCGCAGGGGGAAGACCACGTCTCTTCCCTGGCTCCACTGACTCCCCTTTTTTAACAAAAATTGGCACTACTAAAAGCAAACAAAAATTTGCTTTCTATCCACTGATAGGAACAAGGTCATGTTTGCTTTCCCCCGACAGGAGGCCCCTGCGGGAAGTAACAGACACACGCTCACTCTCCGTTTCTCATCCTCTATCGAAAGGCGTCGGCAAATCTGGAAGGGGCGGTCTGCAGCTGAGCTCTGCTGATTCCTTAATCAGCACCCCTTTGTAGGACCCCCTGGGTTACATCCATCTTCTCCCATCATAAGCGACGTGTGTGTCAACAATGCTTGCCTGTTTGAAGATTACGACTCAAGTAGAAAAGCTGGTGTCTAATGTTATCTATCCGGGTGCTCCCAGGAGGATGATGAAAGCCAACCCTGTGGGCCCTGAGTCAGGGGGAGCCCCTTCCACCCTCCGCCCAGGGCTGGTTCGAGTCAGGAGGAGCCCTTTCCCCTCTCCGCCCAGAGCCCTGAGTCAGGGGGAGCCCCTTCCACCCCCAACCCAGGGCCCTGAGTCAGGGGGAGCCCCTTCCACCCCCAACAAGGGCCCTGAGTCAGGGGGAGCCCCTTCCACCCCCAACCCAGAGCCCTGAGTCAGGGGGAGCCCCTTCCACCCCCAACCCAGGGCCCTGAGTCAGGGGGAGCCCCTTCCACCCCCAACCCAGGGCCCTGAGTCAGGGGGAGCCCCTTCCACCCCCAACCCAGGGCCCTGAGTCACGGGGAGCCCCTTCCACCCCCAGCCAGGGCTGGTTTGAGCATAGACACCAGGGTGCTGTTCCGCCAACGCGTCCTCCACTATCGGTGGGTGGAAGGCCTGAGTGTTTCCTGGTCTGCTGAGGGCTCGTTTGTGAATATCCCTTTCCGAATTGCCAGACGGTTCCCTGTGCCCATTTTTAAGTATTTTTCATCACTTCCTTATGGATTTGTAGAAGCACTTTCTACATAGGGAACGTTCACTCTTTATCACATAAATCCGAAGTATTACCCCAGTTGGCAGCTTTTTAATTATATTTTGGCATAGAGAAGTCATAAATATTTATTTGTGCAAGCATCGAAAATGTTCATATATGGCTTTCGCCATCGTTGTGGGCTTCTGGAATGACTTCCCCACACAGTTATTGTGTAAGACTCAGCATCATCACACAAGAAAATGGCCATTTACTTTCTTCATGAGAATTCCAGAAATATCGTTTTCGTGTGTTAAATGCAGAATATCCTGTCACAGCTGTCTGACCAGCCTACTAGCTTTACGTGGCCCAGCCTCAGATCTCAGCTGTGCTTTTATGTGTGTCTGGGAGACACTGCATCTGAACAGGGTTAGTGGGGGGTCCTGAGTTTTGGAGTCTGCTGTGTCTGCTCCTCAAGGCCATCAGTGAACTTGAACTTGATCTCTCCTCTCTTTTCAGAGAGATCGGCATGATCCGGCCCACCCTACAAGTGCAGGCAGTCGGAACAATGCTCCCACAAAGCCCCCAGCCCAGCGAGGAGGCAGCACCCCATTCCTGTGGGGCCACGGGGAGAAAGCCCCCTGCTGTGATGGGCCGTGCTAGAGAGGCTGGAGGGCGCGGACCAGGCAGGGGTTGCGGACAGGGCAGGGGGCGCGGGGCACCTTCCATCCTCCCTGGCTCAGCAGGGCTGTGTGTGGCCGGCCACCTTGGGCTCTTTCCCTGTCCATGATACCATGTAGTCAGGAACAGGGTGAGCTGTGAATGAGTTCCCTTGACTGAGGTGCTGGTGGGATGGAGAGGAGAGCGAGGGTGAAGTCTGAGAGCCCTGGGGTGGGGCACTCGGGGCTTCAGGTCCCCCTGGGCCCTGAGGACACTCAACTTCAGCTTTCCTGCCACTTCCCAGCACACCGGCTGCCATGGCCTCCCCGATGAAATCAATTATCCCATTGCTACAGTCAGTTAAAAGTGAAATTAAATGAATTCTGAACATTAATAACAGGCTGTAATAAGACAAACTACCTCTTAATGATGCATAGAACCCTGATGAAAATAAATTTCCTTGTGGGGTGTGTGTGAGTGTGTGCGAGTCAGGTGGGGAACTCAAGGGGGAGTCTTATCCGCGGAATTAAAATGAATATTGATTACACAGCTGATAATTAATGATAGCAATTTTTGATTAAAAATGAGTTCATTTAGCAAACAAGTGGAGTGTGGTAACATTACATCTAAAAATAGAATCTAGAAGAAAGGGCCCTTGTTACACAGGCAGGAGTACAGTGAGCTCTTTGATCCTGAGGCCGACGCCTCTGGATTCGAAATGAGCTTCTCACTCAGCAGCCCCCGGAACACACAGGCCTCCCGGGAGACGACCGCCTCCGTCTCCCCAGCGGGAAGGCAACACGGTGCCGCGGAGGCCCAGCCTCCAGCCTTCCACAAGATCCAGGGGCTCAGGGAGAAGCGATTGGGCCTTCAGGTGCTTCTCTCCAAAATCCCATGGCTTAGACAGATTCAGCAAAAATGGGATAAAACGGGGCAGTAACCCTGGAAGTGCTGCTGCGCTGGGAAGGACTCCTCCACCCCGGGCAGGTTTGTTCTGTCTCCCTGTCACATACACACACACACGTATACACACATATACATACACACAGACACACGCATACAGACACACACGTACACACACAGACACACACAAACATACACATACACACAGAAACACATACACACACAGACACACACACAGACACATGCATACACCCAGACACACAGACACACGCATACACATACACAGACACAGACACACACATACACACATATACATACACATACACACACGTACACACAGACACACATGTACACACACAGACACAGACACACATATACACACAAACACACACACTCATACACAAATATACACACATATACACTACACACATACACATGCATACACACATACACGCATACACACACACATACACACATACACACATACGCACACACACACATACACATATACACATACACACATGCATACACGCATACACACATACACAAGGAAATGTTTATGTGGCTGAATTCAGAAAAAGCACCTGCGAAGCCCTTCTGACTCAGAGCAGCCGAAACGCCGGGTAAGATGTGGAAGCCTGTGGCTGCGCTGGTAATAAGGACAGAAACGCCGCCAGCCATGGGGGCTGCCCTCAGGAGAGCGGGACGGGCAGGAGGGCACCACAGGTGGCTCAGTCCTGGGCCTGAAGCTAGTTGCTGTGGGCAGCGTGCGGGGGCAGGAGCAGGGGCAGGACCCTAAAAGCGGGAGAATTCGGAATCCAGACATCCATAAAGCCAGGACACCCCAAACGGCCACAATTTGGAGCATGAGCTGGAAAAGGGATCCTGGTCTCTCTTCCCATGACTTCACGGGAGAGGGTCCCCCTGCCTGGCTCTGGCAAAGCAGAGGAAACAGAAGAGAGCCCATCCGTCCACCTCTCGCCCAGCGCCTCCACCCTCACCGACGTGTGCCCACCCGTCCACCTCTCGCCCAGCGCCTCCACCCTCACCGACGTGTGCCCACCCGTCCACCTCTCGCCCAGCGCCTCCACCCTCACCGACGTGTGCAGCCCCCGCCTCCCCCCACAGGAAAGGCCAGCGATTTCACGGGGCCGACACGCCGTCCACGCGCAGTTCTCAGTGACAGACGCAGCGCTCGGCCAGGGCTGTGCTTCCCCACACCTGCAGGCAGCACGGGGTTGCATTAAACAGACATCACAGCCTCGCCAAGGAAAAGCCACCTCACCCATGAGTCAAGGGAAGCAGAGAAATGCAGGATCAGGGCGGAGGTCTGGCAGGACTGGGAGGCTGCAGCTCAGAATTCACACAGCAGAGCTGAGTCCAGGGGAGGCGGGGCGCGGGGTGGGGGAACGTGGGGGAGGAACAAGGACTCTCAGAATTAAAATGGAGCATCGTGAAAGATACACAAACAGATGGATGGAATTTAAAACCAACTGCCAGTCAGACACAACTCAAGAAAATGGAAAGACGTCGTCGAAGTTTCCCGGTGAAGCAGAAGGACAAAAAGACCAAAAATGTGAATGAAAAGGGTTAAGAAACTCAAAGGATTGAGGCCCAGTGTGTCCCTGAGTGTCGCAGGAGGAAAAAGAGAAGAGATGGTGAGCAGGTGTTTACTGGGGAATAGGAGAGGGCTCACAGGATGGCACCTGGGACAGGCATGGGCGCCGCGCCCCGAAAGGTTCCCTGACTCCCTAAACACACACATCTAAACACCTCCTGCTGAAAATGCAAATCACCAAGTCAACAGCTGCAGAGAAAAGAAGGCCCCCTGCTCAGGGGGAGGGGACTCCACCCAGCAGGCGATTCCTCAGCAGCCCTGGAAGCTGGAAGACAGTCGGATAAGATCTTCAAAGCCCTGGAAGAAAATAACTGCCGAACTTAAATGGCAAACTCGCAAAAATATTTTTGATAAGGAGAGAGATAGGAAGGTATTTTCAGAGGAACAAAACCCAGAGTTTGCAATCAGCAGACAATCACTCATGAATTTCAAAGCAGTGTATTTCGGAAAGAAAGAGAATTCCAGAAGGAAAATGTTTTAGCTACTAGCCAGCATTTGCCTTCTTTCAGCTGACAACATGGGCTGAGAGTCAGTGACTTCTTTAGGCAGAACGTCACCACGCTGAGGTCACTGCCCCCTTTGCCCGTCCCTGGACATCCCCAAAGCTCACACCCTCCTTGTACCCAAGAGTGATGAATGTCGTCTCAGCAGAGGAGATGCCGTCCACTGTCCGTGGCTGGCCAGTCCCCAGCCACCTTGTTCTCTATATGGTGCTCGCCATCCCCAGAGTCAATGCGTGGTGTGTCCAGTGTCTGCCTCTGGCCACCGGGGCATGGATGTCACCACTCCAGGAATTTTTCCCTGTCCACGGCCGTCCCCCATTGTTGAGGTCAGGGCCTGGTATACTTGAGAGCTTGGTAAACCTTACTGAGTGAGGGAATTATTTCATTATGTCTTCCAAAGGATTCATGTCAAAATATTCAGATACTAATTCTCAACATGAGAAAACTGAAACCCGGAAAGGATGTGGCCACTTCCTTAGGACTGAAAAAAATACATGAGGACCCTTGATTTGAACCTACCAGAGTGTGAGCCCCAACAGCCAGCATGGAGCGGATGACCCTGGAGTGGAGCCAACTGGAGTCTCAGACCCACGTGGGCAAAATAAAGAAGCTGGAACAGGGGGCCACTGAGATAGAGCAGCCAGGCCCCTCCTGGGCAGGACCCACACTGGCCCCTACCACCTGCCCTGCCTGAACCACACTCACACCCACCCCTCCAGCCCTGCCCAAAACACGCTCACACCTTCCCCTCCATCGCCTTCCCCTTCAGCCCTGCCCAAAGCACGCTCACACCTTCCCCTTCAGCCCTACCCAAAGCACGCTCACACCTTCCCCTTCAGCCTTGCCCAAAGCACGCTCACACCTTCCCCTTCAGCCCTACCCAAAGCACGCTCACACCCTCCCCTTCAGCCTTGCCCAAAGCACGCTCACACCCTCCCCTTCAGCCTTGGCTTCTCATGGTGCTCTGTTGTTCCCCAGTTGTTCCTTTGTCCAGGCTGCCTCTCCTGACCAAAGCCCTCCCTCTAGGATTGTGCTCACATAGAGCCTCCCCAAAGCCTTCCATAAACACTTCAGGTCTAAAATAACAGCCACCACCACATGAAGAGCTAACGACCATGAGCTTGAATGTGGGCCAGGCATTGTGTTAAGTCCACATCTCCAGTCTAATTTAATTTTCCCAACAGCTCTGGGAAGAAGGTGCTATCATTTCCATGATTTTGCATGGAATCAAAAACACAAAGAATGAAATAACTTGTGCACAAACCCACAGCTTGTATGTCACAGAGACTGAGTTCAAACCCAGATAGCACCCATGACCCTCAGAGCTGAACGTTGAGATTAATGGGTGGATGGATGGAAGCAAGGAAAGATGGATGGATGGATGGATGGATGGATGGATGGATGGATGGATGGATGTGTGGATGGATGTGTGGGTGGGTAAATGGATGGATAGATGGATGTGTGGGTGGGTGGATGGATGGATGGATGCGCAGGTGGATGGATGGTGGAAGGATGGAAGGATGGGTGAGTAAATAGATGTGTGGGTGGGCAGATGGATAGGTACATGAGTGAATGGATGTGTGAATGGATGGATGATGGTGGGTGGATGGATGGATGAATGGATGGATGGGTGGGTGGTGGATGGAAGGATGGATCATGAATGAGTGGGTGGATGATGTGTGGATGGGTGGAGAGATGATGGATGGGTGGTGGATAATCAATGAATGGATGTGTGGATGGGTGTATGGATGATGGATGGATGGATGGATGCATGGGTAGATGAGTGAGTCGATGGATGGTGGAAGGATGAATAGATGGATCATGAATGGGTGGGTGGATGGATGTGTGGGTAGGTAGAGGAACAGGTGCCTGTATGGATTGATGATGTGAATGTGTGGATGGGTGGTGGATGGATGGATTGGATGTGTGGATGGGTGGATGGATGGGTGGCTGAATGGATGTTGGTGGAAGAATGGATGGCTGGATTGTAGATGAGTGGGTGGATGGGTGTGTGGATGAAAGGATGGGTGCCCTGTGAGACCTGCAGAGAGTAAATAGATGTGTGGGTGGGTAGATGGATAGTTGCATGAATGAATGGAGGTGTGGATGGGCAGATGGATGATGGGTGGGTGCCTGAATGTATGTATGACGTGGATGTGTGGATGGGTGGATGGATGGGTGGATGAATGGATGTGGGTGGAAGAATGGATAGCTGGATTGTAGATGAGTGGGTGGATGGATGTGTAGATGAAAGGATGGGTGAGTAAATGGATGTGTGGGTGGGTAGATGGATAGTTGCATGAATGAATGGAGGTGTGGATGGGCAGATGGATGATGGGTGGGTGCCTGAATATATGTATGACATGGATGTGTGGATGGGTGGTGGATGGATAAATGGATATGTGAATGAGTGAATGGATGATGGATGGATGTGTGAGTGGAAGGATGGATGGATGGAGCATGGATGGGTGGGTCAATGGATGTGTGGGTGGGTAGATGGATGGGTGGATGGATGAATGGATGATGCTTTTGATTTTATTGGACTGGGCTGATAATAAGGCCCTAAAGTCCTCTGGAAGTGATGTTACTCTCTGCAGGTCTCACAGGGCACCTTGACTGTGGTTAGGCCATAGAGTGTGAAGGACATTCAGCCCCATTGGCATTGCCCATTGAGACCCTCCATGGCCTTCCCAGTACTGTGCCTCCTCTCCCTTTATCTCATTTTCCTGCTTCCTCTTTGCTTCCATCTCTGACACCTGGTAGCTCCTGCGGCCTTTGTCCTTCCTCCCACAGATCTTCTTGTCTCGCTTCTCATTAAGCACGGCAGTGGACGCTCTGAAGAAGCTTTGGGGCTGTGCCAATTTGCTCTGTGACAATGTCAAAGAGCTCAAACGCTCCTCTTTAAGCCAGGACTGTCAGTCAGCAGCTGCCTTGTGAGGAGGCAGAGCTCCTCTGCTGGTAAAGAAGGAGCAGGGAGGGAAGGGCGTCTGTGCAATTAACCTGGACACCGCCGGGACACACACACGCTCTGATCCCCTCCGTGCTCGGTGTTGGCCCAGTCTCTTGCGGGCTCACCTTCCAGTGGGCGCCTTTGCCCTTGCGTGGCTGGGATGCAGCATGCTCACCAGATGTGTTCACGTGTGCAAATGTGCTTTTTAAACATCTCCCTTTCTATTGTTCACCAAGCAATTCAACTGCTTTCACATGGAAGAAAGGGAAAGCGACGTCTGAAGGTGCATAATTAGTAACATATAAAAGAAATAGTAATGAGTGCACATAAGGTGAAAATGCAAATGGAACAGGTGCCTTTGTAGATGAAGGGCTTTGAGTCAACTTCGGGTCCTCTGGGCTTCCATTAGCATGCTGGCAGGAGCCAATTATTCAGTAGGTACTTAAGAAATACTCATGGTGAGTTTGTGCATCTTGTACGTGCGTTCCCATTGCCTGTGATGGAAGCAGCTCTCAGATGTCCAGGGAGATTTTCTACTAAAAAACTTGAGATTTAAAGTTTATGGATAATTGAGAAGATCTACTTTTTGCATATATCTCAGATAGAGAGCTTGTATTACCAATTCTCTCTCTCTCTGTTCCAAGTCTGGGACAGCTTACGCACCTTAGACAGGGCCACCCACAGGATCTCTCAGCCAAAATCCTCCACACAAAAGAATCCTAAGGCTTGGAATGGGGAGAAGAGGCCAGGGAGGGAGGTGAGGATGACTCCCAGCCCCCTGCTTAAGAGATGGTTCTGCAGAGATAGTCAACAAGGAGGAAGGCCTCCCAGCTGCTGCCCGGGCGGAACAGGGGCAGCTGCCATGCAAGGACTGTGTGACTGACCACTTCTACCCCTGGGCCACCTGGTGAGGTCACAGATGGGAAGCCTTTTGGGGAAAGGCCATCAGGGCTACCCTGGGGGCCAAAAATCCCCACTGCCCGCACCAAGTGTAGGCGTTAGCACGAGGGCATGCTGTGGAGTCAGTGCAGGGAACACTCCTGTTCAACGTTCAAGTACATTTAGTAACAGAGACCAGGGTCTGCTTTAGCAACCAGATAAGAACATTTGGAATTAGTGTCTTAACCGTTCCTGGTTTCCTGAGGATGCCACTTTTGTTATTTCCACTCATCACATCAATTTATATGTGAATCATGAGCCATCGTATAATTAACACCAAGCGCTAGGCTTTCTGGGGGACACAGGACAGGGCACTCCCTGCAAACGCAGAGCTCATGAGGGAGGGGTCATTCACTGTGTTCCCCCCACCCCACATCTGGCATCCAGTCGCTAAGAGCTTCCGGGGGAGTGGCTAAAAGTGAGTGGTCACGGACGCATTGAGAGTGGCAAGATTCACGTAAGAGGCACAAGAGGAGGGCAGCGTGGCCGCTGAACACCTACTGATTAAGCCCCACTGCCTGCAAGCCACTGTTCTAAGTGGTGGGGACACCACGGGGGAGAAACTGTGGGAACTCTGTGTCCTCCTGGAATCTAGGTGGGGGGACAGACGGCAGATCAAGTACATAAGAAAAACGCTCATCACGTGAGACAGCCAGCGCTTTATGCAAAGCGTGAGGCAGGGGAGGGTGGGGAGTTCTGTGTTTGTGTGCATCTGTGTGCACGCACATGCGTGTGAATGTCTGCACACATGTGAGCACGTATACATGTGTGCACGTCTGTATACACACATTTGTTTGTGGCACATGTGCACGTCTGTGTGCGTTCACATGGGGTGGCTAGGGAGGGTTGCATGAAGAAGGTGATTCTTGGCAGAGCCTTGCAGGAAGGGAGGGAGGGATTCACGCGGACACGTGGCGAAGCTCTGCAGAGGGAGAACAGCCAGGCAGCCGAGCAGGTGTCTTAGAGAGCCAAGTGCTGTCTGGGAGGGGCTGGGAGGGGAAAGGAGACCCCACCAGCAGCACCCAGAGGAGCAGCTTGCAAAGGAGCAGATGTGAATGAGCAGGACCTAAAAGAGAAAATTTGACATTCTGTTGAGGAATGTAAAATAAAAATCCACATCTGTCCCGAACAGGAAGACTTGAGGCCATCAGGATCCAACATCCAACAATGCGCTGAGCCCAGTCCCTGCTTCAGGTTCTAGGGACACAGATTCTAGGGACACAGGTTCTGGGGACACAGCCAGAGCGGCCAACGCCTCTCCTTCCCGGAAGTCGTGAGGTGCCTTCCAGACAGCGATGCTTCCTGATTCACTCACACACTCACTAAGACCCCAAATAAAATACTAGCAGGATGTTTGGAAATGCTGTAAAATAATTCTAAAGTTTATCTGGAAAAATAAACGTATGACCAAGGAAACCAGGGCTGGGAAGGGCTGCACCTCCCTGGTGTGATAATGTAATTTTTTTTTTTTTGAGACGGAGTTTTGCTCTTGTTGCCCAGGCTGGAGTGCAAGGGCGCGATCTCGGCTCACCGCAACCTCTGCCTCCCAGGTTCAAGCGATTCTCCTGCCTCAGCCTCCTGAGTAGCTGGGATTACAGGCACGTGCCACTCCGCCTGGCTAATTTTGTATTATAGTAGAGACAGGGTTTCACCATGTTGGTCAGGCTGGTCTCGAACTCCTGACCTTAGGTGAACCACCCACCTTGGCCTCCCAAAGTGCTGGGATTACAGGCATGAGCCACCGCGCCCGGCCAATAACGTAATTTAAACCGGATGATGAAGGTGCTTCTAGACTTCTGCAGGCACAGATAGGCAGACAAACCCAGCAGGGTTTTCACAATCCAAACAGGTCCCAAACACGGGTGGGATTTAGCACAGGGCAAAGGATTTAGCTCCAGAGCTGAGGTGCTTCCTTGGTAACCACTGCAGGGCCCTAAGCAGCCAGAAGAAAAAAGTTGGAGTATTTATCACTTTAAATATAAAGTCACACACAATTCCAGATGGAACCAGGGCTGAAAATGAAACCATGAAGAAAATACGGAGGAAAAAGAAGAAAATACCAAAAAAGAAAGCTTTCAAGGCATTATACACAACCTGTGAGCTATAAAAGAAAAAATTTGAGAAGCTTCAGGCAATTTAAAAATATCATAAAGATTTAAAGGCAAAGGTACAAAATGGAAATACATTGTCACACATATCACAGAAAAGGTTAATAATGTCATTAATACACAAAGATCGCTTACAAGTTGTAAAAAGGTAAACAATCCAAGAGAAGAGCAAAGCAGCCGAGGACATGAGCTGAGGCAGCCCACAGAAATCGGGGATTCATGGGGCAGGAACACAGGGGAGGGGTCGTCGGCTGGCCGGGGGTTCAGCAACGCCCTCATCAGCAGACGAGCAGCCCTTGTTCAGACAGGACTTGGAAAGGCTCGTGACTGAGCAGCCCCCGGGGTTGGGCGGACGTGGGAGACCAGACGTCGCCGTACACTGCTGTGGAACTTAGGAAGGCACCAACCATCCGGAGACAATTGACAACTTCTTTGCAACTTAAAATGCAGGTACCTTGGACACATACGTCCACTTCTAGGGGTTATTTCAAAATAGACATATTTGCATAAGGACACAAACATTTGTGAAAAAGAATGTTGATTGTGACATCTCAGAAACCAGGAAAAAATTGGAAAGCCTTAATTGTCTACCACCAAAGGACATGTTAATAAATCATGGTCTCTGCACCCAACAGTGTCATATGTCAAATCCACACGGGTGGTCATGGTAAGGGGTTCAAATATTTTCAAATAAATTATCTATTATTAGATGCTAAAAATCAATGTCTAAAATATTAAACCCATTTGGGTAAAAATGTGTCTTTTGCACACATGTGACTGTAAAGATGTATCTATTTTATATAATAGAGAATAGGTATAAAAACCACTAACAGAGATAGCACTATGCTCTACTAAAAGCCATCAGTGACGGGGGCACCTTGGCTAAGAAGCCCTGGAGGACATGGCTTGAGGACACAGAACCCTGAGCCCCTCCTCTGAGCCTAGGATCCCCTGCCCCTCATGCTGTCCTGACCAGACAGCTGCCCGGGTGGAGACAGAGATGGGCAGAGAGGCTGGTGGGCTTCCGTTAACCCTGCAGGACAGGCACAGCCCCGGAGCTTGGGAACCACCCACGGCTGTGCGTCCCTTAACAAAGGAAAACAGTCTCCCGACCACTGGCCACATCTGCTTGGCCCTTGGTAATCGCCGAGGCCTGGCCAGGATGGGGGCCACAGGGCACAAGGCAGAAGGGGGCAGGTGCAGGAGAGTCAGCGTCGTGAGTGCGAGTGATGTGTGTCTGTGTGGCGTGTGTCAGCAGGGTGTGTAAGTGTCAGTGTTGTTTGCATAAGCCCGCTGGTGTGTGTCCATGTTGTGTGTGTATCAGTGCTGTGTATGTCCACACTGTGTGTGGGTCAGTGTTGTATGTGTGAGTCCTTGTGTGAGTGTGGTGTGTGTGTTGTGCCTGTGTTGTGTCTCAGTGCTCTGTGTGTTTACGTTGTGTGTGGGTCACTGTTGTATGTGTGTGTCCCTGTTGTGTGAGTGTGACATGTGTTAGTGTTGTGTCTGTGTTGTGTGTGTCTCAGTGCTGTGTGTGTCCACATTATGTGTGTGAGTCAGTGTTGCTTGCATGTGTCCCTGTTGTGTGTGATGTGTGTTAGTGTTGTGTGACTGTGGTGTGTGTTAGTATTGTGTGTCTGTATTGCCTGTGTGTCAGCATTGTGTGTCCATATTGTGTCTCCATGTTTGGTATGTCTCAGTTTTGTCTGTGTGAGTCTTGTGTGTGTGTATTTGGTGTCTCCATGCTTTGTGACTCAGTGTTGAGTATGTGAACCCCCAGCCCCTGCGGGGTGTCCATCCCGCCCTTACAAATGGACGGACCAACCCGGGCGCTGACATCACTCTGCATTTGAGGGATGCAGGTGCAGCGTGGGGCACGGGACGACCCTGGCCAGGGCACCTGGTCAGCCCTACACTCCCTGACCCCAGGCTGACTGTCCGCGGTGGGAGAGCACTTGAACGCTCCTTCCACCCTGGCTTTGTGTGCTCACGTGCCAGCTGTTCAGGACAGGTAACGCCGTGTTTCTGGACGGCATGAAGTTCTTGCCTTTCTGTGAAACAGCCCTTCTGGAGGGACGATTTGGAGTCAAGTCAGAGTCCAGGATTCACAGTCAAATGTCAGTTCCCTGAGATGACAATGGCAGGTGGATTTTAGAATCACAGACAGTCTGGGAATGGGACGCAGAGGTCAATGAACAGCTGGCCAAGGGTCGTTTCTCTCCAACATCACTGACCAGTCTGACTTGGGCAGGAGCCTCGTGAGGAGCAGGTGCCGTGTCTCCTGGCCCTGCACCATGAGTTATGCCGTGTGCAGGGGGTTACATTGTCTTTTTGAAATGGCTCCTCCAGCCTCTGGGTCTGATGCATTGGACCGAGGGCTGCAGATGGATGGCTTCGTTGCCATGTTGGCATCTTCGTCTTGGAGAGCTTCTCTGCCCTCATTGTGGATGTGCACCAGCCTTCCTCACTGGCCATCCGGTGAAGCCTTGCCCGGCAGTGAGACTTCACACACTGCAGCGTGGGGACCTGCACTTTTCATTTTTCCTCCTTCAACATCATGTATCCCATAAACTAGCATTTGTGGATGTTAATACCTGTAATAAATTCCCTCTCTCTATATATACACCTTGCCAGGACACGGTCTGTGTGACGTCTCCCTGTGTGGCTATGGAAAGATGGAAGGGATTCGAGAGGGAAGAAGGGACAGAGAGAGGGAGGGGAGAGCAGAACCCTATTCTCACTTCTCAGGAGGTGCCAGCTTCTCAATGTGTCCACCAATGTCTGTATGTGATTTGTGTTCACTTCACAGGAAATGATGCTTTGGGTGACTTCTGATTGAATCAGGATATCATAAGATGCCTCTATTGAAGAGACAAAAAATAAATATAATCAATTTTCATTAAAATGTGCACTAGATGGTTCTTGAGAACCTATTATGTGCCTGGCAGTGCATAAGGCTCAGGGGACCCCCTGGAGACAGGAACCCTGCCTCAGGACGCAAGGTGGTTGAGGCACCAGTTTGGGCTCTGCAGGCTGACAGCAGAGTGGAGGTCTGCCCCACACTTGCAGGTAGCTTGGGACAGGCTGTTAGCCTCTCTAAGCCTTGCCTCTAACACGGCAAGAGCAAGAATATTTGTGGAACAGTTTTGCTGTGATGATGCTGTCAGCAATGGTAGCTGTATTTAGCTTTCACCTAATGGTGAAGTGGATTCTTCCCCCCAGTAATCACATTCCAACATAAGCCAGCATCTAAAAGAATCCTCACCCCAGTCATCTGTTTTCTGAGCTCTGAGCTTTCTAAGAAGCTCCAGGGCATCTTCCTCCCCTGCGTCCTCCCCTGTGTGGGGGAATCTTGTCCTGGGTGATGGGAGAAGGCGGGCTCCTTCTCAGGCCTTGGAGGAAGGCACATCCCACTGATAGAATGCCCTTCCGTGCACCTCCAGTCCGAAAATTTTCCACTCAAGTCATGGTGCTTCTCAAGAGAACTCAGAGTTTTTGGAAATAGATGGAAGATGCACATTTTGATTGCTGTAGATGAAATTTACTGGTATATGCAGATTTCATGGCTAAGTGCCTCTTTTTAAAAAGCTTCCATCCCACAATTCCTTCCCCATTGACGGGCTGTTCCAGATTATCTATTGTAATTAGATTTAGACTTTCAGCCAACCTTCTGCATCACTTCAGCTATTTCAGAAAAATGAAGGAAGCTTTCCAAATGTTTTCCACAGCGTAACGCTGTGCCCGGGGAATGTCGTGGTGCTGGGCTCGGAGATCCCTCCTGCTGCTGTTCTATTTCCTTGCGCTCCCAGATAGGGACGCCCCTTCCACAGCCCCGAGTCCAGGGACACCTTCCCCCTGCCTGGAGCAGGCTGACCCCTCGCCTCCATGCCCACCGCACCCAGCTCATCCTCACTTGTCTCTACAAGGGCAATCCTGTTTTTATTTCAACCCTTCTGAATTCTAACCGTGCTACCAAAACAAGGAGGGAGAGGGGAGAGAGGAAGAAAGAAAAAATAACCTCTCTCTAAGTAAATGAGGCTGTTGGGCTTTGGAAACCTGCCAAGCCCTTTCTATGAGGAGCTGTTATATCAGATTTCTCAGCAAGAAAGAAACAAGAAAATTAGTGTGCGGTTGAATTGGAGACTAAAATTAGCCATCTTGAAAAACAAATCTCCAATAAATACAACGAGGATTTATGGCTAAAATTACAGGCGGCACAGATGGCATCTGATGGCATTTTATCTCAAGGGGAAAATATTCCTTTTACATCAGAGCATCAGCATTATGGGTTCAGGGATGATTGTGTAGGGTCTTGCACCATTTTCAACACACAACAGCAAGTGGCTCGGCTTCATCAGCTCTTCGGGAGATGTTAGAGGCACAAGGCCAGCGTCCTGAAAGGTCACTTTGGCCAATCCACTGCCTGTGGGCTGATTCTTAGTTCCCCTGGCATAAGCAGGGAAGGAATCTCTTCTGATTTCGAAGGCCGCTTGTGAAGGAGACCCCACACCGGTGACTCCCCACTCCGTGTTTAGAACCTTCGCCTCCAGGTCAGGGTTTTATTGGTTTGTTGGTCATCCCTCGTCCACGTCTCCCCCTCTGCATATTCCAAGTGTCCTCCTGGGCCTCCTCGGCTGAGATTTTAGGGTGGAGGAGGCAGCGACGCAGAAGCACGGCTATCTGACAAACTGGGGGGACACTGGGCCCCAAAGCAGACATTGCCCCGATACGGATTTGGTTCCCTTTAATGACTCTCCGGAATAAAATAAAGGTGTAGACTACGGCTCTTCAGAAGAACGAGGCTCGTGTCTCTGGGGTGGTGCCTCCAGGTGGGCGGTGCGCAGGAGCGTGTGGCGGCGGCCGAGACCCAGAGGTGTTTGTCGGTGACATGGCCAGAGCTGTCACAGGGAAAGGCAGACACACAGAAGGGGACCCACCAGGTGGACAGCATTGCCGGAGGCTTCCAGCCTGGAAATCCATCCCCCACACGTGGGTTCCCTCAGCTATGGTGGCCATGTACTATAGGGTAAGGCTCCAGGGAACCCAGACGGGCCTGGCCTGGGTGACCCCTGAGCCCACAGATGGAGCCCAGGTGGGACAGAGGCTGTGGCCTGGAGAGGTGCAGCCGGTGTATCAGGGACTTTAGAGCCCGGGGTCCACAGCAGCTCGGCTTTGAGGGGGTTTGTCCTTCAGTCACGCTTCATTCCCCACCACACTCAGGAAGGCCCCAAGAGTGTCCCCGACGCTTCATCGGCTGGACTTTTTCATGTTGTTTTTCTTGTAGCTCATTAATGCTGCAAATATAGATCACTGAAATAGAGGCTTGGAAGTATTACTTGTTTTGCTTTGTGTCTTGAAATAATTTTAGATTTACAGAAGAGCTGAAGAGACGCCACAGCGAGCGTCCACATGCCTGTCACCCGCTCCCCCTCTGCTAACGCAGCTCACATTGATGTGCTTATTAAGTCGTCTGTGGCTCTGAGAAATTCACGGTGATACCATGTGACGAGCTGAATGAAAGGCTTGATTCGGACTTGGGTTTCCCTCAGCGTCCTCCTTCTGTCCCAGGATATCACACTGCGTGTGGTCACCGGGTCTCCTCACCGCATCCTCCAAACTCTGACAACTGGAGGTGATTATTTTAATAGAAAGACTGAAAAGTTGGCCAAAAAAGAAAATAAAAAGATGGAGAAATTTTCAATAAAGTAAAAGAATGAGAAATTGTCAAGATTGGATTCTGGTCACGGATTTTATAAAACCTTGTACTCTCTAATGCTTTCTCCTGGTGAGACCAACATGGTGGGTTTGGGGGAAGAGCTCCCCGGAGGGGCGGTGGGCTCCGTCTCCCGTCACGCAGCGGCTGCACGTCACTACACGCGTGCCGGGTGCACCAGCTCTGTCCCTGGCCGGGGTGCTGTCTGCCTCCCCTGCCTGGAGCAGGCTGACCCCCACCCCACCCGGCTCATCGCCCAGCTCTCTGCTGCACGGACTGTTTTGCTCCTTCCTGCTCCGTTGTTAGAAGCAAGTCACGAGTCCAACCCACACTCCAGGGGAGGAGAGTTAGGCCCCACCTCCGGAAGGAAGGGGCATGAGACAGTTTGTGGATATATGGTACAACGGCCAGAGTCACGAGTGCAGGCTTTGGGTGACACACTCTGAGGCCATGCGAATGCCCTGTTTCTCCTCCAAGGCCCCTGCCCTTCGGGTCATTCCTGCAGCAATTAAGACTGTGGTGTTCTTGGGGTGGTTCTCTCCCTCCCTCCGTCCTTTTCCTTTTATTATTCAAAATTATTATTGGTTTTGTTTTTTTATTTTTTTTGAGACAGAGCTTCACTCTCGTTGCCCAGGCTGGAGGGCAATAGCACGATCTCGGCTCATTGCAACATCCGCCTCCCAGGTTCAAGTGATTCTCCTGCCTCAGCCTCCCAAGTAGCTGAGATTACAGGCATCTGCCACCATGGCCGGCTTTTTTTTTTTTTTTTTGTATTTTTAGTAGAGACGGGGTTTCACGATGTTGGTCAAGCTGGTCTCGAACTCCCGACCTCAGGTGATCCGCCCACCTCAGCCTCTCAAAGTGCTGGGATTACAGGCGTGAACCACCGCGCCCGGCTATTATTCAAAATTCTTATAGATGGAATGTTGGTGGACTCTCCACTATTCGTTTACTTATGAAATCATGTGTTGACATCAGTGTAGACGCATGTGCACCCTCTTTATGGCATTTCCTGGTTTTGTGGTGCTGTACGATGCCCTGGGCTCATCTTGTAGTTCTCCTGCCCCGTCCCTAGAGTCACCCACTCACCCAGGTAGCTTTGGTTCCCTGTATTAGGAAATGGTTAGAAACCAAGGTCAGAACTTTCCCATATTAGGGAAGTGTTAGAAACCAAGGTGGGGACTCAAGACCTGTTCATTCTCGCAGGATGTCACTGCTTCTCAACCATCTCAGGGACTGAGCTGGGGCGTGTTTGTCATTCACATTTATATATGTGTGTGTGCGTGTGTGTCTGTGTGTGTGTGTGTGTGTGCACTACGTGCCTGCATGCATGTGTGTTATTTTTCTGAGGTCTCTGAATAAAATACAGCCCCAGAGTCCATTCACACATTGCCTTTGCTTAGGTGCAACTTTTCCTCTGACAGTGAGAAATCTGACCCCTGCCTTCTACTGTTTATTCATTGGTTTATTCCACCTGAGTATACATGTGAAGTGGTTACATAGTTGCTCGGCTGCACCCCTGAGAGAGACAAACTTACCGCCTGGAGCCAGCACTCAGACCAGTTCCTTTTGTCTTGAGTCAAAAACCTCTTTGCGGAAATTGCTCAGGTGAGCCCCACTCCCCACCCTGCCCCCAGCAAGGTGTGCCGTGCCTCTTTAATGCCGTCAGATTCAGCTGTTAGTTTGCCTTTCCTCCCAGGACCCCGCACCGGCTGGTGGATCATTCCCATTTTCATAAAGTTCACTTTATTCCATGGGCTTTGACCGAAGCACAGAATCTGCAGTCACCGCCACAGTGTCACAGGGGCCACTCCGCCACCCTCAGATGTACCTTCTGTGCCCCCTTTTTGCCAATCCCACCCCCAACCCTAAACCCCAGTGATTACGGATCTGTTTTCTGTTCCACAGTTGTGCCTTTTCCAGAAGGGCATGGAAATGGGATCCCACAATACGGAGCCTTGGGGCCTGGCTTTGTCAATTAGCAAAATGCCTTCAGGGCCAGGCGCGGTGGCTCACACCTGTAATCCCAGCACTTTGGGAGGCTGAGGCGAGCGGATCACAAGGTCAGGAGTTCAAGACCAGCCTGGCCAACATAGTGAAACCCCATCTCTACTAAAAATACAAAAAAAATTAGCCAGGCGTGGTGGTGGGTGCCTGTAATCCCAGCTACTCGGGAGGCTGAGGCAGGAGAATCACTTGAACCCGGGAGGCGGAGGTTGCAGTGAGCTGAGATCACGCCATTGCACTCCAGCCTGGGAGATAGAGCGAGATTCCATCTCAAAAAAACAAAAAATGCCTTTGGGACCCGTCTGTCCACGTGAATCCTCGTCTGGCCGCGTGAATCCTGCTTCGTCTGTGTCTCTTCCCACTGGGTCAGGGTCCTCTCTACGAATGCTGACAGCTTGTTTCTCCTGCTCCTGCTAAAGAACATCTTGGTTGTCTGGTTTGGGGCAATTATAGATACAGCAGCTCTAAAGCCCCACACACAGGTTTCTGGGTGAACATCGGTCTTCAGCTCACTTGGGTAAATGCCCACCAGGGGTGGCTGCCTGGACAGGGAGTGTCCATTTACCTTTACGAGGAGATGGCCGACCCGTCTTCCCCAGGGCGGCCCCACTTCACACCCCTTCCAGCCATGAGCGAGGGGCCAGTTGCTCCTCATCCTCCTCAGCTTCTGACACTGTTGGGGTTTCCTTTGTTTTTCCTCCAACCCCATCTAGAACATCTAGAATTTAATTTTGACCTGGTCTGAAGGAACGAGTTCTGTTTCTTTTTCAAGAGTTCACCAATTCTCCAAAACCCATTCTCCAGCCAGCCTCCCCTTCACACCCCTCACCGAGGGACTCAGCGGGTGCAGGGCGGCTGCCGTGCCCACTGGTCTGTGTATCTGCTTCTGTGCCGCACCTCTGTGTCAACTGACATGAAATCAGTGGATTACATTATTTCATTATGTAAGAAATCAAACTAAATCATTGGTTTTCCTTTTTTCTAACTGCCATGTGTATGGGAAAGAGAGAAGGGATGACCCTTTACATCTGGCTTAAACAAAGCAAGCTCCTAAGTCTGTCTATCGTCAGAAGACAAACAGGAGCTTAAGGGCCACTGCCAGGGCATACATATTTTATATATAGATATATAGATACTTTAAGTTCTAGGGTACATGTACACAACATGCAGGTTTGTTACATATGTATACATGTGCCATGTTGGTTTGCTGCACCCATTAACTCATCATTTACATTAGGTATTTCTCCTAATGTTATCCCTCCCCCAGCCCCGCACCCCACGACAGGCCCCGGTGTGTGATGTTCCCCTTCCTGTGTCCAAGTGTTCTCATTGTTCAATTCCCACCTATGAGTGAGAACACGCAGTGTTTGCTTTTCTGTCCTTGTGATAGTTTACTGAGAATGATGGTTTCCAGCTTCATCCATGTCCCTGCAAAGGACATGAGCTCATCCCTTTTTATGGCTGCATAGTATTCCATGGTGTATATGTGCCACATTTTCTTAATCCAGTCTATCATTGATGGACATTTGGGTTAGTTCCAAGTCTTTGCTATTAGGCACACATATTTTTAAGGCAGCTGTAGAGGTCGGCCTTTGCCAAGCTCACTTCTCCTTTTCGTGGGCCTTCCTAACTACAGAGGCCGGGGTGCCAGGAATCGCACATGTGTTCTCTGCACTGGATGTGGCACTCCACCCCTGCTCCTCCGTGTGCTGGGGTGGGTGGGAGTTCTCTGCACCTGGGCATGACGCTCCCACCTTACTCCGTGTGCTGCGGCAGTGAGAGGTGGAAGGAGCCCCGGCTTCTCCTGGCCAGCATTCTTGCTGTGGCCTCAGCAGTTCCCATATCAGCCTCTGGCTTTGGGCGTGTCCAGGGCCAGGGCTCGGCCCACCATGTCCTGGCTGGTCTGGGTCTTCCCTGGCGCAGTGAGGGGATGGAGCTTGCAGCTGTGGTCAGTAGCCTCGCCTCAGAGCCTCTGCTCCCCGAACCAGTGAAGGCAACGTGGCTTCTGCAGCCAGCAAATTCACAAGGGGCTTCCAGTGTGCCACGCTTCCTGACTGGTGGGCCACTCTGGATTGTTCTGGAAATCACTGGCAGAGGGCTTGGAGCCCCCTCTTCCAGCCCCTGTGCTTTTGTCATCCTTGGACACTCTGTTTTACGTTCTGTCCCCATGGAAATAACAAGTGGTTTCTGTTGCCTGTGGCTGAATCCTGGCTGATACAGTCACGGGTGGAACTACGGGCTCCAGAGTTTAATGTCCTCGGTTGTGGGGCGGTTTCACAAGACAGAACAGCCTCTGCTTTTCTGCAGCTTAGCAGAAGCTCAGCAGAAAGCCTGCTTTTGCCAGCAGGCAGAGGGGCCTACAGTTTCAAAGCTGTATTCTGTTATTTCGTGATTAACTCATGCGGAAATGAAAGCAGCCCTGTGAATATCAAAAGTTACAATAGAAGAAGGAAGGGACATAGGGAGAGCCTCTGCAAACGGAGCTCAGGCATCCACAGCCCACCACGGTTACTATCTCATCACAGTGGTACAACCTCATACCTGGCAGGCAAGCCCCTGCCACCCTCCTGAATGGGGCAGTTCCGTGACCCCCTGATCCCTGAGCCCAGCACCGCCCCAGCTCCAGCCCTTGCTCTCTCATGTGTGATATGATGAGCTTTGCGACGGAACCACAGAGGCGTGCCCAGAATGCAAAGCACCCCAGCCTCCTGCATCACTGGTGGGTGTGGGGTGAGGGAGTGGGGTCAGGAAAGGCTCTGGGAAGAGAGAAGGCAGAGCTGAGAAAGAGGCCTGCCTGGAACGGGGCGTTCTGGGTGGAAGGAGCGGCCTGCAGGAAGGCATGAGAAAACACCAGTTCAGTGAATGGTGGCACAGAACCAGTGATGCCTCAGTGTGAGGACAGAATCCTGGACAGGTGAGCAGCCCTGAGCTCAAAGGGTCCCAGTTACCATCCCCCATCAGGAAGGGGACCGCTGAGTGACATCAGCATATCTCCAAGTTCTCCAGCCAGCTTGCTGTCCCTGGGACATTATAGCCAACTTAGGGCCACTGTCTCCCCGAGCTAACCTCCAGGTGTTGGCACACTCCTTCTCCGACCCTGAATACCACCTTCCTCGACTTCCCCTGCCAAGAAAGCATTCCTCCTGGAGAGACAAACAGCTTATGGCCAACTCCCTGAAAAATAGGGTCACATAGAACAAGCCCTGGCCCATCAGCCCTCCATGGTCAATCGGGAAAATGAGCTTGACCATTGGCTTGAACTTTGCTCTTCCCCTAACTGTGGTGCGATTGCTCCAGTGAGCTTAGAGGCTTCGTCGAAGGGACTGGGGGGCCTTGGTTTGCATTCCCTTAATCATTGGTGACAAATGTAAATCCTCCGGTTCCTGCCAGTCTCTCCCAGAGAGAGGAGAGGAACCCTGGCTTCGTTCACACGTGTGCTGGGCGCAGTGGGGGAAAGAGATCTCCACAGGGGAAGCACTGCTGAAAACACACAATCTCTTCACTGCAACATCTTGGACCTCCAAGGCCGTACGTCTTCATTTTCTTCCTTTTGAGAGTAAAAGCCATCATCTCTCCACTGGCTGGAGTGTTTTCTCCTCGTGCTTCTCCGTGGGGATGTGCGGGTCAGTGGAGGGAAAAGGAGGAGGAACCCGAACCCGTAGATGGCCAGAGGCCACACTCTCTAGACAGGGAGAAGAGTCTCCAAATATTGGAGTGATTAAAAGAAAAACCAGTCCAAGAGATTTAAACCGACAAGCACCCTGGGTTTAGAAAGATTTGAGGAAAACCTTTCCTGGCATAATTTGCTGGGTATGTTTAAGCCTCTGATGCAACAACCTTTAAAATAAATGCAATTCACACACGGATCTAGATAAATTATTTCCAATCTTATCTTCAGATGAATCTATGAATAATAAGTCATCTCAGCATTGTAACAGAGGCTGCTGCAGGCTGGCAGCCTTGATTGTGATTGCGTTGATTTTGACACATGGCAATGTATTCCGAATAGACACCCAGGAAAGAAGAGAAATATTTTTTCAAATTGCAGAACTTCATAAATATGCAAATCTCCAAACTCCAAATGCAACATAGTGTTTCTATTTTATTTTTCATTGTTTTTAACATTTTGTTTCTAAGGCAACTTCCCGATCATCTGTGTAATTCCACCTATAAACCACATGAGTCATGCCCTAGGTTTATTTGTAAGATGTGCTTGGTACTTGAAAGACGTTTTCCTCTGGAAACAGTGTGATAAACGGTAGCCCCACAATGCAACAAAGGCTGGCAGTGCAGGGGAGGGTCCAAATGAGCCTGAGGAATGCGGCAGTCAGAAAGCCCTGCTTATGAAGGACAGAAATCACACCGTCTCCCCTCCAACATGAGAAGCAGCTGGATAACACAAAACGTAGACAAGAAGGGGCTATGCCTTGGGAAAGCCGGAATAGTGGACTTGATCGTGGCAGGATGGCAGGCATCCCCGTTGTATTTCAATTTCTCTCCTACAGGCTGGGTTCTAGTCTCCCTGTGTTTCTAGGAGATGAAAGACCAGGGATTCGCCAACTCCAGGTTCCATTCCCAGAACTTCATCTGAGATGTGGGACCAGGTATTCACCAAGCCCAGGTTCCAATCCCAGAACTTCATCTGAGACGTGGGACCAGGTATTCACCAAGCCCAGGTTCCAATCGCAGAACTTCATCTGAGACGTGGGACCAGGTATTCACCAAGCCCGGGCTCCTGTCCCAAAAATTCATCTAAGACATGGGACCCGGGTGTTCACCAACTCCAGGTTCCAATCCCAGAACTTCATCTGAAACATGCGACCAGGTGTCGCCAACCCCAGGCTTCTCTCCTAGATCTTCCAGAATAAGAGCGAAGAGGTGGCCTCCATCTGGGTTAAAATCTGCAGCATTTCAGGAGATTTCTGTGGTTGCCTGGCTCTTTCCATGAGACCATAAGAAACAGCCCCTGGTCAGGGGACAGCCGGTGATCAGCCACCCCCAGAGATGTGGAGAATCAGGGTGGGCACACCACGCTTGGCTTGGGTCGTTCAAAATCTCACCACGAAAGAGGCCCAACTCCAGGCCACGGCTGACATGGCCCAGAAGCCTCCATGGTAAAGACCCTGGGGGAGGAGCTGGGGTGGAAAGGGCAATTATGGAGACCCTCGGGTGGTGGCGAAGAGGGAGGGGGGCAGGGTCACTCCCAGGCGAAGAAAAGCAAGGGAAGCCCCCGGCTATTTTCAGTGGTTGAAGCGCTCATGTCCAATCACAGGGGTGACCGGGGGGACGAGGTTTACAATCAGGGCTTCTGAGTCTCTAGGACACAGGAAAGTTCTCGAATCCCCTCGGGGCCAGTCAGAGACACAGAAACCAGGCCCTGTGTTGCCACAGGGGACCTTTTGTCTCAGAGGGAGCAGTAAACACTCAGAGGAAACGGCCAAGAAGGGTCCTGCAGGACTTGGCAAGGAAGGAGACCGCGAGGTGGCCCCATGTCCAGGAGCCAGCGGACCTGCGTGCCCCTGTCCAGAGGAGCGGCTGCAGCTCAGCTTCAGCCCTGTGTCCCTGTGAGAATGTGGGTGGAAGATGGCCAAGTCCTCCTGCTTATTCAGGAGAAGCCGGTTGTGAAATGTTTCAAGGTAGTAGCAAACAGAACATAAACCGAGCAGCTTCCATGGGCCTCTCAGTTCTATGTGTCTCCGGCTGAGATTCAAAAGAGAAGGTGGACGAAGAGGAAATGCAGGTGACGCCGAGGAAAGGCGCCCAGGACACCAGAGGGAAATGTGTGCACGTGCTCGCCTGCAAACCTGCCACGCGGGAGAGGCTTCCAAACAGCAGGAACCCCACAGGCCCCAACTGCGGAAGGAGGACGGAGCCAGTTCCCCTCGGGCGGTCATCATTGGTCTTGGTGACAAGCCAGTGCAGCAGGTGTAAGGAATGAACAGACGTCAGGGGAAGGCGGGAATTCCAAACACCTTTCCTCTGACTTCACCCACGGGAACCAAAGGAGAGGGAGGTGCCTGGCGGGATGGTGGAGGCCGAGCCCAGGTCCCACCCCGTCCATCACGGGTGTCCGCGCCGTTTCCTGGGCTGCTGTGGCTGGATGGCTCTGTTGTTTGTTTTGCCGCCACACACACACACACACACACACAAACACACACACACAAACACACACACACACACACACACAAACACAAACACACACACACAAACACACACACAAATACACACACACACACACATACGTGCTTCCAGAAACATCCACATACATCACATGTGGTTTCCTATTGGCACTTTATTCCTATGTGGTGGATTCCCAAGGTGTGACTGCAGCGTGACTGGTGGAAACATATGTTTGCGTTACCACTCCCCTGCCAGCCACAAATACACACAAAAGAGACTGGGATGGTGGCACCAAAGAGCTTCAGAGGGCACGGGCGTCATTTCCACATCGCTTTCCAAAATGCCCTAACAACTTAAATTTACATGAATATTAAAAACAGTGCCATTTTCCCTGCCAACAAGAGATGTTATGTTTCCCTTTATTTTCTTTAGTCTGAGGGTGATAAAACATATGGTTTCTTTCACTGGCAAATCTCTACGCAGCTGTGTGTTGGGACATCTCTTTCAGACATTTGTTAGTTTGTTGCTTTTATTCTTTGCCAGCTTTCTAATAATATATGTTTCTGGGATATTACAAATAATAATGTCACACATGTAATGTCATTTACATTAAAAAATATTTTACTA
Source organism: Homo sapiens (assembly GCF_000001405.40). Taxonomy (NCBI): domain Eukaryota; kingdom Metazoa; phylum Chordata; class Mammalia; order Primates; family Hominidae; genus Homo; species Homo sapiens. The sequence goes on from NC_000022.11 coordinate 49,471,491, forward strand.
ATAGATTACTTTTATATTGGCTTGACATAAAGTATCGTTTTTGCCATGAAAATACTTTTATCACTATCTGAGCACAAATGACTTTCTTTTATGGCTTCTAAATTCCTTATTAAAAATCATTTCCTGGTTGGGCATGGTGGCTCACACCTGTAACCCCAGCACTTTGGGAGGCTGAGGCGGGCAGATTACCTGAGGTCAGGAGTTCGAGACCAGCCTGGCCAACATGACAAAATCCCATCTCTACTAAAAATACAAAAATTAGCCGGGCATGGTGGTGGGCACTTGTAATCCCAGCTACTTGGGAGGCTGAGGCAGGAGAATTGCTTGAACCTGGGAGGTGGAGGTTGCAGTGAGCCAAGATCACGCCACTGAACTCCAGGCTGGGTGACAGAGTGAGATTCTGTCTCAAAAAAAAAAAAAAAAAAAGTCATTTCCTCAGTTGCAGATTCCTCAGTTGCAGAACCTAGAAGTTTCTGGATGTAAATATCATTATTGTTATTATTATTATTATTATCTTTATTGTTTAAGCCTTTGATTCCCCTGGCATTTGTGTCTGTCACTGGTTTGATGTTGAGGACTGAGTCATTTCCATCCTGATGGGCATCTCTGTGCAGGACACACTCACGAGGGGAACCGGTCCCTTCCCCCGAATTGGACACCATTCTTATCACAAATCAGACCTCATAGACTAGGTTCTGGTTCTCAGTGCCCTGATTCCCCCATTCGCTTTTCCATTCCTGGGCCAGTACCATATTGATTTGATTTAAGCGCCTTGGAAACAAGTTATCATTTTCACATCAGGCAATTTTACAATTACCGTTCTTTTTTAGGGTTTGCTTGACTATTCTTGGGAATTTATTCTTCCCTATGAACTTTCAGTTCGTGAAATAAGACGCCTGGTAATCTCACTGGAATCACATTAAACTTTTACATTAAGATTGGAAGAACTGCTGTCTTGAGAGATTAGGCATTTCCCTATAAGGACGAGCTATCTCTCCGCGACTTCAGATCTTGTTTTATGTCCCTTAATAAGACTTTCCATATAGTATTATTCTATATAAGACTATAATATAATATATTATATATATTGTACAAGGTTAGTCTAACCCTAGCCTTATATCATCTTGCACCTTTATTTTCAAGATAGATTCCTGAGCATTTTATAGTTTCTGCCAATGCTGTGCGCAACATATTTGTCCTCATTTCCATTCCTAGATACTTATTTCTAGCATAAGAAAAACTATTGATTTTTGTAAGCTCATCTCCTGCCCGGCTATCTCACCAACATGGAGTAAACATTTCTTTCTGAGTCAATATTGGTGATTTATGTTTTCCTAGACTATGAGCCATTTCATCCAGATTTCAAATTTGTTACTATACAGTTGTACAGAGAATTCCATTTTAAAATATATTTTCATTAATCCTACAAATGTTTATTGAGTACCCACTTTATGTAGTTATAATCCCCTCTTAAAATCCATAAAATGTGTATGGTCACATTCTTATTTTTTTCTTGATTAGATTTGCTAGACATTTATCTATTTTATTAGTCTTTTAAAAGAAATAGTTATTTAATTTATTTATAAAGCCACTTAATACATCTCTTGTAATCTATTATTTTCTTCTTTACTCAGGAATCCCAATTTCTTTACTTTTACTTTGTTATTCTATTTCTAGCTTATGAATTGAATACTTGGTTCACCTAATTTCGTCTTCCATCTTAAACGCTGAAGTGCGGAAAGTTTGGTATCTCCCCCTAAGTGCAGGTTCGCCTACAATGTGTGGGAGCTGGAACCTCATGCTCCCCTCACCGTCGGTGGCAAATGCTCCTTGGCCTGAACTCCTGTCACTGTGAATGTCTGAGGCCTGACGGGCCAGGGTGGTTGACAATGGGGCCCCCTCAGTCGGTCCCCAGACAGGGGGAGACAGGAACGGGCTTATCTCCAGAGGTCAGCAGAGGGACCGTCTTGCAACCGGAGCTGGTTTGGGGCAGGAGTGGGTGTGGAGGAGAGCAGCTCCTGCCCTTCACTGGAGCCAGGAGGACTCGGCTTTGGGGACTCTGCTGGTTCTGCTCCTCCCCCAGGGAGAAAAGCCTGGGAGGGAGTTGGTGCAGGGCCGAGTTGAGCTGAGAAGTGAGTGGGCCAAGTCCCCTGCCGGGCCCTGCACCTGCCCTTCCTGTGCCCACCAACCAAACGTCTCTGCAGCTGGCGAGGATGTCACGTTGTCTTCAGGATTTTTCTTTTTCTTTCCTTTTTTTTTTTTTTTTTTTTGAGATGGAGTCTGGCTCTGTCCCCCATGCTGGAGTGCAGTGGCGCGATCTTGGCTCACTGCAAGCTCCGCCTCTCGGGTTCACACCATTCTCCTGCCTCAGCCTCCCGAGTAGCTGGGACTACAGGCGCCCGCCAACACACCCGGCTAATTTTGTTTTTGTATTTTTAGTAGAGATGGGGTTTCACCGTGTTAGCCAGGATGGTCTCGATCTCTTGACCTCATGATCCACCCACCTCGGCCTCCCAAAGTGCTGGGATTACAGGCATGAGGCACCGTGCCCGGCCCAGGATTTTTCTAAGATAGACTATAATTTAGAATTTTTGCTTTCTTTCTTCAATTTGACCAGTAAAAAATGAAGTACACTTTTCAGGAAAACAGCCTTTTCTCCCCAACATTTATTTTTTCTATTAACATCAAACTTTATTCCATAGGGGTTACAGTTCAATCCATAAAATGTCTGCCTGGTGGAATTGAGACTTTCTTTGAGCCTTTTTAGTATTCATTTTCCCATGTTTCATCCGGCCAGGGAGATGTAAAGCATTGTTTCCTTAGGAGGGAAAATTTGTGTGTAACTTCCATTATTGTTTCATTTGCTTACTTTTGTCTGTCTTTCCCACCTGCACTGTAGTGAGTATCATGAACACAGGAGATAGGACCTGATTTATTCACTGTTACAGCCGCGGTTCCTAACAGAGCACCTCATATAAAATGAACATGCTGTAAACACTTGTGGAAAGAGTGACTCCACGAAGCAAGCGTACGAATACAAGCTCACATGCCAGTCTTTTGAATTGTTTGTCTACTTTATATATCCATGATTTTAAAAGACGTTGCAATCTCCCATGATAACTTATTTACATTTCCTTTTGAATTTCTATCTGATATCATCTTGATATGTTTTATGCTAAGTAATCCCAACACAAACCTTGACAAGACTCCGTGTTTCACTGAGACAATATCAATGGTGCCAGACTTTCCCTCCTACCATAAAAGACTTGGAAACTAGAAAAACACATGAAACAATTGATTTCAGATATTGACTAGCAGGTAACCCAAGAATGGAAGGAATCCCTGAGGGAAGAGAATTAATACGATGAGGCTACCATTGCCCAGCCTTCCGCCTGGAGGCTGACCCCACTACACAGAGGGATGTCGGGCAGAATGCAAGTCTCACCGAGTTGAGGGTACAGAGACCCGTGTTCTGGGATGCTGAGGTGGCTAAAAATTGGAAGGAAGAACAACATCAATAAAGGATCTATGCAGAGAGAGGGCTCCAGAAATCGGCACGGGTCTCCCTGAGTTTGTGGCTCAATGTGGAAGTAGGTAGACAGAAGGCAAAATTCCATCAGGCCATTCTCGGATATCCTAGGATCCATAGGTTCAACAATTCGAGGAATCCAAACAGGGCTGGGACTCACTCGTGTTTCCATCCACCCACGTAGAGAGAACCTGATGAATACACAGTGTGCTCAGCGTAAACCGGAGAGTCTGCGGCTAAACCAGCCTCCCAGGAGAGAACGTCCCAGACCTGTGCTCTTGAGTCTTAAGATAAAGCTCAGGAGAGACAAGCATAGCCTGAAGGTAACATAAATGTCACCGAATCAAAACTCAAAACTCTTTAAAGAAGACAATAAAACACAAAAACTCATCACCAAAACAATCAGTGTCAGGCATCCAGTTAGGAATTAGTCACCATGTTCGCAGGAGAAAAATATGACCTGTAACCCCAATAAAGGCAGTCAATAGAAAAATACCCAGAAATGACAGAGATGTTGGAATTTTCAGACAAGGATGTTAAAAGAGCTATTATAAATGTGTTTAAGGATTTAAAAGAACACATGATCACGATGAAGAGAGAAAAAGGAACTGTTAAGAAGAAATAAAAAATATCCACAGTGACTAATACGCTTACCGGACTTATGAGCAGATAAAACACAGCAGAAGCAAATAAAATCAAGCTTGAAAATATAGCAATGGGAATTATCCAAAGCAAAGCATAGACAGAAAAGAAAGAACAAAAATAATTAACAGAGCCTCAGTTACACATAGTACAATATCAATCTAACTTGCCCATAACTGAAGTTCCAGAAAAAAAAGATACAGAAAAATATTTGAAGACATGGTAGACTTATTTTTTTTTTCTAAATTTGATGCAAACTTTAAACTCTCATGTAAAGAAAAGTGTTCTCACCAGCCTGGTGTAGAACAAAAAGAAAATCAGAAAGAATGATAACTGCAATAGATTGAAACACATCAAACGCATAAAACCCATATGTGCACCTGATGCTCATAAAGTCTCCCCTTGTTGGTCAAAATGGGAGGATGATAGAACCAACTCTTGGCTCTGAAATGAAAGAGGGTTCAAATGCTTATCTTTCTTTTTTTAGCTAAAAATGGATGAAAGAAAATTTTTATTGAGAGAAAATTTCCAGCATTACTCAAAAGTGAAGTTAGAATTAGAAAGTCACTGTTTTGCAGCTCTTAATGACATAACTGATCTATTCAATAATCACAAACGGCTGCTTTCCACATTCATTAAGTAAAATGGTGGTTGGAGGCGGGGAGCAGGGTAAGTCTGACCCTGCCAATCTTAATGTCATTAAGACCTAATGGGCCTCCTGCTGTGAAGCAAACACTGGTGCCACCTGCAAGGAATTCTTGCTAAAAAAAACTGAACTAGAATCAAATCGAGCGTCAGATCAAGCGAGCAGTTTATATGACACAGAAGTCAAATGACACCAGTTTCTCCAATAAATGAACCACTGGTATATAAACAAAAGTGAGCTGTTGTCAAAAATAAAAACCTGAAAATACATAGCCACCAAACTCAAAGAATAAATTAATTTTTAAAAGACTGCTTTGAGACAATAATATTTTGAATATGAATTTTGAATTTCCATTGGAAATTATAAAATAACAATGAATTACTATAACCTTTGATAGATGTGATAATAGCATGGTGTGCTTTGCAACCAGTGGGTGGATGGATGATGACTGGATGGTGGATGGATGAATGGATGCTGGATGGAAGGCGGATGCATGGATGAAAGGATGGTTGGATGGAGGATGGATGGATGGTAGGTGGATGGATGGATGGATGGTGGATGGATGGATGGATGGATGGATGATGGATGGATGGATGGATGGTGGATGGATGGATGGATGGTGGGTGGATGGATGGTGGATGGAAGGTGGATGGATGGATAGATAGATGGTGGATGGATGGATGATGGATGAATGATGGATGGATGGTGGATGGATGAGTGGATGATGGATGGATGAATAGATGGATGGTAAATGGTGGATGGATGGATGATGGATGGATGATGGATGGTGGATGGATGATGGATGGAAGGTGGATGGATGGATGGATGGATGGTGGATGGATGGATGGTGAATGGATGGATGGATGAATGGTGGATGGATGGATGGATGGATGGATGGTGGATGGGTGGTGGATGGATGGTGGATGGATGGATGGATGGGTGGTGGATGGATGGATGGTGGATGGATGATGGATGGATGGATAGATGGATGGATGGATAGATGGGTGGTATACAGTGGATGGATGTTGGATGGATGGATGACAGATGGATGGTGGATGGATGATGGATGGAAGGTGGATGGATGGATGGATGGTGGATGGAAGGTGGATGGATGGATGGTGGATGGATGGAGGATGGATGGTGGATGGATGGATGGATGGATGGATGGTGGATGGATGGATGGATGGTGGGTGGATGGTGGATGGATGGATGGTTGGATGGATGGATGGTGGATGGATGGTGGATGGATGGATGGTTGGATGGATGGATGGTGGATGGAAGGTGGATGGATGGATGGATGGTGGATGGATGATGGATGGTGGATGGATGGATGGATGGATGATGGATGGATGGATGGTGGATGGATGGATGGATGGTGGGTGGATGGTGGATGGATGGTGGATGGTGGATGGTGGATGGATGGTGGATGGATGGTGGGTGGATGGTGGATGGATGGTGGATGGATGGATGGATGGATGGTGGATGGATGGATGGATGGATGGTGGATGGATGGATGGATGGATGGTGGATGGATGGATGGATGGTGGGTGGATGGTGGATGCATGGTGGATGGATGGATGGTTGGGTGGATGGATGGTGGATGAATGGATGGATAGGCATCTAGATGGATAGAAAGATACATATAGATATTGTGTTTTGTATTATTTTAAGTAAAGATGCATACTCAAGTATTTATAGGTGAAATGACATGATGTCCAGAATAAGCTTTAAAATATTTGAAAAAAAAAACTGTAAAAATAGGTGAAGAAACATTGGCACATTGTTGATTTTTTTTTGAGCTTTGAAATTTTTTATAATAAAAAGTTAAAATATTTTGTTGAGTAAAACAATCAATTAATGAATGTGCCACAAGGCTGTGCTGAGATGTCTACCTTGAATATGAAGAATTCGGAGTCAGTGAACTTAGTCATTAAAATTATGCTATTTGATAAAAAATAATTTAATGGAGAGAAGATGGCTACAGCAACAATAAAATTATTGCACAGAATGAATGAGTGAGTGAATGAATGAATGAAGAAGCTCATGCCTTGGCCCCCTGTTCTCACTCCTGTAAAATGGGGGCACAGGGTCAGATGGAGTCTAAAGTTCCTCTTAGTTCCAGTCATGCTTCTCTGATTTCACCTGGAAAAGAACGTAAAAGAGCTTCAAGGATGCATCTCTAGGCTTTAAATCATTAAACGAAGTGTATTAGTCCATCTCACACTGCTGTAAAAAACTACCTGAGACTGGGTAACTTATAAAGAAAAGAGGCTTAATTGGCTCACAGTTCCGCAGGCTGTACAGGAAGCATGACTGCAGAGGCCTCCGAAAACCTTCAATCATGGCGGACAGTGAAGGGGAAGCAGGCAAGGCCTTCATGGGGCCAGAGCAGGAGGAAGAGAGGGGAGGGGGCGTCACACACTTTTAAACAACCAGATCTTGCGAGAACTCACTCCCCTATCATGAGAACAGCAAGATGAAAGTCTGCCCCATGATCTAATCACCTTCCACCAGGCCTCTCGTCCAACACTGGCGATTACAATTCTACATGAGATTTGGGTGGGGACACAAATCCAAGCCATATCATGAAGAAATCTTTCAAAGAACCAAAAAACTCCATCTAAGAACTTTGCATTGGCCAGGCACAGTGAGTCACGCCTGTAATCCCAGCACTTTGGGAGCCAAGGTGGGAGGATCACCTGAGGTCAGGAGTTCGAGACCAGCCTGGCCAACATGGTGAAACCACGTCTCTACTAAAAATACAAAAAAAAAAAAAAAATAGCTGGGCTTGGTGGCAGGCAGCTACTCGGAAGGCTGAGGGAGGAGAATCACTTGAACCTGGTAGGTGGAGGTTGCAGTGAGCCCAGATCGCACCATCGCATTCCAGCCTGGGTGAAAAGAGCAAAACTCTGTCTCGGAAAAAATAAATAAATAAATAAAAGGAAAAAGAAAAAGAACTTTGCATTGGCCGGGTGCAGTGGCTCACGCCTGTAATCCCAGCACTTTGAGAGGCTGAGGCGGGTGGATCATCTGAGGTCAGGAGTTCAAGACCAGCCTGGCCAACATGGCAAAACCCCATCTCTACTAAAAATACAAAAAAAAAGTTAGCTGGCCGTGGTGGCAGACACCTGTAATTCCAGCTACTCAGGAGGCTGAGGCAGGAGAATTGCTTGAACCTGGGCAGTGGAGGTTTCAGTGAGCCCAGAGAGCACCATCGCATTCCAGCCTGGGTGACAAGAGCGAAACTCCGTCTCAAAAAAAAGAAAAAGAAAAGAAAAGGAAAAGAACTTTGCATTAAAGTCCATGTGATGTGACGTAGAAGCACGTAGGTAAGTCTGGGCTGTATAATGAAAGTACAAAACTCAGAGTGTGAGATCCTGTGGTCTGCAGGGTCCCTGACGCAGTGTTTAAGACTTCTGTCTGTCCAGGGCCCCCGCTCCAGGAGGACATGGCAGGAGCACTGGGCAGGAGGCATTTGCTGGGACGCAGCACCCACACAGGACAGGGACTCGTGACGTGTTCACCAATGTTTCTTCGGCTGTGGCAGGTGCTCCATGGTGTTTGCTGAAGCTGGGTCGATGTTAGAGTGACAGAGTCTGGGACCCTTGAATCTATGGATGGGCCTGGGTTTGCCCTGCTCAGAAAAGGTGAAGAGGATGCATGAAAGAGTCCTTCAAATATTGGAGGAAATTTCAAGTAGAAGAAAGAGAGAGAGAAGGAGAGAGAGAGAATGTGTTTGTGTGTGTGTGTTCTCTCCAGGGGCCAACCTGAAATCCAGAAGGGTCAGGAAGTGAGAGAAAGATTACAGCTGAACGTATGGATGGCATTTCTCTGTGTTTAACTTGTGCCGTTAGAGGTTTTTCCTCATCATCTTATCCTGCAATGACACCGTAAGCTGCTTCTGTTTGGAGACTGACCTCACTGGAGGCACCGGAGCAATGGCAGAATCAACTCCAGCAAAGAATTTTCTAGAGGAGATTCAGGGACAGGTGAGCATCTCCAGGTTGAGATTCTGAGATTCTCCCCCAGAAAGCGGGAGATGATCAGGTACAGGGGTGTGTGTGTGTCTGTGTGCGTGCGGGCGTGCATGTGTGTGTGAAGGACACACAGAGAAGGGGAGATTGAGAGGGACTGAGAGGAAGGGAGGGGAAGATGGGGAGGGAAGTCTCGCACTGCCCTTCTTCTGGTCTTAGGCCCGGGCGGGTTAAAATAATCTCTTTATTAACATGAAAAGAGGGATGAGAGGAGATGTATCACGTGAGCGTAGCTTCAGGGAAGCATCAATAGACACAGACAAAAACCAGGATGTTTGTTTCTTAAGACCCTTTTGACACAAAACCCAAAGAAACAGTGTCCCCTTGAGAAGCTGCACATATTTTACTTTTCTGCACAGAAACCAGGTACTCTAGGGCAGTATTCTTCTCTACTGTTTTTGGATGGTAAATGCTGCTTGTATTGTCATTTCTTGCCTGTGTTTTTAATAAATAATTGAATACATATGCTGACTGCAATACTCGAGCCCCTAATGCTAAGGAAAATAAAATAAATGATGCTACATAAAGATTCATTATTAATTGGCAGCGACCATCTCAGTAATGTTCTGACAAGCACTAAAGTGCAATGAATTAATCTCGCATAAATTTTTTGTTCTTCAATTTTTCAAGATCTCTTCAGCGGTGTCCTCAGTGGCATCTCCCTGCAAGTGGGGACCAAGTTCTGAAAACAGCAGACTCAGCTGCGTGCGGCACCTCACGCCTGGAATCCAGCACTGTGGGAGGCCGAGGCGGGCAGATCACCTGATGTCAGGAGTTCGAGACCAGCCTGGCCAATATGGCGAAACCTCGTCTCTACTGAAAATAAAAAAATTAGCTGGGCATGGTGGTAGGTGCCTGTAATCCCAGCTACTCAGGAGGCTGAGGCAGGAGAATTGCTTGAACCTGGGAGGCGGAGGTTCAGTGAGCCAAGATCGTGCCACTGCACTCCAGACTGGATGACAGAGCGAGACTCAGTCTCTAAAAAAGAAAGAAAGAAAAGAAAAAGAAAATAGCAGACTCATATCTGTGCCTTCCCCTGGATCTGGGACGTGGCCAGAGAGAGGGAGCCCTCCCACGCAGGCTATGACTCCAGCCCCCGCCTGACCTCGGGGTGATGTGGGGCTGGGCTGCCTCAACTCGCAGAGCTGCAGAGCGTGCTCAGGACGTGGGGGCATTTTAAAGGAGATGTGGACACACCCTTCCAGGGGACAGGCAAGCAGAGCAGCCTGTGTTCTCCTCACTGTCAGGGCGTCTTCTTGGGGTTTGCTTGTGTGGGCACTTTGCTACACCCTTGTCTCGTCTGGCGCACACCCAGCTGGGTTTCCCCAGCAGGGTGCGGAGGTGGCAGCTTTAGGGACAAGGGAGGTGTCAGTTTAGCTGATTGCAGCCGCGTGAGAATTAAGCTCTTGGTGATGAGCAGAGCAGGACGGATTCTGTCCGTCGGGAAGTCAGGGATAGGAGCTGCCTGAGCTGAGGGGCTGGCATGGAGCCTTCAGTGGGAGACAAGATTGAACGGGCCCCTTGCCTCACCCTAATTTGCATTTCCTCCCTGAATTTAAGGCTGAGCACTTGGAAAACCGACCCTGGGTAGGAGACGTGTCTCCCACGGCAGGAAACGGAGAGGAGGAGCAAAGGAGGAGCCCAGAAGGGCCTCCGCTGTGGGCAGGACAGAGTTGCGGGGAGAATTGCCAGGTCCTAAGAAGCCCGAACGGGCGTCGGCATCACAGTCAGCTCCCTCCTTCCAGCTTCTGAAACCTGTGCTTACAGGCAGCTTCTGGGCAGGGCGAAAAGGAGACGGAGGCCGGTTTCTGCACGCATGTAACACTATATCTCCCACCCGAGGCTGCACGCAGCCCACCTCCATTCCACTGGGATCCTCCTCCCTGGGCGTCCGCAGCCATTACACAAGTGATTACTTAGAATTCCTTCCTGGCTGTCGAGGTGAGAAGCACCACCCGGCCGCCTCCCTTCACACACGCGTGTCCACCTGCCGGCAGGACCCCCGCCTGTCGGGAGGGAGCTCGCGGCCATTTGTAGAAGGAAACTTAATCCCTGAGATGGAGAAAAGTTGGCCAAGACTTTCCACGGGCTTTTTCATTTCATTCACACTGAAGTTTTTATTAATTTAGTAGGGCTTCTTAATTAAAGGCTCAATGAATAATTGAAATGTAGTTTTGATTATGCTGAAGTTGGTGCCATTTTGAGTTGTAATTGTAACTAATAAATTAATTAAATAGGTGAGATGATGAAATCCTGTCTCAAGGGGGGGCACTCTTTCAAGAATTTATCTACATGTCATTCAGAGGATTTATGCAGGAAAAAATAGACGATCAGAAGAAAACCCTGAGTCTTATTAATCAGCTACCTCCTCCCTGTAAGTGCGGGAGCCCGCTAATAATTCACAGTCACCCCAGTGTGAGAGGAAGGAGGGCAGCACCTGCTCCTCCCTAGAACTCTGTCTGACTTCTCCCTCAAGTCAGAAGAACTGGAGACGGGAAGGGGTGTGGCTGTCACTGTTTATCCCATGAGGGTTTACTGGGGTCCCCCCTCTGGATGCCTGGATTCAGCCGTGGATGAAACAACCATTGGTCCCACTCGCTGGGAAAGGGCAGACCCTGAGCGAAGCTGCGGCCGCACTTCCACAGTTTACGCCGACGGTCAGGGTCATGAGCAAAATTAAGGCAGGAGGGAAGAGTGAGCGGGGCCGGAGCTGGTAACAGGGGAGGAGAATATTTGAGCAGCCACCAGAAAGAGCTTCGGACACATGTGGTGGAGGTGTCACCTTCCAAAGGGGTCCTTGTGCCTGGAGGCCCACCCCTTCCTCCCGCCACAGGTCTAGGTCAGCTGCAGGTGTGAGCCACCCCTTCCCTGGCACAAATGAGCCGGGAGCCTGTGTGAGAAGAGGCCACTGCACATCAGATGAGGCCCTGGAAGGAATCCTGGACTCCATGGCTTAATAAGCCCATTACAGTCAGAGCAAAGCAACAAATGAATTATTCACCCTGGTAGGCAGTTACTTGCAAAATAAATCTAGGCCAGTGAGAAGGCCCTTTGCCTCCGGATTCCTGGGGTGATAAGCACCCCTCACCTGGCAGGGGCATTACCAGAGCTGCCCTGTTCCCCTAGCGATGAGCCAAGATGGCATTCGCACCTCTGGATGCAGGCCTCCGCGGGGACCTACAGTGTACACATGTGGGGTTTTGCCATTCCTGTCTGTTAGAGCCCATCCCATTCCCCATGAGCCTCTGAGGAAGGTGCAAAGTCTGCGCTAGTCTTGATTCCCTGAAGCAGCCGGCTGTCATAATAACAGAGATAGTAGAAAGGTACTATTAGCACTATTATCAATAAAACAGGACCTCCTCCGCGGTGTGTGGCGAGGGCCCCGCATGCAGCAGCCGGAAGCCTGCATCCCGTGACCCACCGGTTCTTTGATCATCTCGGTTTTGCCCGCTGGTAGTCCAAAAGCCTGTGCGACAGAACCACTCAACCTGCTCATTAACACACAGCTCCCCAGACTTGACCCCAGATGGGATCCAGGCCCAGGAACCTGCAATTGGTGAGGAGCCTGTGGCTTTTAAACACAGGATGTCCTAAAACCATGGACCTGTGCTTTCCTCTCCTGCTACACTGGGGGTTGTTTGGGGGTGTGGCTGATCCCTTCAGTTTACACACAGTATAGCACCATGCAGGGTTAATGCTGTGTTCCTTTGCCCGCCCCCCACCATGGCGTAAAGCTCATAGCAGGTGGAATCGCCTCCCAGGTTCAGGTGAGTCTCCTCCCAGCAAGTACATCCTGGATGACAGTGCAGATTCCCCACAACCTCACCCAGGCATCCCCCAAAGGTGACAGACACACCTCTGCAGGTGACACCATGCCCATCCCCCGGAGGTGACAGACATGCCTCTTTTCTTTAGACATTGCACAGTCTTGGGTATTTCTTTATAGCACCACAAACGGACTGAGACAACCGCTGATTCCTTTTATGATTTTCTTGGCATTCTGAGACTCTGCCGTATGGACTGGAAGATCATCCTATCCACTCCTCACAATCAGTCTATAGGGACTTTCATCCTGAATCTCACTGAACTTTTATTTTAGTTTAGGAGAATTGACTTTGTTTTTTTCTATGAAGCCTTTCTCTCCAAGGACATGGGATCACTGCTGTAATTAATTAAATGTTTTGTGCCCCCAGAATTCGCATGTTGAAGCCCTGATCCCCACTGTGAAGGCATTTGGAGGTGAGGCCTTGGGGAGGTGATTAGGGTCAGAGGAGGTCAGGAAAGTGGGTCCCATGATGGAATTAGTGCCTTTGTCAAAAGGTAGAAAAGCCAGGAGGTCTCTCTGTGCACCACCAAGGAAAGGTCATGTGAATCCATAACTAAAAAGGGCCCTCACCAAGAAACCTTCCATCATGGAGAAACCTTCCATCACCGAGAAACCTGCCATCACCGAGAAACCTGCCACCACCGAGAAACCTTCCATCACCGAGAAACCTGCCACCACCGAGAAACCTGCCACCACCGAGAAACCTGCCACCACCGAGAAACCTTCCATCACCGAGAAACCTGCCATCACCGAGAAACCTTCCATCACCGAGAAACCTTCCATCACCGAGAAACCTTCCATCACCGAGAAACCTGCCATCACCGAGAAACCCGCCCTCACCGAGAAACCTGCCCTGACCGAGAAACCTGCCCTCACGGAGAAACCCACCATCATGGAGAAACATGCCATGCCCTGACCTTGGACTTCCAGCTCCAAGAACTGTGAGAAATAAATGTTTGCTGTTTGAGCGGCCCAGCCGTGTTTCCCTTACAGCAACCAAGCTGAGACAGCATCCCATCGCTCCACGGTTATTTTTCACAGCAAACCCATGCCTAAACATTTTTCCGATTTTAATTTTCCACTCCGTATTGCTAATATAAAGGAAATCTATTGGTTTTGAAAATTCATCTTATACCCAGCAATTTTTTCAAATTTTTGAAATTAATTATAGTAGGGGGTTTGTTGTTGTTGTTTGGTTTATTTTTTGTTTTGCTTTTTCTTTTGTAAAAATATCTCTTTGGTTTCTTAGCTGCACAATCAGCCCATTGGCTAAAAGGATGCCTTTTTTCTGATTCCCCAATATTTATACTAACTATTATTTGCTTTCTTGTGTTAGCTGGAGCCTCCAAAGTGGTGCTGAATAACGGTGTTTAGTGGCCCCAGTTTTAAAGGAAGTGCCTTAGTGTTTTCAGTCGTCTCTATCATTTCCTAATTTCCTGTCTAAGCACATATTTGCTTTGGATTTTTGTGTTAGGTTTTTATTGCTTCATGACATTACCATAAATGTAGTGGCTTAAAACAACATAAATTTTATTATATTAAAGGTTTATGGACGAAGAATTGGCAGGGTCTAGTTTACCTGGTGCAGTGGGCTGAACTGTGTCCCCTGACAATTCATCGATTGAGGTTCTGACCCCCAGTGTGGCTGTATTTGGAGGCAGGTCCGTTAAGGAAGTAATTAAGGTTCAATGTGGACATTAGGGTGAGGCCCTGATCCAACAGGACTGGTGTCCCTACATGAAGAGGCACATTCCCTCTCTGTCTGTCTCTGCCATGTGAGGACATAGCAAGAGGGTGGGCAGCTGCAAACCAGGTATCAGGCCCTCACCAAAGGTCAACCCTGAGGGCACCTCGATCTCAGACTTCCAGCCTCCAAAATTGAGAAGTAAACATCTGTCATTTGAGCATCCAGGTTGTGGTATTTTATTAGACACTGGGGCTGACTGAGACAGCTGGGTCCTCCGCCGAGGGTCCCATCGGGCTGAAACTGTCCACTGGCAGCATCCTCACTGGGGGGCTGGACTGGGGGTGCTTCCTGGGATGGCTGGCAGAATGCATTTCCTTGTTGCTGTACGACTGAGGCCCCACCTTCTAACTAGCTCTTGGTGAAGGGCCACTCTCGGCAGCTGAAGGCCACCCCAGGTCCTGCCACCTGGCTCTAGGCAGGACTCAACATGGCTGCTCTTCATAGCCAGTGGTAGCATGGGCCTTGGATAGGTCGACATCCAGCCTGAGAAAATGCTGCTTGTAAAGGGATCACCTGATTAGGAGAGGCCCACCCAGATAGCTCATAGGTTCCAGCAACAAGCAAGGGAGGGGATGATACAGACCCTGTGCACCCAGACCACCGCGGAACTCTGTTTACCACAGGTTTTATTAAGAATACCTTCCAAATATTATTACACGTGGAATCCCAGCACAAATTTAATAATATTTAGCACAAATTAGGGAGGCCGAGGCAGTGGATCACCTGAGGTCAGGAGTTAGAGACGACCCTGAGCAACATGGATAAACCCCATCTCTACTAAAAATACAAAATTAGCTGGGCGTGGTGGCGGGCGCCTGTCATCCCAGCTACTCAGGAGGCTGAGGCAGGAGAATCGCTTGAACCCGGGAGTGGGAGGTTGTGGTGAGCCCAGATCGCACCGCTGCAATCCAGCCTGGGCGAGAGAGCGAAACTCTGTCAAAACAACAAACAAACAAACAAATTCTTTATTTTCTCTCTACATCTGTTGATATATTGCATGATGTTAGATTTTTTGGTTTCTTTTTTTTTTTTTTTTTGCGATGGAGTCTCGCTGTTTCACCCAGGCTGGACTGCGGTGGCGCGATCTTGGCTCACTGCAAGCTCCACCTCCCGGGTTCACGCCATTCTCCTGCCTCAGCCTCCCGAGTAGCTAGACTACAGGTGCCCGCCACCATGCCCGGCTAATTTTTTGTATTTTTAGTAGACATGGGGTTTCACCATGTTAGCCAAGATGGTCTTGATCTCCTGACCTCGTGATCCGCCCGCCTCGGCCTCCCAAAGTGCTGGGATTACAGGCGTGAGCCACAGCGCCCAGCCAGATTTTTTGGTTTCTAACCATTTTTGCATCTCAACTTACTGGATTATAAACAGAGTTTTTACAATTTGTGAGATTCTTCCTTTTTAAATTTGTTAAGGTTGACTTGGTGGCTAAAGGCAATCTATTTTTTGGAATATTCAACTGATAGGACAAAACATGATTTTTTTTCTTGTTGAAGAACATAAATTATGTTGTATTGTTTATTGTTTGTCCTCTATATTCTTTTTTATGTATTTTCTGCTTGGGGTTCCAAGAGATGTATGCAGACACCCCACTCTGCTTCTGTTTTTGTTCACACTATTCTGGATTTTCTGGTAGTTTTTGCTCCATACATTTAGTGGGTGTCCTGTTTGTTACTTAGCAGTTTTTGTCAATTTAATTAAATTTCTTACCAACTGGACAATTTTTCATTATGTAATCATCTACTTTCCCCTTGACTGCTTTTAAGTCTATATTCTTCCTTGAACGAAGTTAAAATTGCCACTAATTTATATTTGACCTTCCTCTGCTACTTAGTTTCAGGTGTTTCCTATAAGCCATGGAGCTGACTTTTGTCTTCTAAATGAATCAGTGATTCTTTCACTGAAAGGGGAATTTATTCTGTTCTCATTAAGACCTCGTCCATATTCTTGATTTTCTTTTCTCTTATTTGTTTTAAACTCTACTTTTTTGGTACCATCTTTTTTCCTCTCCTCTTTTCTGATGCTTTGCCAAGTTCCTGTGTGCTGTGTCTGTTTCTTTCAAATGTGGGAGTCCTACTGAGTTCTTACAGCTCACTGGAAGTTCCTATACTTTCCTGACCCGCAGGCACGGCAGGGGACATCAGCATTCCTGTATGATTCCTCATCCTCTCCTAGTGAGCATACCTGGGCTGGCCTGCTGAACCGGCTCACCTCGGCCACCCAGCCCAGGCCAACCCAGTTCTGTCGACTCTCAGCCGACCCAGACGAATGACAGAGCCCGGCTTAGGGCAGGGAACTGCCAGCCAACCCCTGCCAAAATCGCAGACCCACAGCCCTGAGCTGAGCCCAGTGTCCACTATGTCTTGTCCCTGAGGTGTTGGGGTCTTTGTCATGTGCCGAGTTCATGGTGACCAATGACAGATACACCGTCTGCTCAGGTCACCACGCGCCAAACCCCCAACACAACAGCCCCCATGTTCCTCAGACATTTCCCCCAGACATCAAAGAACTTACTGGAAAAATAAGTTTTATAGTTTTGTTCATAAAAGAAATCAGAGAGAAATGCTTTATTTCTAGTCTGCACACAGAAAATTAAATGAAATATAAATTCTTAATCACATGCCCAGTAAAGAGAAAGAACCTTCGCTGTAGGCACTAAATCGGCTTTGACATTTACAACTTCATTAAACAATGAAACAAAGTCACAGCTTTTGTAACTTGTAAAATATGACAGCAGTGGGATCCAGCCCCAAATTTAAGCGATATTTAGACATTGCAAGAATATGAGATTGAGGCTTAAGGGGCTTAAGGGGCTTATCTCAGACCCAGAAAGTTGGCAAACTTTTATATTTATTGAATATTCATTTGAATGAATGATGACACTTTATTTTAGGCATGACAAGGAAGATTTCAGATAAAGATTATGCCGGACGCGAAGTTCCCCCATGGGGCCACATGACTGTCTGCTTTCCAGAAAAGACATTAGTGCTCCTTGGAGGTTAAAATGGGTGCAAGTTTATCAACCTTCAAACAACAGCTTCTAAACCACATGCCCTCTGCAGGCTCACAGACGATTCTCCAAGAAAATTGCCTGGCAGTTGACCGCGGCATCGGTGGTGACCGTTCAGGTGTGCCAAGGACAGGCTGGTTTGTCCTCGTCGTCCTGAGCACTCTGGCCAGGGTCATGAACAGGCAGGTTCCACAGATCCCCAGGCCCAGCCAAAGCAGCACCCTGGTCTGCAGGTGGCACCTCTGCCTCAGGCCAGGCTCCAGAAAGCCAGATGGAATTCAGGGCTGCTTAGACACACACCCCATGCCTGGAGACAGAGAACCGGAAGGGGCCCCCCGACCTGCTTATCAGGAAAAGAAGCAGAATCTATGGACACCTGTGGGCCTCACTGGGGGGACTGGCGGGGAGCAAGTGTGATATCTGCGCCGTGGGTCCAGACGCCCTCCCACCGTGATATCTGCACCATGGATACAGACACCCTCCTACCATGATATCCGCGCCGTGGGTACAGACGCCCTCCCACCGTGATATCTGCGCCGTGGGTACAGACGCCCTCCCACTCTGATATCTGCGCCGTGGGTACAGACGCCCTCCCACCGTGATATCTGCGCCGTGGGTACAGACGCCCTCCCACCGTGATATCTGCGCCATGGGTACAGACGCCCTCCCACTCTGATATCTGCGCCGTGGGTACAGACGCCCTCCCACTGTGATATCTGCGCCGTGGGTACAGACGCCCTCCCACTGTGATATCTGCGCTGTGTGGGTACAGATGCCCTCTCACCGTCGTATC
Source organism: Homo sapiens (assembly GCF_000001405.40). Taxonomy (NCBI): domain Eukaryota; kingdom Metazoa; phylum Chordata; class Mammalia; order Primates; family Hominidae; genus Homo; species Homo sapiens. The sequence continues at coordinate 49,489,718 of NC_000022.11, forward strand.
TGCGCCGTGGGTACAGACGCCCTCCCACCATGATATCTGCACTGTGGGTACAGACGCCCTCCCACCATGATATCTGCACTGTGGGTACAGATGCCCTCCCACTGTGATATCCGCACCTTGGGTACAGACACCCTCTGGCTCTGCTGGTGACTGGCAGCAGCCATTGCTTCCTTAAGGAACCCCGGGCCTGGTCTCATCGCTTCCCCAGGCCCATGGAGCCCTCCAAGGTCCTCGTTAGCTCACCCACTGCCTGGGCGTGACTCCCCACCTGCTGCCAAGCCAGAGGCCTGGGCCACCTCCACCTGACTCTGGGGTATCCTCAGCCTCATCCAGGGTCCAGCAGACCCCAGGCTTCAACCCCGGCTGCCACGGCCCCACTCCAGGTAGCTCAGCCTCTCTGCCCAGGTGGTCTTGTTGAACCAGCCTCATGTCACTATCTCTGTGCTGAAATGGGGTACTGGTCACACTCACCTGGAACAAGAGGCCCACCTCATAACTGCCTAACAGGGTCTTGCATCCTGAGGCTGCTGCGAGGCTGTGGAAAGGAAAGGGGATTGGTCTAGGTGGGCACTGCAGGCGGACTGGCCAGGCAGGAGAGCAGGCAGACCCCACTCGCCTGTCAGCGGGAGCTTCTGCTGGGGCCCTGACCTTCTCCCAGCCTTGCCCCGCTCCCGTCTCCCCCAGGCCCCCTTCCCTTCTTTATCTTCCCACAGCTGCATCCTGGACCCCAGCCAGGTCCGCCCTATATCTTGCGCTTCTTCTGGTACTTCCCTAAAGAGAGCAGCCCGGTCTTCTCCCAATTCCCATCCCCAGATCGCGGAAGAATCTATGATAACGACACCATGAAGGCCTCATTAACATGGAAATGAACAGCCAGACACCTACGCCCTCTGCACAGCAGCTTCTTCACTGGGGGCCTGGAGGAGGCCCTGGAAGGTGGGGAGAAGCCAGAACCGCAGGCCCTGCTGGAAAGGCTGAGTGTGGGGGCTGCAGGGACCTCAGGGCAGGCAGCCGTACCCTGGTGCTGGACGTGGTTGGAGCAGCCCAGCCTGGCTCAGCCCCAAGCGCTGGGTCTTTGGATCCCAAACCAAGAGTCCTATCCCCCTTTCCCCCTCTCCCAGACATCCATGGCCTGGGTCCCAACCCACAGACCGCCTGGACCCATGTGAACGGCGAGCCCGACGCCCATAGCGCAACTAAAACCTCAAGGAGGAGCCCGGCAGGCCCAGCCGCGGAGACCTCGAGCAAATCCGTCACTGCAGGTTTGAAAGGTGGATGCAGTGTTTGCTGCCGGCAGGATGAGCCCAGTTCCCAGGCCAGCACCAGAAGAAGGCAGCGCATGGGAGCTCACGGACAAGGCCCAGGACCGGTGTCCTGAGGGGCAGGGCCTGGGTAGGACAGGAGCGCCCTAACACCTCCCTGCCCGTTCCTTTGTGCCCCAGGAAACAGGGAAAGGAGGCCAGCACCATCCTGTCCAGCGCAGGCCAGAGGTGCCTGCAGGGATGTTTGGTTTTGCGTCCTCCATCAAGTCAGGGGTTGTGTTCCAGGCCCAGCTCCTCCAGGCTGCAACCAGGCCCTCCCACGAGCCAGGGGTCCTCCTTGCAGCTGCCTCTTCCCAGGCCTGGCCTCACCATCCTCTCTGCCGCCCGGGACTGGCTGCCCCTCTGGCCCCAGCTGGATGCCAGGAATGTGGTCCAGGTCTGCTTCCCATGGCTCTGGGATATCCAAGAAAGGGATCCCACCCAGGAAAGCCACTCAGTCCACCGGCCACTCCATCCCACACAGGAACACTCCTCTCCAGTCCCTCCTGTCCGGGGCCTCTGAGACCAGGCAGCTCAGACGGGGGTTTGTGTCCAAAGTGAGCCGGGAGCCCCTTCTCTGTAGCAGCCCCAAGTGCTCCTGGCGCCCCTTGGAAGTGCTGGGGCCTGATGTGGCTCTCATGGCCTCCTGGGGCCATCCACACTCCAATCCCTCCCTCCCCTGAAGCCCTCCAGGGCCATCCACACTCCAATCCCTCCCTCCCCTGAAGCCCTCCAGGGCCATCCACACTCCAATCCCTCCCTCCCCTGAAGCCCTCCCCGGCCATCTGCACTCCCATCCCTTCCTCCTCTGAAGCCCTTGGTGTTTTGGCCTTCACTCCCGGCTGTGCGGGTCCTCGCAGGGGCGTGAGCTGTGGTTTGGGGATGCTGCCCACAACCAAGCAGTCTTCCAGCTTCCGTCCCCTCCTTCCCGCCGTGAAGCAGCCAAGTCAGGCACTGGGCCCCGGCTTACTTTGAGGGCTGCGCCCCCTCCAAGTGCGTTCTGCAAGTGCCGTGAAGGTGTAGCGCCGGGGTTCACATCAGGGGCTCACCTGGCCTGGACCCCAGGAGGCCCCCAAAGTACACTCAGACGGTTCTCCCCCAGGCTGAGGTCAGCCCCAGGTCCCCAGCCCTCCTGTGCCTGGCCCCATCTCTAAAACGCCTTGCTCAGGCCCCCAGGTGGGCACAGCCCGCCCTCCTCCTACCTCCCCAGCTGCTCTTCCTCCATCTTTACTGTTTCTTGACCGCCCCAGCCTCAGGGCCTTCAAGGAGCTGTCACCTTTCCCTGGAAATTCCCATGGTCAACTTCATAACCCTTTCAAGCCTTTACTCAAAGCCCGTGGCCCCCCAGCTGTACCCAGTGGCCCCTCCAGGCTCTGTTCCAAGGCGCCAACGAAATCTCCTAACCTGACTCCTGTGCGGGTTTCCTCTTCTGCGCGGCCAGCTGCCCGGGAAGGAAGGTGGCCCACTGTGCACCTGGTGGCACCTGTCGCTTCCGGACTCCAGCAGGGTCCACAGGCTGGTTGGGAACTTGCCCGTGGATCCTCCGACTCGTGTGTATTTGGTTCCTGTCCAGGGCTCATCGGAGAGGCTGAGACCTCCACATGGTTTCCTGTGCCTGCACCGTCACCCACGCTCACCCACAGCCCTCGGAGATAACATCAAACTCTTAAACCGGGAAGGTTTGTGCAAACAGCAGTGACCTCCAGAAGCCACTGTCAGTAACTAAGTGCCCACCTTTCCTGAGAGGCCGTCTCCTCGCGTAACGTGCCAGTGCAGTCCCGAGCTATTTTTAAGTCCGCCGGCAGAGGCCGAGGGATTGAATGTGTTATTATCCAATGATGGCTGGTGATCATCAATTACTTAACCGAGAGAATCAAAGTACAAATTGCCGGGTTCACTCAATTACTGCTAAAATGGTATAAAAGCATTTTAATTGTAATCAGAACGTACTGTCTCCAGTGTAGATATTAAAGGGAATAGTGAGTCATAAATACAGTGACCCATTTATCTCCTTATCTGCTTACCAAACAGAAACATTACACCCAGCAAATGGATTCAAAAACCAGAACCAAGTTAATTAGGTTTACTGAATTAGTGGAACATCTAAATTGGATTCCATTCCGCTGTTTAGTTGAAGTTTATCTTAGCTTGGAGCTGATTTTCCAGCTGAAGAAGGAGTGTCAAGTAAAGTAATGAACCTACTACAAAATTATTTTCTTAAAAAAATTATAGTAAAAGACCCATCCATCAGACTTATTTATCTTTTTTTTTCTTTTGTAGAGATGGTTTGAGAACGTCACTGATAATTTTTCCCTCAAGAGCCACACCTTATTCTCTTGTTACATCAGGGTCCTTTCTTCCCGCAGGGGCAGGAGGAAGGGGCTTGTCACTTGAGATCAGGGTTTTAGATTTAGTACAGGATGGGTGTCCCTGTTCCCAGGCCTGGGCTGCTGCCCTGGGAGGCCCGGGTTGGTGGGCTCCCTTTCTTTGTTTTTTTGAGACTGCGTCTTGCTCTGTTGCCCAGGAGGGAATGCAATGATGCAATCTCGGCTCACTGCAACCTCCGTCTCCCGGGTTCAAGCGATTCTCCTGCCTCAGCCTCCTGAATAGCTGGCATTACAGGCACCTGCCACCATGCCTGGCTAATTTTTGTATTTTTAGTAGAGATGGGGTTTCACCATGTTGGCCAGGCTGGTCTCTAACTCCTGACATCAGGTCATCCACCCGCCTCGGCCTCCCAAAGTGCTGGGATTACAGGCCTGAGCTACCACACCCGGTCTCAGTAGGTTCCTTTATTTCAGTTGTCTGAGGACTGTTTCTGGTTTTGCTCCTCAATATAGGGATCACAAGAGAGTCTACGCTGAGGACGTGGAGCACTAGTGAGAGCTAGTGGAGAGCAGGGCCAGGGACACCAGTGGCTTCCATGGTTATTGTTTGAGTTTGGCTGAACAGCCTGTGAGTATGGGCTGAGCTCCCTGGGCAGGGATGGACACAGCGGAGGCCCGAGCCTTCTCACTGCAGCTCAGCCAGCCCTGTAGGCTGGGGGGCCATGCTCCCACCCCCACTTCCACTGCAGTTGGAGCAGAGAGCAGAGGGCAGGCACTCTGACCTGAGACCTAGAAGCCAGAGACACCTTGACCTGTGTGCTTGGTTTCCATAGGCATGGAGGCCTGTGGAAGCAGCTGTCCCGGGCCCAGGGCAGATGCAGAGAGGCAGAGCCGAAGGACCCAGCCCTGCCCTGGGGTGGTGCCATGGGAGAGGCAGGTAGGCAGGCAGCAAGGGCAGAGGCACAGGTGCAGTGGAAGGGCTGGGCAGGGGTGTCCGGGGCCGTGTGGAAGGGCTGGGCAGGGGTGTCCGGGGCCGTGTGGAAGGGCTGGGCAGGGGTGTCCGGGGCCGTGTGGAAGGGCTGGGCAGGGGTGTCCGGGGCCCTGTGGAAGAGCTGGGCAGGGGTGTCCGGGGCCGTGTGGAAGGGCTGGGCAGGGGTGTCCGGGGACGTGTGGAAGGGCTGGGCAGGGGTGTCCGGGGCCGTGTGGAAGGGCTGGGCAGGGGTGTCCGGGGCCGTGTGCAGCCTTGCTTCACCCGCAGGAGCACCTAGGATACAGATGATGGGCAGATACCCAGGGGTCTCCAGGCGGTGGGAGCGCACCCCAGCAGGCTGCAGGCCTGGGGCGCGGACAGGCCTGACCTGGAGACTCTGGGCCATGGGAAGCCCCCATCCACATGGGCAGGGGGAATCTGTCATTCTGAACAGTGAAACAAAGCACGGAGAGCCCACTCAAGTTCTCACTTCTAGAGAAGAGGCAGCCTCGCCTGTGTTCCCAGCTTCAGCCAGATATGCATGCGCTTGCAGAGGCTGGCACGCTCTGAGAGCCAAAGCCAGAGACGGGAAGTGGGAATCACTCCAAGGCTGGAGGGACACACAGACCCATGAGGATGGCCAGAGGAGGACGGAGATCATACAGGGAGGTCCTGTTCTAAGAGGTCATGGGTAGGAACCTTCCGCGAATGCGGGAGGAAAACCCTCTCCTGGGCCATCTAGGGCAGCCAGACACATCACACACAGAGGAATTCTACACTTCCCACAGGTCAAAGGCAGGCCATCTACAGGGCAGCATCCTGGAACTGACTGCAGGTGCTCACCAGCAACAGGGTGCTCACCCACAACAGGATGCAGAGACAACGCAGCCTTCACACCGGAGGAACCAACAGGGCGAGCCCCAAATTCTACACTGCTGGTAACACAGAGACACATTCGTGCAACAAATCAAGGCTCAGCAAACAAATGGTGAAGGCTCATCATAAATATCAAAAGGCATTGGTGATAAATAAGAACAAAAAATAACAACATCTGACAAAATAATTGATGAGAGAATCGTGGGTGCTGTGGGGACGGGTGAGTGTGGACAGAAGTTAAATCACGCTAATTTCCGTCTCATCCAGGAGGAGGATAGATACACTGAATGCTTTTGGATTTATTTTAAAAGATATGCTTAAAATGTAAGGGTAATAAATATGTCTTGTGTGTTCATACACAAATGTACACACATAGAATGCACCAAACTGACAGAGGGAAATAAACTGAAAATAACAAGGGTTAGCAATTATATAGTTCTCTGCAGTTTTATATGACACTTAACAGACATTAATTTATTTACTCTTCACCCAAATGCTATGGTAAGAAGTTATTATTATATCTGTCAAAATTGGAGTCATATCAACTTAGGAAAAATTTTAAAGTCTATTGTCAAACAATTAGAGAAGGCACAGCTCACAATCCGAGAAACTTTAAACCAAGTGTAAAAAGCATGTCTTATGGCAGTCACAGCACAGTTAATAAAGCATAAAAAGGAACTAATCCAACTTTTTCATGATTAACTAGCATACTTCAACTTTTTTTTTTTTAAAAGGAGTCTTGCTCTGTTGCCCAGGCTGGAGTGCAGTGGCACCATCTCAGCTCACTGCAACCTCCGCCTCCCAGGTTCAAGTGATTCTCCTGCCTCAGCCTCCTGAGTAGCTGGGATTACAGGCCTGTGCCACCACACCTGGCTAATTTTTGTATTTTTAGTAGAGACGGGGTTTCACCATGTAGGACGGGCTGGTCTCGAACTCCTCACCTCAGGTGATCCACCCACCTGGACCTCCCAAAGTGCTGGGATTACAGGCATGAGCCACCATGCCCGGCCCACTTTAACTTTTTTTTTTTTTTTTTTAGCACAAGTAGAGCTGTTTGAGCTGTTTTGTCGAAGGTTGATTCGTTTACTTTCACTGAATCACGACGGTAAGAATGTGAAGCTTACGTTTTGTGTTTCATTTACGACTAGAGCTAGAATTTTGAGGAAATCAGGATGATTTGTTTTGGCTGTGAGGTTATGGGTGGCTGGTTATGAGGTATGTCTAAAGTGTGGCCTCCATCTTTATTTTTCTTTAACATCCACATTTCCTGAATGGAGAATCTGAGCCACTCAGAGGTGAAGTAACTTGTCCAAGGACACTCAGCAGATAAGTGACTGAGCTAAAATTCAAAACTAGGCCAGAGTCCGTGCCCTTAACCACTATTAAATACGGCCTCTGAAGAAAATTGAATCAATCACAATAATGTCAAGAAAAGTGGCGGGGGAGAAAAAACAAAGACAGGGATTGATATGTACAAAGCACAAAATAAGTGGACAGAAATTAGTCCAACTGTATGAAAAATCCAACAAATATAAGTGTGTTAAATATACTTTTTAAAATACAGAGACTCTCAAACAAATTAGGTTAAAAATAATTCAAGCTACGTGGTGTTTATAAAAAACATGCCATTAAATGCTGAGCCCAATGGCTCATGCCTGTAACCCCAGCACTTTGGGGAGGCCGAGGTGGGCAGATCATTTGAGGCCAGGAGTTTGAGACCAGCCTGACCAACATGGTGAAACCCCATCTCTACCAAAAACACAAAATCAGCTGGGCGTGGTGGTGCACGTCTATAATCCCAGCTACTTGGGAGGCTGAGGCAGGAGAATTGCTTGAACCCGGGAGGCAGAGTTTGCAGTGAGCCGAGATTCGTGCCACTGCACTCCAGCCTGGGCAACGAGAGCAAAATTCCGCCTCAAAAAAAAAAGAAAGAAAAGTAAAGAAACATGCCATTTTAAAAGGAGACACAGAGAAAGAGAGAGAATTATACTCAAGGCATATGCTTGCGAAAATAACATAAGGCAACAAAAAGAATAATTCCAATTTTTAAAAAGGGCCAATGGAAAATTGATCAAGGAGACACAGGAATGTGAACATTAAATACAAATAATAACATAATTTCAAAAATATTTTTAAGAACTGAAAGGATTACAGGGAAAATTTGGAAGATTCACAATCACCATGGGAGGGTCTTTGTAGCACAGTTCTGTCAGGAAATACAATCATATATTGCGTAACAATAGGAAGAGGGAGGGAGAAATGTGTCATTAGGTGATTCTGTCATTGTTTGCTCATCGTAGAGTATACTGACTCAAACCTAGATGGCATAGTCTCCTGTAGGCCCAGGCTGTGTGGCAGATCCTATTGTTCCTAACCTACACACCTGTACAGCATGTACAGGTACTATAAGGGATACTGTAAGCAACTGTAACACAATGGTAAGTGTCTGTATATCTAAACATTTCTAAACATAGAAAAAGTACAGTCAAAATACGGTATTATAATCTTATGGGACCACCGTCACGTATGTAGTCCCTCTTGCATCAAAAGGTTGTTATGTGCTGCATGACTCTAATAGAATGAGTAAGAAGAGGCCGGGCCTGGGATTACACGCCTGTAATCCCAGCACTTTGGGAGGCCAAGGCGGGCTGATCACCTGAGGTCAGGAGTTTGAGACCAGCCTGGCCCACATGATGAAACCCCTTCTCTACTAAAAACACAAAAATTAGTAGGGCGTGGTGGCACATGCCTGTAATCCCAGCTACTTGGGAGGCTGAGGCAGGAGAATTGCTTGAACCCGGGAGTTGGAGCTTGCAGTGAGCCCAGATCATGCCATTCATTGCACTCCAGCCTGGGCAACAGAGCTAGACTCTGTCTCAAAAAAAAAAAAAAAAAAAAAGAATGAGTGAGAAGATGATATGTAAGCATTTAGAAGACTGAATAACATAATTAACAGGCTTACGATTACCTGTGCAACGCTGAGTGCCTCTCCTCGAACCCAACAGGGCGCATATTTGTCCTATGGAAGTGCACAACCTACATTTATTAACACTGAAGAGGCGCAAACATTCCAGTGGATTTTCCATCACAAGTCGTTTGGCAGGAACTGGCCGGTGCCTTTTAAGGTTCTTCTGACCTTCATTCACACTGTGGCCGAAGTCCTTGCTGCCTCTCAGAACCCCTTGATCTTTTTCCCCACTCCTCCTCACCTGAAGCTGGCCCAACCTTCCAATTCAGCACACATTTGCTTTAGGAGATGCCTGTCAGCTGGCTTCCCAGAAAACATGACTCTCTCCTTTCTCTGAACTTTGAGCGCACCTGTGATATGAAATACGACAGCTCGCTCATCACATACTCTTTTTATTCATTGCCAGAATATAATATTCCTAGAGTCCCCACTCTGTGCCAGTACCCTTCCAGCCACTGGGGAGAGGGTTGTGAGTAAAATAGTTTCTGCTCCTCATGGAACTTACATGCTAGTGGGGAGCACCACTTGACTTGTGCTGGGAAGAACACGAAGCGAGAGAATGGCTCCCGGCAGGGACGAGGAGGGTCATATTTTAAACAGGGCAGCCAGGGAAGTCCTTGGTGGCCAATCAGACTGGAACGGAGGGAACGGAGGTGTAAACAAACGAGCAAGAATGAGTATCCATAGCCAGATTTGTTAGTGCCTCACATCTAGGAATACCCTTTTGTTTGCCTTGGTTCTTAAAAATAACTGTGTTGAAAACTCTCTCACCAATTGCCGTCCAAAGCCTTGGATTACACACGATTAATTCTCCCAAAACAGCCTGCATCTTCTCCTATAAATATCTAAGGATTCTCTGGCTGGGGGTGGTGGCGCACACCTGTAATCCCAGCACTCTGGGAGACCAAGGCAGGTGGATTACTTGAGGCCAGGAGCTCAAGACCAGCCTGGCTAACATAGTGAAACCTCATCTCTAGAAAAAAATACAAAAATTAGCCGGGTGTGGTGACGCACACCTGTAATCCCAGCTACTAGGTAGGTTGAAGCACAAGAATTGCTTGAACCCGGGAGGTAGAGGTTGCTGTGAGCTGAGATTGCACCACTGCACTCCAGCCTGGGCAACAGAGTGAAACTCTGTCTCTAAAAAATAGATAGATAGATAGATAGATAGATAGATAGATAGATAGATAGATAGAGCGATACAGATAGAGATGGATTCTCTGTACAGAAACACTGGTACTGACTGTTTTTAAGTATGTCTTATGGACTCCTAGAGTAAGAAAGGAACATGTCTCATATTTAGATGAATTCCAGGAAATGAAAGAATTGGAGATACTGAGAAAATTGCTTAAGTCTCTTTCCTAGTCAAACTGAGTCAAGGCACTGGGACCCCTGCTATGGTTTCCAGGAGGTGTCTCCTCCCCCAGCAGCCCCAACCTGCCCATAGCACTCTCTTGATGTGGTCTCATGGGAGACAGCATTACTGTCACCCAACTGTCATTCATGAGTTTATGTAAATGTATATAACCAAAAGTTAGGCTTAGCACTGAACGAAAGGACCATAAAGTTTTCACTACCAGACATGGCAGATATGTCTGCTCTTAGCCATGTTGAAGAGACTATGAAGTGCATTTGCAGAAGGAAACAGTAAAAGGCAACAGAGCTGAGACTGAAATGATGAGCAGACAATTCCACACATACCCAGAGTGACACTGTAATTAGCCAGGGTTCTCCAGAGAAACAGAACCAGTAGGGGATAGATGGATTAGATAGGGAGAGAGAGAGAGAGAGACAGAGAGACAGAGATAATAGATAAGATAGATAGATGATAGATAGATTAGATAGCATAAATTAGACATATAGATGATAGATTAGATAGATACATGATAGAAGAGATACATGATAGCTTAGATAGGTAGATAAGACAGATGATAGATGATAGATAGATACATAGATAAGATGGCATAGACTAGACAGATGATAGATTAGATAGATAGATAACAGATAGATAGTAGATAGATTAGACACATAGGTGATAGATTTGATAGGTAGATAAAGATAGATAATACATACATACATAGATGGTAGATTTGATAAAGACAATAGATTAGATAGATAATAGATTAGATAGATGATACATATATTAGATAGATAGTAGATAGATTAGATAGATGATAGATTTGATAGATAGATTGGATAGATAATAGATAGGATAGATTAGATAGATGGATAGATTAGATAGGATAGATTAGACAGATAGGATAGATGATAGATAGATAGATAGATAATTAGATTGATAGATTAAATAGATGATAGATGATAGATAGATAGATAATAGATAAATAGATAATTATCAGGAATTGGCTCCTTCTCATGGAGGCTGAGAAGTCTCACAGTATGTGGTCTGCAAGTTGGAGACCCAGGAAAGCCAGTAGTATAATTTAGTCTGATCTAAATCAGACTAAATCACCATCACCATAATAATCACCACCATCATCATCACCATCACCTTAATCACCATCACCATCATCATCACCATCATCACTCTCATTATCACTACCATCACCATTATCATTATTCCCTCATTATCATCAACACCATCACCATTGTTATCACCATCATCATCACTATCATCACTACCATCACTATCACTATCACTATCACCATGATCACTATCATCATCACCATCATCACCCATCATCACTATTATCACCATCACTATCACCAAAACCATGATCATCACCACCATCATGACCATCACCACCATCATCTTCACCATTACCACCATCATCATCACCATCATCACTCTCATTATCACTACCATCACCATTATTATCCCCATCACCATCATCACCACCATCGCCAGTGTTATCACCATCATCATCATCACTATCATCACTAGTATCATCACTCTCACCATCATCACTATCATCATCACCACCATCACTATCATCACCATCACTATCACCATCACCATGATTATCACCATCACTATCACCATAACCACAATGAACCACCATCACCATGACCATCACCATAATCATATCACCATCATCATCACCATTATCACCATCACCATCATCACCATCATTATCACTATCATCACCATTATCATCATCACCTTCATTATCATCATCACTGTTATCATCACTACCATCACGATCACCATTATCATTATCCCCATCATCATCACCACCATCACCATTGTTATCATCATCACTATCACTATAATTATCACTATCACCATCATCATCATCACCATCACCATGACTATCATCACTGTCATGATCATCACCATCATCTATCATCACTATCATCAGATAATGAATTATCTTTTACTGTCTGTGGACAATTATCATAGGACAAGATTTCTCTATCTTGGCACTATTGACATCTGAGGTCTGGATAATTCTTTGTTGTGGGAAGTTGCCCTGTGCGCTGTAGGACATTTACTAACATCCCTGGCCTCCACCCACTAGATGCCAGTAGCAACTGCCACCCCTAGTTGTGACAGCCTGTAATATTTCCAGACATTTCCGTATATCCCCTGGGGTCAGAGTAGCCCCTGTTTGAGACCCACTGCTCAAGAACCATTTGCTCTTGCTCTGAAAGCAGGATCCTATGCTCATAGACTCACGTTCCAATGCAAAAAATGAGCATGCCTGTGTCTGCCTGTGGAGGAGCATATGGGGAAAGGCAGGATTGAATTTAGATTCTTATGCGGCCTACCAGGGATATCATACGGCAGAGAATATCACATTGATTATTTTTTCATGTACACTGAAATTGGAAAATGTAAATCTGGATGACACCTTGTGAAAACCCAGATAGAGTCACCAATGTGAACCTGCTGGAAGGACGGAGAGTCAGGATGACTTGTCTCTGTTGTCAGGACTTTAAGTTACAGATGGAAAGATTCCTTTTACCCAAATGCCAAACACCAATTTTGAAAACACACTCAAACATCTGCCTTCCCCTCAGTCATATTCAGACACCCTCTGTTCTTTGATGTCACTGCTGAATTCCAAAAATGCCCAATTTTACTTGGGACTCATCTTCCCTGATGTGATGGTTGGAAGTTGGGAATTAATCAGCTTCACCTCCCCCAGCTGGGAGGAGATTCGAAGAGTGGTGGTATTGGAAGGGATGGTGACTCACTGAAAAGACATCACGGAAATGGTGCAAAGGGCAACTGAAAAGCCGCAAACAGCAGAAACCGCCGAGACGCCTGCAAGAGCTTCAGATCCTTAATCTTCATTTTCCACTTCTTTGATCTGCACTTTGATTAGCTTCTCACTTTCTCCATCTGCTTGAATTTGTCGCTATTAATTTACAATAGATTTCCTTGTGCCCTTATGCCAACTGTTTCTCTCGAGTCAGTGGAGTTCTGACAATCAGAGGAGAGGGGCAGGTGAGCGTGGAACAGCGTGTCCACATCAGCACAGATATCCAAGAGCAGGGTTCGGGGGTTACAGAGTGAAGACACAGCTCCCTCCTCACACCAGGTACATCCCATGCTGTGTGACATCTTCTGGCCTCACTCTCACAATCGTTGGGATGCCTCAAATAGAGCTGCCTTCTCGGAAACTCTGCCAGCTTCCCATCTGGGAGGCTAGGATGATGATAGACTCTTGATGTCTAACAGAGACCAATTTTTGTTGAATACTTGATGCGGCCCCCAGGGGTAGGCAAAGGAGTGACTGTGGAGGTAAGAGGGGGAATTGAGGCACAGGAAGACGCCCATAGTGGAGCATATCCTTTTAATTTACACCACGCCTTCCAAATTCTTTCTCCTTTAGCTCCAGGAAAATCTCACACTCTTGAAGGTCACTGCCTCCCATGGCACCACTGGGTTCTGTCCTCAATGCTGAAATCTGCCACCTAAGGCCACATCTCTGGGCTCTCATTCCCTCCCCTCTCACAGTGACATCTTGGAGACCTGCACCCCCCATCACTCTTTCCACCTCCATGTGTGAACTCACCTGGGCCAATTTCAAAATTCAAGAAGACGGCCTCATGGCCTTATGTGCACAGATCTTACAAGTGCTTACTAGGATAAAATTGTGCCTAACTCCTGGAGGACCAACTGTACCACACACCCCAGTTCACCTAAGTTTCGATTTGGCCAAGATGTATTTTTCGCCTATACAACTTCCAAGAAAAAAAAATTCAAGAAGTGCTCAGCTCTGGCTGAGCTACACCAATTTAAACAATTTAATTTTTTTTATGTTGTCAAGTAGAACATGTCAAGTAACTCCTTGGTTAAATTATCATGTAAGGCCAGTCCTGCTAATTTTCTTGAAACCAAGTTATAATCAGCCTCAATGTGGTTTGGCTGGGTCTGTCTCTTGAGGTTGAAAGCCATTTGCACATTATAAATAACAGCTTTCACTTCTCATCAAGATTTTTAAAGTCTTGAAATCAGGTTGCAACCCCAGCAAAATGTTAAATGCAGACAACACTCAGAGGCCTGGAGTAACTTACTCGGAGTCTCTCAACTGATAAAGGCCCCACTCTCTGGTTCTCTAGCAGAGGTCTCTTTGGCCTCAGAGCCCTCTGGCCACTCCTCCAAACTTGACCTCTCTCTCTGTGACCCTCCAACTCTACAGCCCACCTCCCACACTCACTCCTTTCTTTATGCCTCCGAAGCGAGACACTCTGGCACAGCCATCTGGAGCAAGCAACTTTCATGAGACCAACTTGATGCAGGAACATTCAGACATGGCTTAACAAAACCCACGTTATTATAGTTTCAAGCATTTTTATGGGTTTTACAACAGTCACAACAAAACCTGAAGCAACCCTGCCTAACTTGAGCTGAGGCATGGGCTAGAGCTCTCCATGCCGCCCTATGCCCAATTCTCTCATCCCTTTGGGCTCAAGGGGCCCTCGTGCCTGCCACTGCCTTGCAGCTGGTGGGACCATGTGACTAGCTCTGTGATGGTCCTGAGCAGTTGCAGGACAAGCCATTTGGGGCCAGAGCCCTCACTCGCTGGTGTGATTCCCCCAGTGCTTTGCTGCCTGGCCACCGCAATCCTAGATTGAAATGGAGGGTGCTTAGGGTCAGAGCAGCCTGAGGAATTCTGAGTCAAGTCATGGGGGATGATTACCTGAGAGACAGAGGGACTGGCCTGGATTTGCATGAGTCAGAAATAAGCTTTTGACATGTCAACCCACAGAGATCTGAGGTTTCTGATTACTGCAACAAACCAAGATCATCCCCACTGATCTTACCCTTACTGTGTCACAGATGCCTGCTCCAGCTGCCTCATCTCCTCTTGTGTTCACAACAGACCTAGAAACCAGTGTCTCCCAGCATGGTGACTTTCCAGATGGGGAAACCGAGTCTTGGAGAAGTATGATGAACATTCTAAGGTAACACAGCAGAGCTTGGACCCCTACCTGGGCTTGTCTGAATCCATAGCTCTCAGGCGCTCTGCTACCCACCAGCCCTTACGGATGCCCAGCCTTCCACAGCATGGGCCTACTCACTCTTCCCTGAATACTATTCCATTAAGCTGAGCTTAACTGAACCCTGAGTGGCCCATTCCTCATCCCACCCTTTCCCACTTCAGGTCAGCCCCAACACTATCCTCGTTCACCCTGGTTGATTCCAGGCCATCAATATCTCATGTGTTAAGACCCTACTAGTTTTTCAGAAACCTTATAGTCCAACACCTGACTAAAAGTTCAATCGCCAATGGCCAAGGTCCAAATGTTAAATTCATTGTTCTTGCTGATTCAACAGCTCTGTAATTTCTAGTTTCCAAATGGTCCACATTTGGCAAAACGCAATTCAATTTAGAAAACAGTAAATGTGTGTTTGCTACCTGTAGAATCCTGTGGACACAAGTCAATATCAGATTTCCCATAAGTATATCATGGCTCAAAACTTTGATACCAAGAAAGGAAAATGATTCTAACATGATGATGGTAATGATAGTGATGAGAATGGTAACAATAATGGTGGCATTTATGGCAGTGGTGATGACATAGGTGTTAATAATAAAGATGATATGATGATAATGATGATGATAATGATAACTATAACAATAATGGTGGTGGTGATCATGGTGGTGATGGTAGAAATGATGGTAATGGTGATGATAATGATGATTGTGGTGATGATTACAGTGATAATAATGATGGGGGTGATGGTGATGACAATGGTGATGATGATGATGGTCATGATTATAACGATAATGGTAATGATGGTGATGGTGGTGATGGTGACGGTAATGATTTAGGGTGGTGGTTATGATAATGGGATGATGCTGATGATAATGATGATGATAAAATGATGACAGTGGTGATGATGATGATGATAGTGGTGATGGTGGTGATGGAGATGATCACAGTTGTTATGATAATGTGATGATCATGATGATAATAACAGTTATGACAAAAATGATGATGGTGGTGGTGATGATGATGAGGGTGATGGTGACAACAGTGGTGATGATGGTGGTGATGATGGTGGTGATGGTGATGATGGTCATGGTGATGGTGGTGATGATGATCGTGATGATGATGATGATAACAATGGTGATGGTGATAGTTAAATCCATGTACTGGGAACTCTACTTAATACTCATTATCACATTTAATATGACAATTATACTATTTACTCTTCCTAACACATCCATGGGAAAAGTGAAGCACATGAGGTTACGTCATCTGGTTGAAGTTACACAGTATGAGCAAGGAATCAAAACTCAATCCCAGGTATTCTGACTTCACAGCCTGTGCTTTAGACACCACTGCATGAGCAGACCTGGAAACGTGATCAGCCAGAAATACCAAATCCAATCGATTCATGTATTAAAAATGCATGGATCCCCCTCCGCATGAGGCACCTCTGGGGACAATGTCCGGAGTCAGACATTCTGAGCTCTCCAGATACAGACTATCCGCAGAGAAGCTCTAGAAGTCCTTCTTCCATTTCCCCACGGTGAGATCTCCTCACCTTCAGTGGGGGACTGACCCCAGCTCCCTGTGAAACCGTCCCTGATCCCTCGGCACTGAGCACCTGCCCCTCACTCCTCTGTGCTTCATGGCAGCAGTACTCAGCACCTCTAACCCAAAGGGGGGCCACCATGCTGCTTCTTCCACTGGGGGCTGGAGGGAGGGCCATACCATTCATGTTTCTGTGTTTCTAGCTCGGGCCCTGGTATCCACCCTTTTCCATGGTAAACCTGCTGAGCTGGGTAAAGGGGCCCATCACAAGAAGCTCTGTTCTCTGGAGCTCCCACTAGTCTGGAAAACAATGATCTAATAATAACAGCGCTTTCTCTCTGTGATGAATGCCGCCAGGGGAAGCTGTAGCTTGCAACAAGAACTTGAAATAAGCGACCTAACATAGTCAAGGGTGATCAGAAGGTTCTCTAGGGAGGGCACATCTAGGCTCAGCCCTAGAAAATGTGCTGGAGTCAACCAAAAAGATCATGGAGCTAGTACAAAAAACATTTTGAAGGAAGGAAGGGAGGGGAGGCAGGACTTTGAGAGTGTGGCCTAAACTCTTTAAAAAGTACTCTGGGCCAGGAATGGTGGCTCACACCTGTAATCCCAGCACTTTGGGAGGCCGAGGCAGGTGGATCACTTGAGGTCAGGAGTTCAAGACCAGCCTGGCCAACATGGTGAAACCCTGTATCTACTAAAAATAAAAATAAAATAAAAAATTAAAAATAGCCAGGTGTGGTGGGAGGCACCTGTAATCCCAGCTACTCATGAGGCTAAGGCAGGAGAATCACTTGAACCCAGAAGGCGGGGTTTGCAGTGAGCTGAGATTGCACCATTGCACTCCAGCCTGGACAACAAGAGCAAAACTCTGTCTCATAAAAAGGAAGAAGGAGAAGAAGAGGAAGGAGAAGGGGAGGAGAAGGAGGAGGAGAAGAAGGAGAAGAAGAAGAAGGGGGAGGAGGAGGAGGAGGAGGAAGGGAGGGGAAGGAGAAAGGGAAGAAGAAGAGGAAGAAGAAGAAGGAGAAGAAGAAGAAGAACAACAACAACAACAACAACAACTCTGAGCCATCCCAACCTCAAATCTAGGTGATTTCTAGGAGAAAATGGGTTGATCTGGGGTAGTGATATTGATCACATAATCTCGAGTCCACCCAACACAGGTTCTAATCTCAGATGCCTCCTTTAACCACGTGATCTTGAGCATTATAATGAACCCCTGCACCTGTCAGTTTCTTCCCTGTAAAATGGGAATAATAATGACCCCATCCATGGAGATTAAATGAAGAAACGCATGTAAAAAGCATGCCAAGTACCTGCCAAATAGTGAAACTTCAAATAATAAGAAGTGGGCATGGTGACCCCTTTGCTGTCACAGGCCTAAGCTGTGGCTAGCCCTGCTGGATAGGGGGATGGGGGCAGCAGCCCTGCCTCATCAGGTGGTGGTGATGATGGTCATGATGATGACGATGGACAAGACATTGAACCAGGGCATATCAGACTCACTGCCATGCCGATGACCCACAGTATTTCTCTCCTCGTTCCTGTGGCTTCTGTCTTTACGGCATTTCATGTTATTTCTCAAAATCACCAACAAGAAGAGCCCAGAGGGGGTGAGTGAGTCAACAAATGGGTGCGGGTGGAGGGGGCTTTGCTGGTCACAGCCAGCACCGCAGACGGATCCACGGTGACCCTTT
Organism: Homo sapiens; assembly: GCF_000001405.40. NCBI lineage: Eukaryota > Metazoa > Chordata > Mammalia > Primates > Hominidae > Homo > Homo sapiens. The sequence goes on from NC_000022.11 coordinate 49,507,813, forward strand.
TGGCAACCGGCCACGTAGGGCCAGATGGGCGGCACAGGGAGGTGTGTTGTGCCGTTTAACTCTCCATTCCTTACACATGGAGTCTCATGATGTTCGCTTTTGTTGGATTCAAAATGGAAATGACCTGACTTTCTGGCCGATGAGAACTGGCTTGAAACGCAGGCTCCATCCCACGCAGGTTTGATGGGTTTTGTTCTTCTCTATACTCATCTAATTATTCCACAGAAGCTTACTGAGCATGTGCTCCATGCCAGCCCTGTTCCCACCCGTGTGCACGATAGAAACGGGCCAGCCCTCATGAGCTTCTAGCCTGGGGAGCGCCCATATGGTAACCCATCATAAATAACAGTGAAATGCACACAGCATGCGGTAAGAAGGTATAATCGTGGTGTGAACCCTGTCCGCTCATAATGAAAAATCTGACATTGGTTGGATAGGTAGAAGCTGAAGAAGATATGGGGGGATGGAAGATGGTGGAGACGTCACAGCTGCACAGAACAGTAGGACCCACTGGGCCCATTGAACAGAAGAGGGGGACCGGGGATGACAAAGAACAATTAATTCCACGGAATAGGGTCACATTTCTTTTTATTTTTTTTTCTTTTTTGAAATGGAGTCTCACACTGTCTCCCAGGCTGGAGTGCAGTGGCGCAATCTCAGCTCATTGCAGTCTCTGCCTCCGGGGTTCAAGCGATTCTCCTGCCTCGACCTCCCTAGTAGCTGGGATTACAGGCATGCATCACCACACTGGGCTTTAAAAAAAAATAGAACTCTCTGGAGGTCTCTGCACAAGTTATACCTCCAGTATTGGAAATGACATGGAGATGAAATAAACAGTGGTGCCATGTGTGAAGAGGCAGGAGTCCTACACCACTGAACGGTTTGGCAGAAGAGATGCCTCACATTTGTTGCCAGCCTTTTGGCTCCTGTGATCTTCAAGACACTTGCCGCATGTGTGTCTGCGCAGTGGCTGTGGTCTGCAAATTGTGTAAGTGTTTGCTGTTCATTCAAAAGCCCAGTTATTCCTCAGTCGTTGCAATTAGGCAATTTTCTGCTTTTGAGGCACCGATAATAATTAGCTTCTAAACGTTTATCTTCCACTGTTGAGTAGCATCGTCCACTTAAGTGACCGCAGCCTTTTTGCGAGGGAACAATTTTGCAGGTCCCTTCTACTAGGTTGTAAGGAATACAGTAAGAAAAACGAATATTCAGCTTCTCCGATATCAAATCTGTATGATTCAGGGTGCTCTAGAAAGACAGACCAATAAGATACGAATACCTATATATGAGAGAGAATTTATTAGGGGAATTGGCTCACACAATTATGGTGGTTGGTAAGTCCCACAACAGGCCGTCTGCAAGCTGGATACCCTGAGAAGCCGGCAGTGTGGCCCAGCCCAAGTCAAAAGGCCTCAGAACCAGGGGAGCTGCTGGTAACTCTCAGTTTGAGGCCAAAAGCCTCAGGACCTGGGGCCTAAGCTATAAGTCCTGGAGTCCAAGCCAGCACGCCTGGAGTTCTGATGTCCAGGGCAGGAGAAGAAAAATCTGTCCCAGCTCTCGGAGAGAGACCAGTTCACCTTCCACATCACCTTCCACACGTGTTCTCTGCAGGCCCTGGCCAATGGGATGGTGCTCACCGACGTGGAGGGCAAATCTTCCGTGCGCAGTCCACCCAGATGCACACACCCATCTCCCCTGGAAAAACCCTCACAGACACACCCACCACATTTCTAGGTATTCCTTAGTCCAGAGAGGTTGACATCTAAAATTAAGGCTGTAAGTCCACTCCTTGTCCACTCAGCACTCATATGTGTCTCTTTAAACCATATTGATTTTCAGATAATGACAGTAGCAAGGTAGTAGTTCTCCCTGATTAACACAATGCAACGACCCTACATACAACCGAAAACACACCAATCCCTTCCCCAGAATGTGGCTTTCAGGATTGCAGCCATTTGGGATTTTAACCTTTTGGGATTGTGACTTTGGGACTATGATTTGCACTAGTGGGTGTGTGTGTGAGAGAGAGAGAGAAACAATTAGCTGAAGGGAAATAAGAAGATTTCTGTTTATTGTTTGGTTTCCATTTCTCTTTGGTTTGTTTCCATTAAGTTGAAGACACTCGTGTACAAAAACTAACAGGAATGATCTAGTTGAAGCCTTGTCTCGGAAAAATTATTTGCCTTCACTTAGTTTCAAATTCCATGTGGGTAAAATTAAAATAATCATACTTAACTCAAGGAGCTTTACTAGAAATTAAACACGTGTATATCACTCACAGATCTTAGGAGCAGACATTCAGTTAATGGTGCAATTATTATTCAGATCATTCTTAGTATGTCTTACCTACCAGACTGAAAACAATACAAGCGCAGGGATGTGGCTCATAGATATTTTATTAATTTTAACTTTTTATTATCATATAGTAAAATGGGCTGTTTTGGGGTATACTTCAATGAGTTTTAGTATGTATGGATTCATTTGACCACCACCACAATCAGAACACAGGACAAGTCCATCACCCCCAAAATTCTCATGTTGTGTCTCTTCACAGTCATAGCTCTTTAAACCTTAACCCTGACAACTAGTGATCAGCTCTCCATTGCTGTAGGTTTGTCTTATTTGGAACATCACACAAATGGAATCACACATAATACGTAACTATTTAATACTGGCTTCTTTCACTCGGCAGAATGTCTCTGAGATTCGCCCAGGTGGTATGTACATCAGTCATTCATTCCTTTTCAATGCTAAGTAGTATTCCATTCCACAGCCGAAGTTTGTTTAACCATGCACCTGTTCAAGGGTATTTAGTTAGTTTGCTCCCATATATCCTGTTTGGTGAACTGTTTTAGGTTTTGAACAATGATGAATCGATATAAAAACATTTATCTAGAGATCTATATGTGGACAAAAAATTCTCAGTCCACTTGGGTAAATACCTAGGACTGGAATCAATAGGTCATGTGGCAAGTGAATGTTCAGCTTTAGAAGGGGCTGTGAAACTATTTTCTAGAGTGGTCCTCACCATCTCACATCCTACCAGCAATGTCTGAAAGTTCTATTTTCTCTACATCCTTGTCAGCACTTAGTACTGTCAGTATTCTTTATTTTAGCCATTCTAATAACTATGTACTGCTGCCTCAAGATGTTTTAATGCAGATTTCCCAAATCAAATGCTAATGATATCCAAGAACATACTTTGTTTAACTTCTTTCCAACTTATTAAGGTTTGTTTTCTGACTCAGGGCACAGTCTATGTTAGGGAATTTTCCACGTGTACTAGAAAATAATGAGTATTCTGCTGATATTGGAAGATTACAAAAATCATACAATAAAAAGTTACTAGACAAGAAAAGAGGCAAGAAACTATGATGGGTGATCAGGAGAAAAAACATATATGATAGAAGTAGACCCACATGAGATCCTTATACTGGAGTTAACAGACAAGATTTTAAAATAATTGTCATTACCCATGTTTAAGAACATAGAGAAAATGGATGAAAAAAATGGAGACCCAAAATTCATTAGTGTTCCCCCAAAATTCATTTGTTGAAATCCTCACCCCCCAGGCGGTAGTGTTAGGAGGTGGGGCCTTTGGGAAGTGATGAGATCATGAGGGTGGGGCCCCCATGAACGGTATTAGTGCCCTAGAAAAGGGACCCTGGAGGGCTCCCTTGCCCCTTCCACTATATGAGGACACAGAGAGAAGGCACCATCTATGAACCAGGAAGCGGGTCCTCACCAGACACTGATCTATGAACCGGGAAGCAGATCTTCACCAGATACTGATCTATGAAGCAGGAAGCAGATCCTCACCAGACACTGATCTGTGAACCAGGAAGTGGGTCCTCACCAGACACTGATCAGTGAACCAGGAAGTGGGTCCTCACCAGACACTGATCTATGAAGAGGAAGTGGGTCCTCATGAGACACTGATCTGTGAACCAGGAAGTGGGTCCTCACCAGACACTGATCAGTGAACCAGGAAGTGGGTCCTCACCAGACACTGATCTATGAAGAGGAAGTGGGTCCTCATGAGACACTGATCTGTGAACCAGGAAGTGGGTCCTCACCAGACACTGATCAGTGAACCAGGAAGTGGGTCCTCACCAGACACTGATCAGTGAACCAGGAAGTGGGTCCTCACCAGACACTGATCAGTGAACCAGGAAATGGGTCCTCACCAGACACTGATCTGTCAGCCAGGAAGTGGGTCCTCATGAGACACTGATCTGTCAACTAGGAAACAGGTCCTCACCAGACACCATATCTGCTGCAGCCTTGCCTTGGACCTCCAGCTTCCGTAATTGTGGGAAATAAACTTCCGTTGCATATAAGCCCCCAGCCTATGGTATTTTTTACAGCAGCATTAAACAAACCAATACAGTGGCCATCCCCTTTATAACTGTATATTTTGTGCTGCAACTAAATTGTGATTTTACTGACTGTAAAAAGAGTGTAAAGACTTCATGCAATTCCTAAAGTAAAAAAAAATCCAGGCCACTTTAGCATTCCCTGGCGGCTTTGCAATGAATCCCATCTTTTGCTCAGCGCACCAGCGATTCAGCAAAGGGTTGAAGTTGTCTCTTGCCTTCTCATCTCTAAATCTATGCCAGATCAAATGGGCACAATAAATACCAGCACTTTTGAGCCAGAGACTCAGAGTAATTGCATTACAGGCCTGGCCAGCCCAAATGTTTGGGGATCTGGGATAAATAAAAAAGAAATAGCTTGCGAAGTGATCTCCAGTGTTCCATTCCTGGACTGTGCAGAACCCTGCTATTCTATTTGCATGATTTAGCGAAAGGAGGTTTCATTGATATGTAAATAGTAATGCAAGTAGTTTACATTGGAAAACAAAAGCCGGGAGCACTGCCTATTATATTTTATAGCCGTTTGACTACAGCCTTTGTTGCTGCCAGAAAACACAACAGCAATTATGCTGGACCTACAATTTAAATAACTCTGGCTCACACAAGTGTTTCAGGAATAACATTTAACAATGGAATTACTTTGCCATTTGCATATGGTGTTCTTGTTTGAAGGTGTATTCTGAATTTATTGGGCATTTTTATTAGCCCGCAGTGTTGAGTTGGTATGCGGATCTTGTAGAGAGAAAAAGGTCTTCGGCAGAGAAGACTCTGAGTGCATGAAGATAAATGGCACCCGCTGTTTCAGAAGGTGGCTTAGAAGGACGGCTCTGAGTGCACATGTTTCATTATTATGGGATAGAGAGGACATCCGTGGCATATTCAGACCTCTGTGAGGGTGTCCAGATGACCCCCGTACTTCTTAGACTCTACTCCTCGAAGAGCGCCACTGGTCTGAGCTGCAAGTAAGGATCTGTGGAGGACAGGCTTGTGGGTATTAGACACTTGTATTCATGACCCAGAGTCCTGTGCCAGCTGCACGAAGCAGGTGAAATCACCTTTGCAGAAATTTTATCAGTGTGAAAATTATGACAGTGAAAGAGATCGATGTCACCCACCCCACTCTTGCCTTTAGCTCTCAAGCTGCCTTAATTAGTCCTGGGCTTAGACCTAACTAACTTTGGAAGACCTTTAGGTTATAGTTTAAATGATAATAGGCTTTCCCCAAAGTTCAGTAGCTTTTGCCTTTGTAAAGCTAATGAGAGAGCCTCCCGCTAGGTGAAGGAGAGGCACCTGAGTCCTGCTAAGACGCAGGCATAAAGGATTACCAGCCATTATGCTAGAGGTCACAGAATATCCGACTTCACCAATTACTCCCGCAGATAACACCACTAGAGTAGAACCTAAGATGGGTCTTTTGAGATATCTTTTCAGGTTTTTTTTGCATGTCTGACCTACATGGTTTCCACCTGGAACTGCCAACCACTCCTGTGGCCCCACCCACAGGCAACTCAACTCTAGAGGACAGTTCCCACCCACTACGATTTCATCTCCACCCCAGCCAATGAGCAGCAAGCACCCATTTTCCAGCTACCTCAGCTTCCACCCCCTGTGATTTTACCCCAGCCAATCAGCAGCAAGCACCCATTTCCCAGCTACCCCAACTCCCATTCCCTATTATTTCATCTCCATCCCAGCAAATCAGCAGCAAGCACCCATTTCCCAGCTAGCCCAGCTCCTTCCCCCAAACTACCTTTGAAAAACCCCTAATCCAGGAGCCTCAGTGAGATCAATTTGAGTAATAACTCTGTCTTCCACATGGTGTGGCTGGCCTTGCCTCAATTAAACTCTTTCCTTACAGCAATGCTGTAGTCTTTATTTGCACAGTGGGCAGAAAGTGTCCCGGGACAACTCTCATCCCCACCTAGGGAGGTGGGGTGTCCCCTTATCTTTGAGGTTCTTTCCTTTAAACATGCATGCATTTTTCCCTACTCGAAGCCATGTCGATTCTAGAGAAATAGGACACTGCAGAAACAAAGGCGAACGTGGCCCAGGCTCCCTCCTGACGAGCCTCGGCTTTCCCGGGTCCCTGCCTCATGTGAAGACCTAGAACTGTTCTCGTCCTGCCCCTTCCTTTTCATGTGTTTTTCCAACTCCATCTTCTCCTCATGTCCACCAGCTCCTGGGTTCTCCAGAATGTGTGCAGTGTGCATGCGGCGAGGGACCCCGTTTGGCATCCAGCACCCCCACTGCTGGAAAAAGCAGCATCCCCCTTCTTGGGGGCCCCATGCTCCCTGCCCACCCTGTTCGGAAGCAGCTGCCAGTTCAGGACTCACACTTCCTCTCCACACGCCAGGAGGACATCATGACACTCAGGGGAGCTGGTGAGGAAAATGCTTCTCTGCAAACAAGCCCATATTGGACATGGCAAGACAGTCACTTTGCAGGGGACGATGGGAGAATGGGATCATGGCAGCCCTTCCAGCAAGCTCCGCCTTATCTTAGAGAGAATGCCCCTCCCCTGCCCCCAGTCCAAACAGTGTCTGCGCTCTGGAACACGGAACCACTGCACCAGGGCAGCCCTAAATGGCTTGATTTCCGTCCTTTAAAAACCTTCTCAGCTGAGCCCAGTTAATTACAAAACTAGTTCACACTCTGTTATTTTGATTTGCCTCCGCCTTCCAGGCTGAGTGATTAGGCAGAGACTTTCAGGAGCAGCAGAGCGTGGCCTGAGGTCCCTGTCTGCCTCATCGCTTTCAAAAGGAGTACCAGCAGCAGGCGGGCTCCATCCAGGCCGGCAGCCAGGATCAGCTCGCCAGGCCCACCACATTCATGCCTGGAAACTGTTACATAGACATAGCCCCACACATTAATTAGCAATTAAAAACTTTATTTATAAAATCAATTCATGGATACACATCTTGTTAAAATGCAAACTATTATTTCCAGATGACTTTTAAATAAGAAACAAACAGAAATGATATAGCCTGACAGTGCAGGGTGCCAAGAACATCTTCAACAACAATTTGCTGAATATTAATGAACTGAAAATGTCATTTCTGGTCCAACTACTAGAAGTAATTAGTTTTTTTTAATTACGGAGGAAGTGGAATTTTAATAAGGTCAATTTTACAATTACAGTTTTAGAAATACTAATTGTATTGTCATCATATCTTATATAATAAATGACATTAACTTGCTAACATCTGTTGATTTTAATGTAAATAAAGCAAAAAAATCATTGCATTGAGTTCTTTAGGGAGTGACATTTTATTAATAATGAGAGCAAGATTGTGGACAGCATCGGAGACAGGTTGGACCATGCGGGATCCCCCAAGAGGGCGTGAAGGTAACACAGAAGGCCTGCTGGCAATGCTTTCTGAATTTCCTCATCAGCAGCCATGGAGGGAGGAATTGTGCAATACTTTTTCTGACATGCCATGAACATAAGCCTCTACAAATACCAGCTTCAAATTCAAACTTGAGCCTGAGCTGAAGGACAATAGCAAGATCCCACTCTGACGTTCGTTCTGTCTCCCCCTGCAGGAAGCGACTCCTGAACATCTGGCATACACGTACACTGGTTTCCTATCCCTCACCAAGCACATAAATGAATCCCGCCTCTCCTCCTCACGAGCTCAAAGTGACAAGGCAGAGGTGCCTCTCCTCCTCCGATCGCCACAGCCTGTCTTTCTCAGTCACAAAACTGCAGGGATGCTAAATCCTGAAGTCCCTAAATACCTCCCCATCCAACTGATGCCAACCCACTGACTCTCCCCAGCAGTGCTCTGTTCAGTCAAGTTAAATCATCTTTGCCCTGAAATTGATATTCCAATGGCTTAAGCTAACCCCTCCTCCATAGTTCCACCCTTCCTAATGTTAATTCTTTTGATTCCATGGAATAAAAAGCATAAAATCTCACTCAGGTAGCCCACAAAGCTCATCAGCCTCCAAGGCAGAGACCTATGCACGAATGTGTCCCATACAGTGCTGTATGCTACAGGCTCATCAGGGCCACATGGCACCCCTCAGGGAAGTCATAGTTCCAGTATAGATGGTCCTGTTCAATGCTAGCATTAATGCTAATTATAAAGGACTATACATTATTAATAACACTCATGTCTTATCTAATAACAACAATAAAAGTAACTTGCCACTTACCGAACATCTATTATATGCCAAGACATAGGCATTTTAATAGGCATTTTATTTATTCTTCAAGACCCTTGGATGTTTCAATAAAGGATTTACATAAATGTACTGATACTGAAGTAAACTCAATTCTTCTCAGTTCTGTTCAATAAGTAAAATAATATAGAGTTTTAAGTAAAAAGCCATAGAAGTGAAAGATATTTGGACCCCACCATCCAGTTCCTTCATTTTACAGATGAGGGAGCAAGGACCCAAAGAGATGAAACTGTCCCCACATTTCCTGTGCTGCGACTTTGGACTAAGAGTAGATCTGTTTTGAGTGAAGAGGGGAATGGGAGGGAGAGAGGGAGGAGGGATGGGTCTTGACCTCCGGATTCTATGCCTGATCCAGCCCTTCCTGTTTTTTCCTGCCCCACCCTTCCCTAAAAAGCCCCTTTCCATTTTACTCAGGGACAGTCATCTGGGGTTACTGCCCTCCCGTCCCCTCCTAAGAGTGGCATTGTGATGACGGCTGCAGACGCTCAGCCCCTCGCGTGGCTCACAGTGTCTCGCACCCCAGTCCATTTCTGAATCCAATAGCTGGGAGAGGTGGGTACCGCAACAATTCTCAACTCTGCTGAATAATTTTGTGCCCCTTGGCCCTGGCCACCGCATCTCATTAGGCATCAGGCTCCAGGCCTTACCGAGAGCTCTCACTGCTCCCAACTCCTCTTAGAGCCCCCGGCTCTGTGGGAAGCCCAGGAAACCACAGGCAGCAGGTTCACCTCTGGCTGGAGGCCCAAACCCTGCTGACCCACAGGGTTCAGATTCTAGTCCAGGTGGGCTCCCCATGCAGGTGTGAGGCACCATCCCATCTCAGCCACACCTGAGCCAGACCGAAGACAGGAAGGGAGGCACACCTGCCCTGGGGCAGCTCTGCTTCCTTTGATCCCTCGGTCCCCAAGAAGCACAGACCACTGCCCCATAGCCTCTCTGCTCCTGCCACAGCACTGGCACAGGACGACCCTGAAGGACTTCCACACCCAGTCCATGGAGTAAGGGACAGGACCAGACGCCATCTGAGGGACAAAGTCCCCGAGCCCCGATGCCTGGGCGCAGAGCTGGAGACTCGGCTTCTTCTTCGACCTCCCCGGCCACTTCCCAACACCACATCACCTCAACGCAGCTATAAGGCACGTCCCGTCATTGCCCCCGTTTTAGAGCTGAGAAACATGAGGACCAGAGAATCAAGGCTGTCTGAGCCAGAGGGCGCCTCGCTGGCCCCTACCCCAAAACAGCACCCGCCCTGCCCTGGTCATTACTGCCCCCCAACCTTAACCACCCTCCCCACTGCCCTACAGAAGACCCTTAGAAGGGGGCTGACTGATGGACCATGGTGAAGGCCAGCCTGGCCTCCTTCAGCCACAGTGTGAAGCGCAGTTCACCAAAACTGGAAACTGCCATGCATCCCGGTGTCATCAAACACCACAGCAAAAGAGCCAGGTGAACGCACGGAACATCAAGCCGCAACCCTCCACACCTCTCTGTATAACCTTCGCGGCCACTGCCCCCGTGCCTGCAGAGCGGGTTTGCAGGAGACGTCATCCGAATGGATAAATGTCCGTCGGAGCTGGGGATCATCCTCCCAGAGTTTCAGCAGCTCAGAGAAGGCCAGCAACTCACCGAGCCATGCCACAGCGTGCAAGCACAGCGGCCCGGCCCTCCTGCATTCTGTCATGCACTGCGTGTCATCTTATTAAAGGATCCAACGCAGGCTCATAAAATACTTAATGAAAACATGCCACCAGGTGCACGTCCTGGAAGAGCCTGAAGACACTTTTTGCGCCCGAGGTCCTCCCCACCGTGCCACACCCCCAGGCGAGGACACATACCTTCAGGGGGACAGCTTGCAGTCGTTAAAACAGCTTATGGGTGTTTGTTACATCCTTGGGGATGTCTTGTTGAATTTTAATTACCTAGATTAAGATCTATTGATATAATTATTGAGATATATAAAAGTTTTATTTAAACGTGGATAGGCCAGAAATGAATGCTCCAGGGACAATAAGTGACTTTACTACCTGGCTCTCAGAGGTGCCTGTAGGACGGGGCGGGGAACACCACAGCCCAAGGACGCCCCTGGAGCGTGACCTCCCCTGGACCCAGAGTTCCCGGGAAGCCCCTCTGGGCGGAAGCATGTGGGGCGTAGGGCACAAGCCACAGAAACAGTCCACACGGCAGCCCCCCACCGCCCCCCCGCACCAGGCTCCCCGGGGGAAAACCTCACATCCTCACAGTCCTCTTAGCTAACGGCCTTCGCCGTACACACCCCGAAGGTAAGAACGCCTCATGTGCAGAGAAGCTTGCCCCAGCAGCCCAGCAGCGCATCTGGAAAGCGGTGGGGCTGGGATTTCAGCCCCCGCAGGTTCCCGGCCCCCGTAGGATTTGCTTATCTGTGGCACTGCCTTTCTCCCCGATGAGGGCCCTGCCTTTCTCTCACCTCACTGATGTCTCCGTGCAGGGCAGTGCTGAGGGCCTTCTCTTAATGGTCAATCACTCACCCCTCACAAACAGAGTTAACACAGCTGATGCACATGCAGCCCAGTGGAACGAAGGACTGTTTCAGTTTTTTTAACTAAAAATTTTATGCAGAAATTTTAGAAATTTCCAGAAATTGGAAGAGTGATGACCAAATAAGCAGGAGGATCCACCTCTAGCATAGCACAAAATTCAGGTGCGTTGGAGATTTCAGGGAAGAAACCAACACGGAGGAGCATTTAGCAAGAAACGCGGGAACAATACGTGTGACTCGGGGTGAGGCGAGGTTTCTCCACCTCAGGGCCACACAAAACTTAAGGCATGAAGGAAATATTGATAACCAATCAGTGCGATAGCACAAAATCAAGATGTCCTGTTTGACAAAAGACAAATGAAGTAAAAAGATAAGCTACAGAATAAGAGAAGATATTTTCCATCTGTGTCAATACAAAAGGAATAGTCTCCAGAATGGACCAAAAAATCCTTGCACATTGCTCAGAAAAAGACAAGTAGCTTCGCAGAAAAATGGGTAAAGAATGTGAAGAGACGATTCACAAAGAGAAAAGCTGAGTTTCGAGCAGCACTGAAAAGACGCGTGAACTCCATCACAGTCTGACCGGCAGCCCAGAAGATTCACAGCTGGAAGCGGCCGATGACCCCAAGTGCCGGCTGCCAACTGCGTGCACTGGTTTCCGACCCGTAAATCAGTGAAGCCCTTTCCAAACAAACCTCGGTACTAAATTCTGGAGTTGAACATGTGTTTTCCCTACAACTCAGCAATTTATTTCTAGATACGTCCTCTGTGGAAATCCTCCCTTGTGTATACAGAGGTTCATACAAGAATCTTCATTAGTTCCTTGTGATAAAAAAAAAAAAAAACTTTAAAATAACCCAGTATCCACGGCAGAGAATGAATCAGCAAGTTAACTCGTAGTGGAAGATGAACCGGAGTACAGGAGTGAGAACTAATGCCGTAGATACACGTGTCCATGTGGGTAAACCTACAGAACAGACTCTTGAGTGAAAACCATACAGAAACTATGAAATGTATTAAACGTATATAAACAGTCCCAAAAACGTTTACAAAATGCAAAATAATTTTTAAAATTCTAGAGATTCTTCTAAGAAAAATGTAAAGAGGGGCCGGGTGTGGTGGCTCACACCTGTAATCCCAGCACTTTGGGAGGTTGAGGCGGATGGATCACTTGAGGTCAGGAGTTCAAGACCAGCCTGGCCAACATGGTGAAACCCCATCTCTACTAAAAGTACAAAAAATAGCTGGCTGTGGTGGTGGGTGCCTGTAATCCCAGCTACTCGGGAGGCTGAGGCAGGAAAATTGCTTGAACCTGGGAGGCGGATGTTGTAGTGAGCCAAGATCGCACCACTGCACTCCAGCCTGGGCAACAGAACAAGACTCTGTCTTAAAAAAAAAAAAAAAAAAGAGGAATTATTGGCTATTACCTTAAAGACAATGGCTTCCTCTGGAGAGAAAAGAGGAGAACTATGACATTGCCAGGTATATTATTGTCTATTGTTGTGTAACAAACTGCAGCCACCTTGCAGCTGGAACAACTCCTCTATGTTTATTCCCTCACAGCCTCTGTGGGTCAGGAGTCCAAGTGTGGCTCACCTGGGCCCTCAGCTCAGCATCTCACACGGCTGCAATCATATGTCATCCGGGCTGTGGCCTCATCTGGAGGCTTGGCTGGGGAGGAATCCCTTTCCCAGTCCACATGGATTACTGGAAGAATTCACATTATTTGTAGGATTGAGCGCCATACTTTATTGCTGACTGTTGGCTGGAGGTGGCTCTCCACTCTCCAGCTTCCTTCACCCCCTGGAGGATTCCAGCAGCCCCCAGAGCCCACCCACAGTCCCCTGTCCTGTGGACTTTCTTGATGTAGCCCCGTGCCCCATAAGGGTAGCAAGGGGCATCTCTAGAGCAAGGCAGGCAGCAAGGCAGAGTCTTGTTCACGTAACGTGAAGCAGTGCCATCACCTCACCTTCACCATGTGCTGCAGGCAAAGTACAGGTCCCACCCGCACTCAAGGAGAGGGACCACATGGGCATGAGCACCAAGAGGTGGGTCGTGAGGGACACGCTAAGGTCTGCCTGCCACGGGGAGGACATCAGGGGCTTTGTGTGTTTGTGATATTTTACTTTGCCAACAAATGTGAAACCTCCATGATTCAGGGTTAGGACTGTATGTAGATGATCGTGCCTATGTGGGTAACTGCTAGACTGCCTCGTCTATGGTTTTTATTATGAATCACTCCATGATAACCAGGATTGCCGTCCCTCCACTGCGATGCGGGGAAAGCCCTGAAGGAGAGTGGGCATGCATGGGGCACCCACAGACCCAGCCTTGTGAGGACTGGGGAGCCCACCCTGGTGCGTGTGGTGTAGGCCTGCACAGCTCCTCCTCACAGAAGGGTTTACAGGGCAGCTTCCCACACGGGCATGCAGTCACCCAGGGCTGCCAATGATCGGGTGAAGAGAGCTTTTCAATTATGGGGACAGTGTCAGCCACCCCATGTGGCTGCACACATCGGCCACAGCAGAGGAATCATATTTGCAAAACAGCTTCCTGGATGTAGATTCCACATACATGACAGGGTCTATGAGGGCTCTTGACATATTCTGGATACTAGGCCCTATCGATGTGTGGTTGTGAATGGGCACGCCGCCAATGCCCAGCAGTTCCCAGTGTGGCCTCATCCCTCACTTTCTGCATGCGCTGGGCTGCAAGTCAGCCAAGGAGAGAGAAGAGCCTTCTCGGGCCTCTTCTGGACATGGGCACGGCCCTCAGTGCCCCTTAAGATCCCCAGGAAAACGCCAGAGTGCTTCAAAGTGTCGTGTGGACATCTCATTCCCCTGCTTTTCCTGCTAAAGCGCTTGTTCGCTTCTTGTCTGTCCAACTAGGAGTCCCATCTCAGGCAGCTGCCGTGTTCAGCAATCACCACTCACCATCGTCAGCACAGGCCCTGGGGACAACGAGCTCTGAGCAGATGGAGTCAGGACAGGCCCTGCCAGCAAGGCCCTCCCACAGAGCTGCTGGACATGTCACGCTGTGACAGTTCTCTGGAGATGGGGCTTTTGGGTTCTGAATCCCAGTCTCTCCCCTCCCACGCGGCCAGGCAGCTGGTTTTCCCAGCTCCATGACTGCAAGGAGATGGGCTTTCAATGAGATGAGGGAACCAGGGGGAGGAAGATGGGGACAGGATATTAAAATGCCATGAAACTCACTGTTCTTACCAAGATTCAGCTGTTTTTCCTGAATACTCCCTGAACAGCTGCAAGCCTTTGGTGAGCCTCCAATGTTCTGAAAAAGCTGGCTTGGGCATATTTTGTCAATGTTCTCATTGCTTTTGTGGAGAGTTTTCTCAGGCCTTTGCTTCACCATTCAGGATGTTCTGCTCTTCAGAACAGCCACGTGGATCTCTGCCTGTAGATGTGTTACAAATATGATGCCTCTGCTGTGGCCGATGTGTGCAGCCACATAAGGTGGCTGACACTGTCCCCATAATTGAAGTCTCTGCAGCCCAAGCTGACACCGATGGGAGAGCAGGGGTGTCCCCCTAGATCCCCTTTCCTCACCAGCTGCACCTACCTAGAAAGAATCCTTGCTGGAGATCTACAGGCATAAGAGAGTGCAGCCACCAGACCTCCAGCAAAGTGGAATCCACAAGGCCTCCAGGACAGGTGTGCGTGACAACCAGTGCAATATAAATGTAAATACCCAGACACAGACCCCCACACACACGCATGCAGAGAAGAGGCTGAGGGAGATTTACAGACTGAGCTCATGCAATCATGGAGGCTGGCATGTCTGACACCTGCAGACAAGCAGCAGCTGAAGACCAGGGCAGGTTACTGTTGTGTCTGGAGGACAAGTCTTTCTTGTCTCTGCTCTCTAGCCCTTCAACTGATCAGACAAGGCCCACCCACATCACGGTTCATCCAAGTCTACTGGCTGTAAATGTGCATCACGCCTGCAGATACCTTCACGGCAGCATCTGGTTGGTGTTTGACCACACCTCTGGGCATCGTAGCCGAGCCAGCTGACTCAGAGATTTCACCACCTCAGGGAAGCTCAGTTCCAGGGTTCAGTCATCCACTGTGCTTTGCTGAGTGACTGAACTGGGGACCAGGAGACCCAGGCCAGCACAGCTGAAGGCCGTCCTGGGGTGGGGCACAGGAGCTCATGGCTGCGAAGGAGCTTGCATTAGGGGGTCAGCAGGAGGCCACACTGGCTGTAATACTGACAGAATATCAGGGTGAGAAGGGTCCTGCTGGGTGAGATGCAGGGTCTCAAAGGTGACAGTCATGCCAAGGGTGTGGAGGGAGGGGATTGGGTGCAGGTGGTGTAGGACAGAAGGTTCTATTCCAAAGGACAGAGCCAACTGCACAGCTCTAGCCTGGAGGAAAGCCCACGGCCCCTTGGCCCAGGCTCTGGCCATGCAACATGCAGCTCAGGGACCCAGACTTTGTATCCCCTGGAGCTTCGTAGAAACATGAGCCTCAGAGCCCATTCCAGGCCTGCCTGCCACAACAGAAACCGATGCTAACAAGCTCCCTGGGGTTCTGAGAGCACCGCCGTGTTTCTGTCGAGTGAGCCCTGGGACCCTTCCTGGCTCTTCCCAGGCTGCCAGCCCATCCTCCTGCACAGTCCTCCTGCACTGTCCTCCTGGGCTTGCCTTGGTTCTCTGTGCGGAGCACTGACATCCATAGAGAGCACTGCCATCAACTCCCTCTGGGTCTGTGCTTTCCTCCCATTTCCCCCAAGCCAAGATACAGAAGGTGCACGACACGGGCCCTGGGCAGGAGGACTTGAAAGCAACTTCCATGGCTCACCCCTCACCAGGCTCTGAGCTGATATCTGACCACAGAGGGGAATGTGGTGGGCGTGTGCTCTGCTGCGCACACGTGGTGCCCCTGCCCTGGAGGCTCAAGATCCTGGAGCCAGGCAGGTCCGGGAGGTACCACGGGGGTGCTGTGGGCTCTCCCTGCCTTGGTCTCCTGCTCCAGGCCCAGCACCGGCAGCAGCGCAGCCTCAGAGTTTCCTGGAGGCTCCTTCAGGGAGGTCCCCGGGGTGGGGGGTGGGGGGCATGAGCTTACTTAGGGGCCAAGATGCTAGGAGACAGCACAAGCTCCACAGCAGCACAAGACGCCGGAGCTTCTCATTCTTATTCTGTTTTCTCTTCTGGTTCAAGGAGAGAGGCCACCTTTGTTGACAAACTGGTGTTTTATACGGAGGCATCATCCGGCTGGAATGGAGCTGTCCCCATAACGGTGAGAGTACATGTTGTGATTTGAGGGAGGCTGAGCTTAACAAGGTGACAGCATGCTCCCACCTGCACCCCGGCATAAAAGCATTTCCATTTCGCTTGTACACCTCAATTCATCTTGTAGACCGAGTTTAAAGACAGACATCACTGGAGGCCTAAACGCTGTGGTCATTCACATAAATAAATCGTTTTGTTTTAGCTCCATGGAGCAGCGCCCAGTGGAGCAGGAGGCCTGGTAATGCATGAGGTTCTGTTAAGCCTCATACACAGTAGATTAACATTTTCACAATGAATGAAAAAGGGAGGAGGGAGTTCAGTTCCGTTTTTATTTACTTTTTCTAAAATCACTTCCGACTAAAGAAAAGAGCTTCAGGGTTGACTGGGCTGAGTGCCAAGGCCCTGACCCTGGAACACACAAGTGCACATGGGCATTGCACACACGCACACACATGCACTCACACAAGTGCACACACATGCATTCACACATGTACACACAGGCATTCACACAAGTGCACACACATACACATACCTCACACATGTGCACACACGACCCTGTCCCCATCTTCCTCTCCCTGGTTCCCCCGTGCATGCACACTGACACAGTTGCACACATGCATGATTGTGCATACACACACGTATCCACAGGCACACATCCATACACACCTACAAGCACAGAAGCATGCACACACCACATGCATGCATACTCACACAAAAGTGCACGCATGCATATACCACTTATATACACAGGCACACACCCGTACACACCCACATGCACACATGCTCGTACACAAGTGCACACATGCATATGCCATACAATTGTGCGTGCACACACACACACATATATACAAATATCCCATGCATCCACATGCACACATGGGTACGCACATGCATGCACACACCACACACACGTACACAGACAAACACACAATCTGTCAGAACACACCACACTCTGCTTTAAAATACACAGCTGCTGACCACGTGCAGTGGCTCACGCCTGTAATCCCAACACTTTCAGATTACACTTTGGGAGGTGGGCGAATCACTTGAGGTCAGGAGTTCGAGACTGGCCTGGCCAACATGGTGAAACCCCACCTCTGCTAAAAATCCAAAAAGAAAAATACAAAAATACAAAAATGGTGGCACGTCCCTGTAATCCCAGCTACTCGGGAAGCTGAAGCAGGAGAATCACTTGAACCCGGAGGCAGAAGTTGCAGTGAGCTGAGATCGCATCACTGCACTCCAACCTAGGCAACAGAGACTCCGTCTCAAAAAAATAAAAATAAATAAATTATACAGCTGCTGACTGCATACCATGTGCTGGGGAGGCAGCTGCTGCATACCAGAGCTCTGCATTTCGCACGTGCTGCCCCGGATAGGCCTGTCCAAGGAGCTCTCTATGTACCTATCCATCCTCTTGTCCTCACTCCCACTCTGCTCCCAGCTCTCTGGGATGAAGGGGACCACCTCCCTGTTAGGAAACTGCATCTGCTTCTCCCGCTGCTCAGGTTCAGGCAGTGACCAGGATGCCCCATGGTCCTCAGAAGGGGTGACTGGGGGCACAGCACACCACGGCCTCACTTGCATTTTACCCCAAATTCGGAGATCCCGACTGACCACGCCTCTTCACCCTCCACAAATATTTGTTGGCTGCCTAACGTGCCTAGCACAAGGCTGACCCTGGGGACAGTAATGGGAGCTGGAACAGGACAGCCTTGGGGAGCTCACATTCCACTAAAGGAGCCAGTCCAGGCGCTGCTGGACAAAGGGTGGTGGCTGGAATCACAGCCAAGTGCACAGTGTGCCCAGAGCCTCTCGTGGACACCACGTGGCCGCAGTCCCGTGCTCACCCCTCATCTGCCGCATCTCATTCAGGGCTGACCACAAATGGGAGGTCAGTTCCACTGTTACGTGACTTGCTGACAGTTACAAAACCCACAAGCAGCAAGGCCAGAATTTGACTCCTGGTCTGTCTCACTCCAAAGCCCCCAACATGCCTGAAGGTACAACCCCATATGAAATTTGCAGTTAAGATTCTGTTATCTGGCAGGGGCAGGAAGGCTTTTGAATGAGGCTTGGACAAATTGTGTAAGTATCGGGGCGGGGGTGGGGGCATGTGCTGTGAGCTTGGGCTGGGTGTAGGTCTGGGTGTGCAGTGTGTAGCCGTGTGGGCATGGGGGCATGCATCTGAGTTTGTGTGAGAGGTGTGTGTGTGCACCTGTGTGTGCAGGCACCAAGCTCTGTGTACACTCACGATGCGTGACATAGGCTGCTGTTGTCTGCTGTGGTTTTACAGCAGGCTGGCATTCGTTATTTTTGGGAAACGGTTTCTAAATCAATCAAGCAGAAATGGCATTCCAGATTTGGACTTGTCATATGAGACACACAAATAAGTAACAATTGATGAGAAAAATTTAACCAATTCTTCTCATTTTTCTAGTTCTAATTGGCATTTCCTGCCGTAATGAATGCAACCATATCTGCTCACACACCTAAAACCCACCTAATGGTTTTCTTTCCACCCTGACACTGGAGACACCCTGCACAGCTCACAAAATGTCACACGCTGTTTGTTGTAATGAACCAAATAATTTATAAATGTCAAAAGTAAGGCTGTTTGTATTTATCACCTCTTAAAGGATTGATCAGGTATCAGATTTACACTTCTTTGGATATGCACTTTTTTCCTTTCCTGAATTTCTTGGTATAAATTAAATAACAGCAATTGACATTAAAATTCAATGATGATTCCTCAGTATTTCTTAGGGTCAAGACATGTAGAGGACAAAGAGTCAGGGAATGAGATGGTTCCAGGGGCATCTGGACCTACGTTGTGATAGACACAGAAGTGTTTGCAAAGACTAAGGTGCACGTGTTCCTTAGGATCTCAGTGTCAGCAGCTTCACCCAGGAGCCCATGTGGCTGAGGAGACCTGGACACTTATGTGCACGCACAAACACACAAACATGCACACAGACGCACAAACATGCACAGACACGCAAACATGAAGACACACAAATATGCACACAGATGCACAACCATGCACAGATGCACAAACATGCAGACGTACAAATATGCACAGATGCACAAACATGCCCACAGATGCACAAACATGCACAGACACACAAACATGCACACAGATGCACAAACATGCACACACAAACATGCACAGATGCACAAACATGCACACAGATGCACAAACATGCACAGACACACAAACATGCACACAGACGCACAAACATGCACAGAAGCACAAACATGCAGATGCACAAACATGCAGATACACAAACATGCACACAGATGCACAAACAAGCAGATAGATGCACAAACATGCAGATACACAAACATGCACACAGACACACAAACATGCACAGAGACACAAACATGCACAGGCGCACAAACATGGACACAGACGCACAAACATGCACACAGACGCACAAACATGCACAGAGACACAAACATGCACAGGTGCACAAACATGGACACAGATGCACAAACATGCACAGGCGCAGAAACATGGACACAGACGCACAAACATGCACACAGATGCACAAACATGCAGACGCACAAACATGCACAGAGACATAAACATAAACATGCACACAGACGCACAAACATGCACACAGACATAAGCCTGCGCATGGGCACACGCACACACATGCACAGACACGTGCACACATGCAGCTGTATGCATGCATCTGTGCACATGAACAGACACACAGAGTGAGGTACACGTGGGCCTGCAAGGATGCTGACCTGTGCATATACGAGCACAGACGTGCAGATCTGTAAACAAGCAAGGCCACTGCCTGACATAGTGTCACTCCCAAACCTCAGTGGGAGCAGTCTGTGGTCTTGTGGTCTGCATGTCCACATTTACTCGAGAAATTGCTGCAGAGCCATTCCACCTCCACGAGATTGGCCCTCCTTTTGCGAGAACGAAGTGATCCTTGAAGCTGGAGCAAGATGACCCCAGACAAGCTGCGCAGCCCAGTCTGCCCTCCACAGTGAGAATTTCTTACCTGAGATTGTGGCTGCCCCACAGGTGGTATGCAAGGAGCAGGGAGTTTGACGATGGCTTTGCCTGCCATGAAAGGGAGAATCTCAGACTACAAAGGAAAACCAGCGCCTCTGGAAGTAGGGCCTGGCTCCAGCCTCTGAGAGGGGCAGGCCACCCTCCCCAGAACACAGCAGCTGAAATGCCATACCCTCCTTTGATGCCTGGGGTGGGATCAATACCACCCTTCCCCTCCCCTCTCCCAGCCACCTCTCTCCAAGGGAGCGGCATGGTGGCCTACAGATCTCCTGCTGCTCAGCCTCCCCCTCCACCTGGGCAGGTGAGTCCGGGGCAGGGGGAGTAGGAGGCCCTGTGAGACTTGAGCAGGTGAGTCGGGGGGGTGGTGTAGGAGGCCCTGTGACACCTGGGCAGGTGAGTCCGGGGCAGGGGGAATAGGAGGCACTGTGACACCTGAGCAGGTGAGTCTGGGCGGGGGGAGTAGGAGGCACTGTGACACCTGGGCAGGTGAGTCTGGGCGGGGAGAGTAGGAGGCCTTGTGACACCTGAGCAGGTGAGTCTGGGAAGGGGGAGTAGGAGGCCCTGTGACACCTGAGCAGGTGAGTCTGTGCGGGGGGCATGTAGGAGGCACTGTGACACCTGGACAGGTGAGTCTGTGGGGGGGCATGTAGGAGGCACTGTGATACCTGGACAGGTGAGTCCGGAGCGGGGAGTAGGATGCAGTGTGACACCTGGGCAGGTGAGTCTGGAGGGGGGTGTAGGAGGCAGTGTGACACCTGAGCAGGTGAGTCCGGAGGGGGATGTAGGAGGCCCTGTGACACCTGGGCAGGTGAGTCTGGAGGGGGGTGTAGGAGGCAGTGTGACACCTGGGCAGGTGAGTCCGGAGGGGGGTGTAGGAGGCACTGTGACACCTGGGCAGGTGAGTCTGGAGGGGGGTGTATGAGGCAGTGTGACACCTGGGCAGGTGAGTCCGGAGGCAGGTGTAGGAGGCACTGTGACACCTGGGCAGGTGAGTCCGGAGGGGGGTGTAGGAAGCCCTGTGACACCTGGGCAGGTGAGTCCGGAGGGGGGTGTAGGAGACAGTGTGACACCTGGGCAGGTGAGTCTGGAGGGGGGTGTAGGAGGCAGTGTGACACCTGGGCAGGTGAGTCTGGAGGGGAGTGTAGGAGGCCCTGTGACACCTGGGCAGGTGAGTCCGGAGGGGGGTGTAGGAGGCAGTGTGACACCTGGGTAGGTGAGTCTGGAGGGGGGTGTAGGAGGCCCTGTGACACCTGGGCAGGTGAGTCCGGAGGGGGCTGTAGGAGGCCCTGTGACACCTGGGCAGGTGAGTCCAGACCAGGTGGGGAAGGCCCTGGGCCTTGGGCCACAGCTCACTCTGACCTTTCTTTGTTAGGAAGGGAGTTGCCACTGTGATCTCTCATGGCCCGTGCTTGGGGGTGGGCACAGGGCTGGCATGCCCCCCCTCCTCAGTACCAACAGCTGAACTCTGCAGATTTCACCAGGACACCACAGGCTCCTTAGAACCCACATGCGGGGCCTCTGCGGGACAGAGGCTGGCCTGCTTCCTCACTAAGCAACTCAGAGAAAGTTAAAGCAAAGGCCATCCTCACATTAAGTATCTTATCCTAGTGCTCATGCGTGCTTGGGTTTGAATCCCATCCTCATCGCCAAATATGTACATTTAAAAATTATAAATTTAGAAAGCAGACTTTGCTTTTCATAAAGAGTATCATCTGTGAGGTGGCTTTTTTGACAGGCTGAGAAGCGTAGCCTCTGGCTGAAGTCAGAGTTGGTGCTTCGAAGGAGGGGAGGGTGAAACAGGGCTTTATGTTGAATGGTTGGTCAAGGATACGTATGTAACAGGTTACAGGAGTTATGAATATTCATGATGGGGGAGTCACACACATGCGTGGTAAGCAAACATGCATATTCCACGCATCCCTTGTCATTTGCAGGTGGAGAAGTAACATTTAAATACATTATATTAGGCCCTGTAGGTCAAAAGGCAAGCGGGACACGATGGCCCTCAGGGTGCAGCCTCTGTAAACTGGCCAGATCCAGTCATGTCTGCGTCTCCTACCAGAAGAAAGTTACTGCAATCAGCCTCTTGACCAGTCAAAGCTGTAGCCATGGCTGGCAGAGCAGGGGAGTCCATCACTGTCTGATGGTTCATGAGCTGGAATTGTTTGATATTGTGTAAGTCCTGTGATTGTTGAGCTGTTAGAGAAAAAGGAAAAAATAAAACCTTGTGGCAGTTGAAACACAGTTTGTTTTTTCAGCTTAGGGGTACATGACCTAACCCTTGTCTGACCTGGCCTTAGACTCTGTTCATAGCTTGGTATCCTATGGCCACAAGGCTCCGTTCTGCTGGTTGTCTGATCTCTATTTTAACACAAATGCTGCTCCGCTGCTGTCTATACCATGAGGCATGTCTGACCTCTTGTCTCATTATGGCTGGGAACTCAGTTTTTGAGGTTCCTCTGGGATCCCCTTGGTCAAGTCAGGGCCTGTTCAGTCTGTTGGGGGACTTAGGATTTTATTTTTAGTTCTCAATGTGAAGACATTTTATCCTAATTTTTCATGTCCAGTGCTTTAATGAAATAAAGGGCCACAAGGAAGGCGGCTGTGCCCATGCACCTGCAGACACATCCACCAGATGCCCCTGGCAGTTCCTGGAGGAGCCCATGCTTGGCGACATTGGGTCTGTGTCAGCCCAGCACGGCCGTCCCTAGCTGGCGCATGGAGCAGGCCCACTCTGCATCTGGGCACAGAGGCCATCAGTCCTGACCCACAATTATCTTGATTTCATATTGATGAGGAAGGAGGGCGAAGGCCAGTGGTATATGAGCAAGAGACGGCACAACAGGCAAACACAGAAAGTCGGTCTGTCCCAGGTCCCACTTCCTCCTCCCAGGCTCACTGCATTGGCCTGACCCTGGCTGAGCCTGCAAGCCCTGCACCCACCCCTGCCTGTGGATGGAGGGCGTCTGGATAGGCCCGTGTAGTCAGGTCCCCATGGTTGAACTGCACCCAGAGCAGGAGGAGGCCAAGTGCACCTGTTACTCTCCACGAGCGGCTGATAGAAGAAAACACCCTGCTTCCCGTCCTGTCTCTGGAGGACCTGCCAGAAACTCGTTAGGAAAGCATCGTGCATCAGATGAGCGTGAGTCCATGGGGAGCAGGGCACCGCGGAGGAAGCGCAGGCTGGCCACAGCATGGCCCGCGTGAAGAATCAGGAGCTGGCAAAGTTCCTAGTGAAGGCAGCCAGAGGGGAGCAGCAGCCACACACATCTGGTATTAGACCTTCTCCTCTGGGCCTTTCTCCCCTGCATGGGGAACACGACTCTCTGCTATAAAGAAGACATTTTGTGCTCGTGTTCTGCACCAGCTCAAACTCTGAAGGAGAAAATACTGGGGGAAAGCAAGCCAGCAACCGAAACTCTAACAGATTTCAGGAGACAGACGAGTACGGGTGCTCCAGGCAGGGGCAGCCCTGGCTGTCTGTTTCTAATCCATGCCAACTTTCAGGCCCTGCCAGCCGCACAGCCTCCGAGCTGGCAACAATCAGCCCTCCCTGCCTCCACCTCCCGCCCTACCCAACCCCGGCACACTCTGCTCTTCCTCCAACAGGGAACTGAAGCCCCACATCTTTCCAGAGCTTCCCAGACTTGGACACACATCCTGGCCCTCCTCTGAAGCCCTGCAAGATGTATCGAGCCTGCCAGCCAAAGATGACCACAGAGAGCCTCTCCGTGGGTGTACAGACTGAATCGTGCCTCCAAAAGATGTTAAAGTCCCTACCCCCAGTACTGCGACTGTGGCCTGACTTGGAAGTAGGGTCTCCTCTTCGAAGATGATAGTGTTAAGGTGGAGTTATCAGGGTGGGCCCCCACCCATCACTGGAAATCCCATCCAAGGGGAGATGTGGTCACAGGCAGGACACACACAGAGGGGAGGCCATGTGACAGCCCTTGGCCGTCCACAAGCCAAGGAGGGAAGCCCCAAGAGAAAGCCACCTCCAGAACAGCGAGAAAATCAGTCTCCGTTGTTTAAGCCATGCGGTCTGTGGCCTCTTGTTGTGGCCACCCCGGGAAGCCAATGCAGCTGGAGTTCAGCATGAGTGAAGTTCACGTGTCCCCATCTCTGCGCCTCTCTCCCCCACCCAGGCGCGTCCCCATCTCTGCGCCTCTCTCCCCCACCCAGGCGCGTCCCCATCTCTGCGCCTCTCTCCCCCACCCAGGCGTGTCCCCATCTCTGTGCCTTTCTCCCCCACCCAGGTGTGTCTCTATCTCTGTGCCTCTCTCCCTTACTCGGGCTTAAGTTCCTTGCAGGTAGCAAACCTGTGACATTCATGTGTGATTGATCACTTCTGTGTCTAGTACCAGACCCAAGCATGCAGACTCTGATTTCACGGTTTACCTATGGATCATGTAACCCATAATCAAGGCTGTGTTCACCGACACGGGCTCATAAGTACCACTCCCCACAGTGGGACTCTTGAGCAAACTCATGGTCTGCCCCCCCACGCCCATGACTCTGGGCCTGGATGAGATCATGGGTCACGGAACCAAGGGGGTTTTAGTCTTTGTGGGGTGGAGCACCCCGACCGCCCAAAGTGAAGGTGTGACCTGTCTTTAAAATTCTGCCTAAAGATTACACAAATTCTACGTAATTAGCAAAAACAGAAGACGGAAACATGTAGCCACCACCAGGAACTCTGCTCCTGCAACAGATGAAGTTTCCACGTTCACCTGGGATCTCCCCGCCCCCAGCTCAGGTGAAAATTCACACTCTGTAGCCACAGTCACAGCAAAGGAGCAAATATTTTCTGGTTTGGCGTTTGTTTTGCATGAGTCCTGTTTTATTTGTCATTAAGCAATGGTTGCCAGTGACAGAGTCCAGCTGACACCAGCTTCAGCCTTGAAGAGACAGGTGTGGGCTCTGAAGCAAAGTGCAGCAGATGAAGCTGGGCTCCAGGCCAACTGCCCAGGGTCCCTCGCCCTGCTGTGAAGTGGGTCCCACCCCGGCCCCTTCTCCACACAGCCGTAACGGTGGCCAGCATCCTCCAGGCCATCTGTCACCGACTCTAACACAGGCAGGGGCCCAAGAGGACTGCATCTCCCTGCAGGTAGCCAGGGAGGGCTTCCCTGGAAAGCAGACCCTTGAGAGTGGACAAGGGCCGGTCACAGGTGGGAGAAGAGGATGGCACCGTAGGCACGCTGACCATGGAAGCATCCTGGAGGGAGCAGGAGGCAGAACCCATGGGATTTGGAAGTCAAATGAGTGGGGAGAGAGACGGGTGGACTAAGGCATGTGGTCCGGTATTGATCACAGTGAGCCCGAGACACCCTGGAACACCCAGGAGGGCTCCTGCACGTGCCGTCTCCAGATTCTGGAGCTGTGGAGGGTGTTGGAGCAGCCGAAGGACCAGGAGGACTCACGGAGGACGCGCTGCCCCACCCGCTCCCACTGCCCACTTCTCTTAAGCCCTTCAACTGATACAGATGCTGGCCCTTTAACACGCTTTGCAAAACCTTCACCCAGCCCATTTGTGCCATTATTTTAGGTGTGAGAGTTGTCTTTGGCCCAAAGGTTGAAATGTTTATATAGTTAAATGAATCTTTTCTTCATTACTTGGAAGCTTAAAAATGTGTCCATCCTACATAGACACAAAACCTGCAGCATCTTGGAGATTTGTTTTCCAGAACATCGTACACATTATAACCTCACGTCTCGCTAGTTCATTCCCGTAGCACGCGGCGACACCTCACTCCACCTCGGGTCCTGCCTCTTCCAGAGCCTTGGAGTCCTCTGTGGGACCCTCTGCCCCGGCCAGCAGAGCGGAGGACCAAGCGGAGGGAGTTGGGGGAGTGAGGCTGAAGGGGGTGAGTGTCCCCTACACCCAGACCCCATGGCCTGGGGCTAACAGTAAAAAGTTGGCGACACCATGCTCCCAGCCACCACATCTGCACCCGAGGGAGCGAAGGCCCTGAGCCGCAGGGACCATGGAGCAGCCATCTGGCTCTGTGTCTGACCCTAAGGTGCACGTGGCCACACCCACAGGTCCCACGGCCCTCACGCTGATGACTCTGGAGCTGTTTTGCCGCCGTCACCCCCTGCGCCTCCCTCTTTTGTTAAGTCCTCTTATTTGAGATTTAGTCTTAGGAAGCAACATCTTACATTTCTCTATACTCGCCTCAGCAGCAAACATGTTTTGGCCTCTGTTGTTACCTTATTTCTGATAACTTAATTTTCTTGACAAGCTTAATAGTATTTGTAAGAAGACACCCCACCCAACCTTCCCAGGCACTGGGAACACACAGAGGAGCTGGAACGCGGTGTTCTCTGTCTTCACGATATTCTCCGTCCTTGGCAGCATCTTCATTAGCCTGCCTGTGGCCGCACCAAGCGCCAGCACAGCTGGCCTGTCCCCACAGGAGTCCCCGTGTGACTGCACAACCCCATCTGCCCGGTCACCGTCGCACCCCGCTCAGCGTGACATTTAACGAGGTATGTAGGGTCAGGCAGGTTAAACGTGAGAAAACTAATTTGTATAACGGCAAGCAGCAACTATAGGCACACACGTGCTTAAAAGATGTCTTCTACTGTATTAAGTTAACAGATTTTCATAATCACATAGAGTGGAGCAAGATGATTGAGTTAAGGGATTTACTTAGGAGCCTGGAAGGGATGTTAGTACATCTCTGTGATAATTAAGAGACTGCTAATCTCTTAACCTCTGCAATAAGATATGCTTCATTATTCTTTAAATTGTAGCTGACACATAGTATACCTGAAGCACCAATTTAATTCCTTTCTTCCTCTTTTTTTAATTTGGTCTCTCCCCCCAGCCATGAGGTACCCACGCAAGCAGGAGCAGTGATTTACCTGCCAGCCTTTCGCTGGTGCGAAGAACATTTCATTTTGCTAACGATATTTGCTGTTTGATAGAGCTCCTCAAGGTAAACTTCTCAAAACACCAAGTCCTTATAATCCTCAACTTATCTTCCAGACAGAAGCCAGGGGTAATTGTCTGGCTTCGTGGCAGTTTTCCAGCCCTGTGTATTGCTGTTACCAAATTACAGGAACCAAATGGACTTCTAAAGAAAATGGTGATGACGGCCCCCAGTGCACAGCAACATCAACCCGGCGCTGGGCGTTCGCGGCATCAATGGAGCTGCACAGCCCTGAGGAGCTGCCAGACAGGGCCGGGGCCACAGGGACTGCAGGGCAAAAGCTTTGCAGGCTCAATCTTCCTTTGGTTTAAATTTTCGTCCTCATTTTTTGCTGTCATGATTTGATATGCACCTTCCAAAGGACCAAAGAATGCCTGTGCCAAAGTGAGGGGAAGTGGGATAGGACACTCAGGCCTGCATGTGAGGTTTTCCCAGTGTTTGTAAAGAATGGAATTGAGGTCTGGCCCTTTAAGGAAAAGACCCTGAGGGGGATTTTGAGCAGAGACCAGCTCAGACACAGGTGGCCAGGGAGCCCCAGGAGGGTGGGCAGAGGCTGAGGGAGCCCCAGGAGGGTAGGCAGGTGCCGTTGGAGCCCCGGAAGTGTGGACAGGGGCAAAGGGCGCCCCCGGGAGGGTAGGCAGGGGCTGAGGGTAGGCAGGGGCCGAGGGAGCCCCCGGGAGGATGGGCAAGGGGCTGAGGGAATCCCCAGAGGTTGAGCAGGGGCCTTGGGAACCCCAGAAAGGTGGGCAGGGGGCTGAGGGAATCCCCGGAGGTTGAGCAGGGCCCATGGGGGCCCCGGGAGGCTGGGCAGGGGCCAAGGGAGCCCCGAGAGTAGGGACGGGACCGAGCGAGCCCCAGGAGAGGGACAAGGGCCATGGCAGCAGGAGCATCCTTCAGGTTGGGAACAAGACCGCAGCCTCAGGAAGCCAGGCCGGGGCAGTGAACAACTGCGTGATTGGGAGTTTGAGCCTAATTACAGAACTGGAGACGGGAGAAGGCTACAAGGAGGCTAAGGGGTTTTCCTGTTAGGTTTCTACAAATCCAAAAAAAGTCATCTTAGCATAAAGATTCCTGAGTTTACAGATTAAGTCAGAGGAAGAACAGGACTGGGTCATCATGAGACTCTTGGATTAGTTTGCAGGAAACTGTATCTGCTTGCAAATGGGCAAACAAAATACAAGAACAAAAATCATACTGTACTAACCTAAGAATCTGGACACATCTACCACAGACTCCATATTTCTGAGAATCTAGTAAAAGAAAAGTTTCTTTATAGAAAGATGGTCACTACGTCTTTTTAATGCCTGGCGGAAGCCCTCAGTGCCCCCTGCGGACGCAAGGAGGAAACCCCAGGCCATCCCTTTGTGAGTGAGAAAGTGGTTAAAACATGGCCTGGAAGACCAGGCTATAGGGAGACGTCAAAGAAAACCAGAGCTGGGCAGTAGTCGAAGCAGTAAAAGCAGATTTTACTCAGTCCTTCCTGAATAGGGGGAGAGAGACCGGATTCAGCTCTGAAGACAGCAGGAATAAGGGGATCACAGCCAAGGAGCAGCGTGGGGGCAGGGGACGGGAAATTACCAAGACAAAACACCGCGCTCAGAGGGTTCTGGTGAAACCAACCTAACAGGATTCTTGCTGAAGTGAGGGTATCACCCGGGGACGGCGGCGTCTCCTGACCAGTTATCTAGGTGGGGGTTCTTGCCAAAAGCGGACAAGGCAGAGACAACCACAGAAGTCCAAAAGTTGAGGTCTCATTGAAAAGTTCAGGGGGGCTGCGTGGAGTTTCTCAAGGAGAGAATCTCTGTCAGGAATCAAATCCCTGGACTCACAGTTAGCAAGTGTTTCTACAGCAGGCTCCACGAGCGGGGCCTCCTCTTCACTGCAGAGTCCCCGCCGTGATGGCCTTTATGCTCCTGCTAGCAAGGACATTAACAGGGTGGGAGGCGAGGGGAGACCTCAGTGCTGGTTTCCATGCGGAGGCAGAGGCAGCTCCTTGGTGACAGGATGTTAAGTAAAGACATTCCTGAAGAAGACTTCTAACAGAGTAAACACTGGGGCAGATGAGAGAGAAGTGTGAGTTTAATGTCTGGTTCTCATGTAAGATATTTTTAAAATCCCTTTGATCTAAACTTTTAAAAGATACTTTTCCCTGGATCTACAGGGCCATCGGTTTCTTCTTTCAGTTCTATGGCGTTTCCTTTAATAAGCATTTATTACCTTTTAAATAAAAACAATCAGTTATATACTTTAGGTCAGACCAAAATGTTTACATGCCATAATTCGTATCATTTCACAATTAAATAGGATTAAAAATGGCCCAATTATCAGATTCTGACCAGATGATCCTTCCCCCTGCGGCCCCAGCCTATCATTTCATAATAGGATTAAAAATGACCCAATTAGCAGGGCACAGTGGCTCACGTCTGTAATATCAGCACTTTGGGAGGCCGAGGCGGGTGGATCACTTGAGGTCAGGAGTTCGAGACCAGCCTGACCAATATGGAGAAGCCCCATCTCTACTAAAAATACAAAATGAGCTGGGCATGGTGGTGCACTCCTGTAATCCCAGCTACTCAGGAGGCTGAGGCAGGAGAATCGCTTGAACCCGGGAGGAGGAGGTTGCGGTGAGCAGAGATTGCGCCGTTGCACTCCAGCCCGGCCAACAAGAGCAAAACTCCGTCTCAAAAAAATAAAAATAAATAAAAAATAAAATAAAATGAAAATGAGATTCTGACAGATGACCCCTTCCCCCCCTGCCCCATCAGTCAGAAGGTCTGGGGAGAGGAAACAGAATAGAGGGTGGTATGAAAAGAGAACAGCCAAGCACGTGAGAAAAGGAATGAAATATATCAGCCCACAGATTTAAGAAATTCAGTCAATCTCAAACTCGATTAACATACAGAAAACTAATGTTTATTTCCATCATAATAAAACTGCTGAAAACAAAAGGAAATCAGTACAATCTTAAAAACAGAAAAAGAACCAGCTTGGGCAATGTAGTGAGACCCTGTCTCTCCTGAAAAAAAAAATTTTTTTTAATTAGCCAGGCATGGTGGCGCACGCCTGTGATCCCAGCTACTCGTGGAAGAGGAATCACTTGAGCCTGGAAAGTCAAGACCACAGTGACCCATGGTGGCGCCATGGCACTCCAGCCTGCCTGACACAGCTGAGACCCTGTCTCAAAACACAAGCAAACAAACAATACGGTTCACAAAGGCGACAAAAAGGCTTCTCAAAAACTTACCAGGTGAATATAAAGTTGATCAATTCTTATTTATATTCACTTATAAGGTGAATACAAATTTGACCAATTCTTATCTGAAATATTAAAATGAGACAGAAATATCCTTAGACCAGCTAAAAATTTGTGATATTATCAAAAACAAGCAAACACAGAAGACAACTGAATCGACGTGGAACCTCTGACGGAGCCGGAATTGCTCTGTCATGTGAGCAATGTAAATTTGATAAATATAGATTTTAGTTAAATATACCATTAGGCAAATTGATAATTAAGCCAATTAGTTTTAGGTGATTTGACAGTTAGTGATTTGGCTCCAAGTGATCTGGCTTAATCCCAGCAGGAGGAGATCCAGAAAGACAGGCTGGGAGGTTATGGAAGACAAAGGTGAGGAGGGCCCTTCTCAGGGGGTTCTGACAGTTGCACCCCCACGGGGCTGAGGAGAAGAGTTGGGGCCTTTCTCCAGGTGACTGTGGTATTGAGATCCTGCAGTCAGGCAGCACAGAGTCTGGACAAGCAACAGAGAATGCAGAGGACTTGCCATTCCTCCTGCCCCCTACCCTCCATCATGATGTGATAGCTGGACCCACCAAATGGAGCCCCAGCACTGCCAGCTCTTCAGAACTCCAACACCATGGGACCCCTACAAGCCACCCTGGGTATGGTGCCGCCCTCTCATGACTGGCTAAGCCAGCTTTCTCCCAGGGCAGCAAAACGAGGACACTATCCCCACCCTGCTCAATTCTGTGTTTAAGTCCTTGGACAATTGAGGGTTGACGGAGACACATCCCAGTTCATCTTCTCTTCGTCTCCATCATTAGCTTCGGTATGTGCCTGCCGGGACTCCAGTGACAAAGCACCACAGGCCGGGTGGCTTAACAGCAGCCATTCATTTTCTTACAGTTTTGGAGGCCAGAAATCCAAGATGAAGGTGTTGGCAGGGCTGGTTTCTCCCGAGGCCTCTCTCCTTGGCTTCTCACTGTGTCTTCACTCTGCCTTTTCCCCAGACAAGAGCCCCACTGGTGTCTCTTCCTCTTCATGTAAAGACATCAGTCCCATCAGATCAGAGCCCAGCCCTAGTGACCTTATTTAACCTCAATTATCTCCTACAGAGCCCAACCTTAGTGACATTATTTATGCTTAGTGACCTTAATATGCTTCAGCATATTAACCTGGGAAGGAACACAATTCACCCTCTAGCAACTTCCCACACCTGCTGTCCTTCCAGTCTCTGCAGAGGAAATCTCCATCCTTTCACCAGGTAGTCCCAGCCTCCAATCCTGGCACACCCACAAAATGAAGAAGAGACCTGCCAAGGGAGAAACTTAGAAATGGAAAAGAAAACAGAACTGGACTGTATAAAATTCAGTGGTGTGTGTACCTCTTAATAGCACTCTGGCTAGCAATTTTCAACTATGTTTCCTAAGATTAAAACCATCATTTGGAATGGATCCCATTCCCAATCTAATGTAAAACAAATACCGATAAAACGCCTGGTGAGATAAAGTAGATTATCTTGATTCCAACGGCAACTGCAACTGCTTATGGTCCTTTCAAACACACTCCCCTCGCGAACACACATTATCTCTCTGACCTTCATCCTCTTGTTTACTGATGGCAGTTGGAAGATGACCAGTTGGAGTTAATTTTCCATTTTTAATTTGCTTGTCAAGTTTTATGCCATTCTGTCAGTAAAATACTCCAATATTGCTAAAATAAAACCTACTGAAACTGTGATTGCCTAAATCAGACACTAAAGTAAGGCCTTCGGGTTTTACGATACAGTAAAATGCAAATTGGGACTCGTTTATGCAATGAAGTGAATGTTTCCCTACTCTTCCTCTGGAAGAAAGAGCCGGCCCCCATCTGCGGGCTGCCCTCAGCCTGGCATCCTGACCTCCAGCCACCTCAAGCATAGCAGAACTACCGTCTGTATTTTAGGATGTTGGTGGTGGGCTGCTGTCTACCCCAGCCCAGCGGTGAGAAAGCGCAGGAGGACCACAGAGCCACGCTGGATAAACAAAGATGTTCCTCTGGGTCTCCCGGGTGCCTTCCTTCCTGCTGCTTTCCCTCCTGCATCAGAGAGGAGCTCAATGCTAAATGTTTATGGGCTTCTCACACTTCATTTGATGGAACTAGGAACTTCATGATGGGCCTCTGATGGGCCAAGGGAATTCTAGCTTATTTGAGTTTGGGGCTTATATAAGCCATTATGTAAGTCACCAGCTCATGTCCTGTAGAAACTGCACGTTTTCCCCAGGCTGCCTTCAGCTTCACAGACAAAGTCAGGGTAGAAACAGGGTCTGAGGGAAATTCACGAAAAGCCACGATAGTGGTCTGCTGGGTGAGGAGTCAGACGCGGAGTAATGGGGCCATCACAGGAGCGTCAGAGTTTCCTGTTTGCTCCCCACTCCTGGTGGAAGCCGGCTCCAGTGGAGGATCAACGGCACCTGCAGCTGCAGGTTCTTGGAGAGCACTCTTAGGTGGCACCGGGTCTCACATCTGCCCTCGCACGTGTGCAGACGCTCTGCCTGGGCCAGGAATGGCCTGGGCCGGCCCCTCCAGGCCAGCTGCCTCTCCACTCATTCAGAGTGTCTTCCCTCCTGATGGAAGTCATGCATTTACTGTTACAGCAGATTTAGCAGTCAGAACAGTCCACCACGCCGCCCTTCATCCCACTCCTCCGAGATGACCTCCGTATAGGGTCAGGAGCCCGGCCGCTTCCTCCCGGCTCCTTAGCCCCGAACCCGGCCTCGCTCCTCAGCTGCGCACTTGGGGAGCGAATGCGCAGTCCCTGGGCGGCTGCAGTCCACCCAGGTCACAGGCTGACGCGCGATTCTTAGGGGTGAGAAGGGGGTGACTGGGGCAGCGGAGAAAGCGGAGACAGAGACAGGGTGTGCCCAGGGCGCGGGCACCGGGAGGTCCAGCCTGCGAGGCACGTGGCCTGCCCAGCTGCGGACGGGCGCGGCCCCACCACAGCCCACAGCCAAGTCCGCCTCACCTGCAGCTCCCGCGCGGAGCAGCCAGATCCATGGCGGCCCTGGGGGTGTGGAGTGGAGAGCAGGCCGCTGCCTCCCGAGGGCCCCGGGCGGTGAGTACGCACCCACGGAGCCCTCGGGGGCAATCACCGCAGCCTCCTCCTTGTCCTCTCCGCGGGCTCCCGGCCCAGCCCCTAAGGCCGCCAAGCCTGAGGCCTGGCTGCCCAGCGAGGGGAGGGCGGCTCCTGGGCACCTTCTTCCCGTCGTCCCTCGCGGCTGCACGCGACGACTCTAGCCCCACCCCCTTCCCACCATCTTTTCTGCTCGCGCTGGGACTTCCGCTCAGGGCCTCAGACGCCGGGACCTGCTGTTCACGCCGGGGCGGGCCGCTGGCTGTGTCCGCCTGAGCTGAGGTCTATGGCCCAGAGGGTTGCTGACCCCGCCATCCTCCCTGTGTCCAGCCCACTGTCTGCTGCCCTGTGTCCCCACCCGTCCTGACCCCTAGGCTGCCAGGTGGGGACATGGCCATGGTGTCATTGCATCCCCCTGCTGACCCCGCCTGGGCCCTGACCTTGACCCTGACCTCCTAGAGGCAGTCACAGGGAGAGGGCTGCAGGGCTGGTGGTAGTGGTGCCATCCTGGCCCCCTTCATGACCCTGCCTGGCCGCTAATGCTGACCCTGACCCCCGCCCCCCAGGCTGCTGGGCTCACGGTCCTCACGTCATCAGCTTCTGTCACGGCCCACCTGCCCCACCACCCTCTCCCCATGACTGCCACCAGGAGGCCACCCTCATGGGGCCATCAGCCCCTCCAGCAGCTCAGTCCCCGAAGCCTGGCCCCAGGCACCCGATTGCTTTCCTGCTGGCCTCTCTCTAGCTTTAGGCCCCAAGAGGCCCAGGCCAAGCGCGGTTTATTACAAAATCCCTGGCAGTGTAGCTGGTACGATTTTATTTATTGATTGGAGGAATGAATGAGCTGGTGAATCCAGCACTGTTTATAAAAACGAGGTGTAGGGAAAAGCTTAAGTGTCTAACCATCAAAGAGTGAAACAGAATGCGATGGAGTCTTTAAAAAGTTACATTGAAAGTTTTTTTAATAGTTGTGGAAAATGCTCATTATAAAATGTTAGGTTTAAATGTCATGTAGTCTATGACAAACATGTCTCAGGTTTCATGCAACAGAAACAGCTCTGGGCAGCACTGTCATGAAAGACCAGAGGGTACTGTTCTGTGACCTTTGCAGAGAACGGTGCCCAGCACTCTGTGCCCAGTCAATGTTGGGTTTATTTTAGCACTAATTATAAAAATGGAGGACTTTTTTCTATACATATGCTTTGACATTTTTCTCCAGAATTCTCTTCATTTGTTTTACTTAACAGTATAAAATATTTTTATTAAAAATAATTTTTTTAAGGATCTCGCCGGATCTTAAGAACATAAACCCAGGCCTTAGTAAACGTATCTCTCACACTCTGCAAGGTTTGGGGTCCCCTGTGGTAGCCTCCTTGTCATAAGACCTTGAGTAGGTCCCGTGAGCTCACCCTCAGGAAAGAGGTCACAGAGGAGATGAAAAGGCTAGGGGGAAGCAAGCCCTGGCTGCTCTGCAGAAGGAAACACGAGGTTCACTCTATGATGCTTAGGTGAGCAGGCAAACTCATGGGCATGACACGGAGGGCTCTACTCAATACGCACCAGCATTTTCAAAAGAGAAAGGGATGTAGTTTAGCAATGACAGCCTGCTCTGAAGAGACATCAGCAAAGTGGCAGCAACCGGATTCTGTAGATGAAAACCCTGCCTTGGGTTGGAGCCTGAGCTGGACAATTGTCCCCTATTAGGATGCTTCTACCAATGAGGAACAAACAATGCAGACTCATAATGGCCTGAACAATAAGGAAAGTGTGTCCATTAGATTTTATTGTGTAACAAACCATCCCAAAACTTAGTGGCTTAAAATAACCACAATTTATCATTTCTCGTGAATCCAGGTTTCCTAGGTGAATCTTCTTGCCTGGGCTCAGGTATGTGGCTGTGTTTAGCTGGCAGGTTGGCTGGGAACTGTTCTTTGAGGATGAAAGACCCATGGAGAGGAAGGTTCTCAGCCAGCAGAACCTTCTCCTCAATGGGTCTTTCATCCTCAGAGAAGCTAGATAAGACTTCTTTATGGAAGCATCTAAGACAGCAGGAGTAGGGGCCTTTTAAGGCCAAGGCTCAGAACCATACAGTGTTATTCCCACCACATTCTAGGAGTCAAAGCAAGTCGCCAGCTGAGATTTGAGGGTGGGGAGAAGACCCCAATTCTTGATAGGAGGAGCAGCAAAGAATATATGACCGTATTTAATCTACCACAGAAAGTCAGCATCTCAAAAGACAGGAAATTCAGAAGTAAGGTGTAAGGTGGATTTCCGGTGGCTGATCAAGCAGTGCAAGGATGCGAACCAAGGTCCAGGTCCTCTCCTGTCCTCTGCATCTTCCATGTGGGTTTCATCCTCAGGCTGGGAGAAAGATAGCCTTAACAGTTCCAGGCATCACATCCAGATGCAAAACATTCAGAAATTCAGGAAGGACTGTCTCTTCTTGTAGATATCTCCTAGGAGTGACGAAACTTCTCTGAATCCCTAGAGTGGAGCTCCTGCCATATCTCACCAGTCAGAGCTAGGTCACATGCCCGTTTCTCCCCATTGGCAAGGGGAACTAGAGTCACTTGGATCATTGCACCCCATCGCTGCACCGAGCTGCGAGGTTGGCTTCCCCTGAGGCACTGGCTGTGTGGATAGCTAAACAAAGTCAGGATCCGTTGGAAAGGAGGGTGCGGGAATGGAAACTCAGTGGGAGGGTAACCAGCAGCGTCCACCTGTATGAACCTTTATTGGGAGCTTTTGTTTAATCCCACGTGAGCAAAATCACACCATTGGCTCAGGCTCTCGACCTTACAGGCAGAAGATAAGATCTGTAGGGATAGTTCAAATCAGATGGACATTGTAATCTTCCAAATAAACGCCACACGTATCTGAGAGCGAAAAGTTCTGATTTTCCTGCTCAGATCCCCATTTAGCTTCAAGAGTTGTAAAACGTGATTTAATCTGACAGCCTCTACCATCTCCAGCTCTGAGAATGCCCCAGGGCGCTGGCCTGCCTTCCAACATTATCTGTGATTGATGCTGAGATAATTGTCTCCCCAGTCACATTTCGGCAACAGAGTGAAATGATTTGCAGTGTGGAGGCCAAGGTTCTTTTGGCTCAAATTGTGGCATGTTGGAGACCCGTCATCAACATGGCTGTAGCTATGAGTGTGAACGTGGAGCTCGGTCACCACACAGTCACCTTCACGTTAGCAAGAAAGCAGGTTTCAATCATGGAACCAACAAGAGGTATTTTCAAGTTTTGTGGTTCATAAACCTCAGGGTAGAGCACAATGGATGCAGATCAACCAAGATACGGTGCCCAAAAGAACTGGAAACACGTCCACACAAAACTGGCACGCCAATGTTCCTAGCAGCACCCTTCACAACAAACAGCTAACAGATGGAAACAACTCAGGTACACATCCAAGGATGGATGGACAGCAAAATGTCACAAATTCATACAGTAGCATCTTATCAGCAGTAAAAAGGAATGAATTGGTGAGGCAATGCACACCACACATGAACCTCAAAAAATTATGCGAAATAAAAGAAGCCAGTCACCAAAGGTCACATACTCTGTGATTCCATTCATATGAAATGTCCAGAACAAAGACATTTATGGAGACAGAAAGTAGCTTACTGTTTTCCTAGAGCTGAGACTGGGAACCTGGGGTGAGGTAGAGTAGGGAGAGTGATTGCTAAAGGGCATGGGGCTTCTTTCCAGAGTGATGAACATACCCTAAAGTTTACCTGTGGTGAGAGTTGCACGTATCCGTGAATAAACTGAAAATGATTGATTCATATACTTTAAAATGTTGAATTATATGGTGTGTGAACTACATCTCAATAAAGCTTATAAAATAGCAAGGATAGGCCGGGCACAGTGGCTCACGCCTGTAATCCCAGCACTTTGGGAGGCCAAGGCAGGTGGATTACAAGGTCAGGAGATAGAGACCATCCTGGCTAACACGGTGAAACCCCGTCTCTACTAAAAAAAAATACAAAAAATTAGCCGGGCATGGTGGCAGGCGCCTGTAATCCCAGCTACTTGGGAGGCTGAGGCAGGAGAATGGCATGAACCCGGGAGATGGAGCTTGCAGTGAGCCGAGATTACGCCACTGCACTCCAACGTGGACGACAGAGCAAGACTCTGTCTCAAAAAAAAAAAAAAAATAGCAAGGCTACATCACATCTCACTCCTAGTTACCACTGGATAGATACCCTGTGTCTACCGTGTCAGTTGTGGAATTGTAGGTTCCTTTGGTCCCCCGAAACTCAGGGAGAGATGGTAGGGTCACACTTGGGCACCCAAGTCAGCCTGTCTCCACAGGCAGGGACCCTGGGTCTCCACACCCCCCGTAGTGTCAGCTGCAGGGGCCAGCATGGCTGTTCCTGCATGTGTTCTCCACACCCCCCGTAGTGTCAGCTGCAGGGGCCAGCGTGGCTCTTCCTGCCTGTGTCCTGCAGGCTCCTCTGCTGGCCCCTCTTTACGGTCTCCCTGAGGCCCAGACTGTTGCCAGGGAGGAATCATCCTGGAGATGGACGAGCGCTGAGGCCTTGCTGCTTGCATTTAAGCAGCCTTTACTTTTGTAGACATTGAAAGACCAAAGAGAGGAGGCTTAGGGAGGAATGTTGCCAGAAGCAGCCCCTCAGGTTTGTTCCACTTTAATCGGACAGCATCCCTTGGCTGTCCAGACTGACAGTGTTTTATTAGGAAGCGTCTCAGCTTCTCTGTAGTAGACAGACTCCAGGGTCACCCCCATCTCCTGCCCCCTGGCCATACCCTTGTGTACCCCTCCCCTTCAGTGTGGGCAGCACCTGGGGCCAACTTCTAAGGGGAGCCCACAGTCAAGGTCACGACCCCTTGTGTATGGTTATGTGACTATGTTACATGGAATTGAGCTTCCATCTTTATCTCTCCCCTTCTTCTCCACCTCCCACACACATACTTCTTTTTCTGGCTTTAGGAAAGCAAGTCAGCCAGGCACCGTGGCTCATGCCTGTAATCCCAGCACTTTGGGAGGCTGAGGTGGGCAGCTCACTTAACGTCAGGAGTTCCAGGCCAGACTGACCAACATGGTGAAACCCCGCCTCTACTAAATACAAAAAATTAGCCCGGTGTGGTGATGCACACCTGTAATCCCAGCTATTCAGGAGGCTGAGGCAGGAAAATCACTTGAGCCTGGGAGGCGGAGGTTGCAGTGAGTCAAG
Organism: Homo sapiens; assembly: GCF_000001405.40. Lineage (NCBI taxonomy): Eukaryota > Metazoa > Chordata > Mammalia > Primates > Hominidae > Homo > Homo sapiens. The sequence continues at coordinate 49,546,663 of NC_000022.11, forward strand.
ATTGCGCGACTACACTCCAGCTTGGGCAACAAGACCGAAAACTCCATCTCCAAAAAAAAAAAAGAAAGAAAGAAAGAATAGAAAGAAAGTCATCACGTTGGAGAACTCGGTACTCTAAGAAACAGGGTGGCCTGTGAGACCCAAGGGCAGCCTGGGGCTGGCAGCCAGCGAGAAACTGCAGCCCTCAGTCCTACAACCCTAAGGAACCAAAATTTGCCAGTGACTTGAGTCAGCAGAGAATCAGATTCCTCCCAGCCCTGTCTCTGATGAGGCCACAGCTCAGGCTGACATCTTGACAGCAGCCTTGTCAGACCCTGAGCGGGGCCCAGCTTAGGCACCCGGACTCCTGATCACAGAGAATGTGAGACGGCCGGGTGTGTTGCTTGAAGCCACTAACTTCGGGGAAACTTGTCACGCAGCAATAGCTAACTTATCAAACTCTCATTCAGGTTTGTTCCAATCTCACCTTTTTAGTGAAGCCCGATCTCATCGCCCATGTGCCTCTGCCATGATCCCTCCTTCTGATCTTTACCTACCAAGCCTGGGTTGCCCTCTCTTCACTGTGTTCAAGCACACGTCCCCTTCTCAGTGACCAGGGAATGTGGGTATTGGGTCTGTTCATTCCTCCTCGCAGTGCTAGTCTGTGAGCTCCAGGAGGGCGAGCACCTTCTCATTTGACGCTAACGTACCCCAGGTGCCTGGCAGTGCTCCAGGAGAGCGAGAACCTTCTCATTTGATGCTCATGTACCCCAGGTGCCTGCCAGTGCTCCAGGAGGGCTAGGACCTTCTCATTTGATGCTCATGTACCCCAGGTGCCTGGCAGTGCTCCAGGAGGGCAAGAACCTTCTCATTTGATGCTCATGTACCCCAGGTGCCTGCCAGTGCTCCAGGAGGGCGAGAACCTTCTCATTTGATGCTCATGTACCCCAGGTGCCTGCCAGTGCTCCAGGAGGGCTAGGACCTTCTCATTTGATGCTCATGTACCCCAGGTGCCTGCCAGTGCTCCAGGAGGGCTAGGACCTTCTCATTTGATGCTCATATACCCCAGGTGCCTGCCAGTGCTCCAGGAGGGCGAGAACCTTCTCATTTGATGCTCATGTACCCCAGGTGCCTGGCAGTGCTCCAGGAGGGCTAGGACCTTCTCATTTGATGCTCATGTACCCCAGGTGCCTGCCAGTGCTGGCCCATCATAGATGCTCAGTCATCAGTCGTTAAGTGACGCTTGAGTCAACCAGCCAGGCCATCGTTTGCCAGAGGAAATCCAGTCCCTGAGATGAAGGTGAGTCGTGGCAGAGTGGAAGGCCTCATCCACATTCCTAGTTTCTCCTGTGTTCACATCCGGCCCCCTGTTCTGGCGGGGGCCCTGCCCTGTGCTCAGAGCAACGCGGCCGCCTCCCTCCAGGGTCCCACACCTGCCGCATCACCTCCCCTGGGGTGGCACGGGCACACCTGGCTCTGCTCCCACCCTGCTCTGGCCCCCATTCCCAGACAAGTCCCGCCGCTGTCAGCGCACCTCTGCATTGGGCACTCCCTTCTGTCGGCAGAGTCGTGCTCTGTGGTGCATCTGAAGGTGTCCCGTTTAATTTTTTATTTTAACTGCACCTGTCTTGAATGCGTATCTTTCAAAAAAGGGGAAAAGGAGCTAGAATTGTAGCTATCATTTCTGAGCACGCCCTGGGCTCCCAGAGCCCTGCACGTTTTTCTTTTGTTGAAACCCCCATTGCCGTTCTCTGGAGTGGGCTTGTAATCTCCATTTCTTAGGTGGGAAATGGAGGGTGAGAGGGAAAGTGACACGGTTTCAGAGCTGCAGCATAGCAGGGTGGGGTCGAATCCTGTTTAACTTCATTCCAAATACCAAGCTTTCAACCACTGCCTTCAATATGTGCTTTGTAGGCAGCAGCTTCTATTTACTTACGGCCCCACAGCTGCTCTGCACCCTGACCCAGGATATCCCTGCAACCTATGCAAACTGAGTTCCAGCCCTGCTGCCAAACCCTCCGTGGCCCTGGGAATGAACCCTCATCCTGGCTGCTCTCACCGTGGCCTGTCCAGATGCAGGAGCTCCTCTCTGAATCTGGGGCTACTGGCAGGTGAGTTTCTGCAGGGACCTGCCCCCTGGGCTCTACTGCAGGGGCACAGAGGCACAGCGCCCCCTTCAAGGCACCAAGGTGGCCATTTCTCCCACCCACTACAGGGTCCGCTCCCCGGAGGTCTGGGTGGAGGAGGGAGGAGCAGCGGCTCTCTGCTGCTTTCTCTGTCTACACACCTTGGGCCTCTCAGTGGGACCGTCCACACAGCCCAGGTGGCTCTGAAAGGGAGGTGGGCACGTCCTCTCTCTCCCTCTTCCATCTGTCTCTGTCTCTAGCGCCCTCTACCTGAGCCCTTTGCTTTGTGGGTAGTTAAGAGATCGGGAAATCTCAGAGGAGGAGAGGTCGGGAGGGGACTCACTCTCTGGACCCCCTGTCTGAGTGCTGGTGGCTGGAGCACAGTCCCCTCTGTTGACGTTGCACTGAGGAGCCCTGAGCACTTTCCCCCTTCCCTGCCAGGTGTGCCTTCTCCTCATCTCACCTGGAAAGCACAGAGTTGACGCAGGACTCCGACTGCCCCCTTACAACTCTGCAGGCCACGTGCAGACAGCACAGCCATTGGTGAGGGCCGTGTGTCTGAAGATGGAGAGGAGGGGTCTTGAGGACGGAGCTCTGGGGGCCAATGGGGCCCTTGCTCTTCCTCCTGAGTGGTCCATGGTGCGCAAAGCACCCGATGGACATCATTGCATTGATGCTGATGTTGGAGATGGTGACAGACAAGGCCTCGCATAGGCAGAGGTGGCTTCACAGCAGCGGGCAAGTGGGGGACCCTGCCTGATGCAGAGTCGGGGGCGGCTTCCTGCAGACCGGGCTTCCTTGGCCCATTCCCCCTCTCCCTTTTTCAAATCTCAGAACTCCAGAGCGGTGCTCTCCTCCAAAAAGAGGGCTGCTCCCCTTAAGGCACTCGCTCTGACTTTGCCATCCTCCAGCTGACCTGAGTGAGCTCAGCAGCCGGAGTTCGTGTGGCTCTGTCACCAGCCAGCATGTCTGAAATCACTGCAGAGATGCTGCTGAGGGAACACGGACAGCGTTCTGAGCCGATAGTTTCCAAAATGCTGGATTCCGGCCAGTTCTTCTGTTTAATATGCAGCACCTTATAATTAAAGCCATAGACTGCCAGACTGAGTGCCAGCCAGGAAGGGGAAGAGAGACACAGTGGGCTTCACCATTTCCCCAGTAGACGTCAGCATGGAGGAAGTAGGGGATGCCTCAGGACCCACTTTGGTTGAACCCTGCACTGGGAACTGCTAGCCTCCTCTGAGCCTTCCTGGGGCACCTGTTCCACGGCAGGGAGTGAGCTGAGGATGGGATTGAGACTCACAGAACAGTGGAGGCCATGGCAGCCTACCCAGAAAGCACAAGGCAGGGCTCCAGGTGACGAGAGAGGGAAGGAGAGGCCACTATGGGCCCAGGTCCTGGATGCTTCTGACCCTGGGCCAGAAAGGGCTGCTGCGGAGAAGTAGAACTAAAGCCAGATCCTGCAGGGTAAATAGGAGTGGCCCAGATCAAGGGCAGAGGGCAGGGTGTGTGCAGAGCGCCAGGCATGGAGCCCATGGCCATGGCCGCCTTTTGCCCTTGGATGGTCTGGTCTTCCTCAGGTCCTCCTCATCAGCTCTGGGCCCCACCTGCTCCTCCTGTGCCTGGCCAGGCCTCTGCCTCTTCTTATCCCCATCTGTGCTTGTCCTAGACAGTTCCTTCATTTGTGATTCTAAATATTCCTCTTGAGCTTCTGACACTCACAACTTCTTAATCCACACATGCACTTGAATATTTAAAGGATATCTCCAATTTAGATGACCAAGCCACAAACAAAGTCCCCTGCCCTTGCCTGACACGCTCTCCCCAAGCTTTCTGCGTCTCCCTCAGCAGCCCCGTCCTCTCCCAGTGCTCAGCCCACAGTGCATCCCTCTGTCCTCACCTCACACTCCACCTCCAGGCTCAGTCTTTCTGAGTCCTTCCACACTTGCTTTTCTGTCTGGTTGGAACTTTCTGTCTCCTACCCCAGTACCATCACACGAGTTTGTCCTCCACATCCTGCAGATCTGGACCCTGCATCATCGTCTCCTCAGCAGCACCCTCACTGTCACCCTGGCCAGAGCAGCCCCTACGGCGTGCTCTCCCGGGACTTCATCATCCTTAGCGGCTGCTGCACAGCTCACCATCCCAAAACTAAGAGGCTTCATGCAACAGCTCACAGTTATGTGGGCCAACACCGAGGCTGAGTTCAGCCGGGCGGTTCTTCTGGCCTTTGCTGTGGTTCACACGGACTTGCACCCCCAGCTGGTTATCCCCATACACAAGGCAGAGAGAAGCAGAGGGATGAGACCTCCAATGTGCACCCTGTCCTTCCTCTTTGCTGTTGGCCAAAGTGGCCACAGGCCCCCAGTCCCAAGGGGTAGGGAGAGTGACTCCCCCTGCTGGCAGAGGCTGCAGTATCACCTCACGGGGTGCAGGCTCTGGGAGGGGATGACCATCATCACTTTGCAAGCAATTGACTGCTGAATTCCTAATGTTATCTGGTTTGGCTATTTATGTGTCTCCTCTCTGTCTCTTCCCCAGTGGATCATAAGCTCCATGAGGGCAAAGACTACATCTCAGTCATCGCCCTTGCCTCAGGGAAGATGCTAAAATAATAATAGTTGTCATTAGCTGCCTGGGGGCGCTTCAGTTCCGCTCTTCCAGGCTGCCCCAGCTGGGCTGGTGCGCAGAAGGGGTTCCCATGGTGCAGGGACCACCCATGTGGATCCAGCTCTCAGGGCAAAGAAGCAGGGACCCTCCCTCCTTGCCAGTGCCCAGGCCCCAGGGAGCCTCCCTGACGACAGCTTCAGCACAGGCCCTCGGGGATGACTCCTGAGCCTCACAGGGTGCCTGCTGTGCTGCCATGAAGCTGCCGCAGTGGCCTTCCTCTGCTCACGTCAGGTTTTCGGGAGGAGAAGGCAGAGCTGGCAGGCTTGGGTGATCACAGCAATGACAGAGGCCAGGGATGGGCTGTGGCCACCCAGCGCCTGCGAGCAGGGTCACCGCTTCCCTTATCCTGCGTCTGAATCTCTGATAGGATGGAAAGCTGGGTGCTGAGCCTTCCCTCTGCCTCAGAGGGTCCCAGGACACCATGCAGGGATGCACCATGCTCAGTAATGGTGCTCACTGCTCTGAAACCTGTGAACAGACCCACATCCAGGATGCACAGCATGGGGGAGCACTGGGTCTCCCCAGGCCACTCTCCCCCTCATAAGCCCTGCTCGTCTGAGTGGGACTCTGTGCAGACTTGGGGCTCAGGGTCTCCCAGAAGACAGCCTCAGCCGGGCACCAGGCCCCGGGATGCCCGGGAAGAGCACCTGCCATGCATCCTGACAGCTGGGGCTCTCACAGCCACCCAGAGGACACCAGCTTGGAGGGCACATTTGCAACTCTCGGGGGCTCATTCCGTTTCACATAATTTAGTTTACATTCAAAATATAAAGTCTCCTTTTGTGTGTATTAAGGGACAGATCTCTGCTTGCGCTCACTTGGAGTGAGGACAGAGGCCCTGCTGTGCCCAGCCCCTTCCGCCCGAGCTCACTGAGGAGCATGGCCAGACTCACTGGCTGCTGCAATTGCCTGCACCACGCAGGCCCCGTCTCCACCTCCCCCGTGAATGTCACAAAGTAATTAGCTTGTGAAGCTATTTCCCTATGACATTATGGATCAAAAGAAAGTGACAGGTAACCAGATGTGCTGACGGGGAGGCCCCTGCCCCGGGGAACTCCTGCCTGTCTGCTTCCAGGAGAGGGTAACACAGGAGCCCGGCAGGAGGCTCTGCAGACAGGATGGCACCCCACAAGGATACTTTAATTGTGTGCAGCTTGGGGGATGCCAGGGAAACACAGCACACCCACCTTCTTTCATTTATTTTTCTGCCCAAGAACCAGTAAACACGGAGTTACTCCTGTACTGAGCTGAGTAAAATAATCTGACTGAGAGGATGCGCTGACCTCAGTTTCGACAACTGCGTTTGGTACCAAGCCCTGCAAGGGCTCCACGGAGCAGCTTTGGGGGAGACCTGCCTGCAGGAACATGTACCCCACGGAGCAGCTTTGGGGGAGACCTGCCTGCAGGAACATGTACCCCACGGAGCAGCTTTGGGGGAGACCTGCCTGCAGGAACATGTACCCCACGGAGCAGCTTTGGGGGAGACCTGCCTGCAGGAACATGTACCCCACGGAGCAGCTTTGGGGGAGACCTGCCTGCAGGAACATGTACCTCACGGAGCAGCTTTGGGGGAGACCTGCCTGCAGGAACATGTACCCCACGGAGCAGCTTTGGGGGAGACCTGCCTGCAGGAACATGTACCCCACCCGACACGTCCTGGGAGCCTCGTCTGAGGTACAAACAACAGGAAAGCACTGATGCATTTTTCAAAATCCAGCAGGAGGGAACGGTGGGCTGTGGATGCTGGCTGGGAAAGCTCCTCGGGCACAGCCCTGTGGGCAGGGAGGGGAGGAGGGCTCAGCCCCCACACAGGCCGCCTGGCACCAGGAGTCACAGGCCTCAGCCGTGGGATGTCCCCAGAGTTCCAACCGCCACTCTTGCAGAAGCAGCCCAGCAGGGTGAGGGTGGGGCCACATGGGGCTCAGCTGCAGGAGGGACGCCAGGTCCTGCACTTCTCACCCGCAGTGACCTTGGGCAGGGCATTCATTCCTTGGGAGAAATTTCCTCGTTGGTGAAATGAAATCACTGCTTGGCTTCAGCCACATAATGTTAGGCACGCTAACTGCAGCCTAGGCAACCTCAGACCCTCAGGAAATCAACAGAGGGGTGCCAGCTCCCTGCACAGGTCCCGGCCTAACTCGGGATGCCACTCAGGGCCCTCGTCTTCCCATCCTGTGGCTCTGTCTTCACAAGGCCCCAGAGGTGCTCTTGTCCCTTCCCTTTCAGTCCCTCAGCCAGTGGGCAGCACACGGCCACCCAAACACAAGAGGCCAGGACCATGGACAGCAGGGAGCACAGAGCCCAGGCCTCCGTGATCCTAGGAACACGCAGCATCCGGGAACACGGAAAGTAAAGATGGAGACATGGGGCGGGAGGAAGCTAAGCAGGGACACAGTACCCCCTTGCATCACGGAAATGCCTGGCCAGAGCGACCTGCCGCAAGAAGCCAGCCCAGCTGCTCCTGTCCCTGAAATGTCCGGAGAGAGGGCCAGCAGGGAGGCTGGCGCCTGGGCCAAGAGAGGGGCTACTCAGTTCTTCCAGAACATTCCAGTGTGGCCCATGGACACCGGCCTTCTGATGTCCAGAGAGGGGCTACTCAGTTCCTCCAGAACATTCCAGTGTGGCCCATGGACGCCGGCCTTCTGGGGTCCATTCTGTCCTGTGTCACTTCAGTTGATGAGCTGCTTGAGACCAGAACTGCCCAAATCCAGAACCGCCCACTACCTTCTGTGAGGCTGTGGCCAGAAAGCAAGCCAGACTTCTGAAGCTGCCTGGGCCTGTCGGGACCCAGGAGAATCTGGCCGTGAAGGAGAATAAAGGAGGAAGCCAGGCCTGGCACAGGGACAGGGTGGGGACCCAGTGAGATCTCCAAGGAGGAAGCCAGGGCTCCTACACTGGGGCTGCTGTTCTCCCGGAGGAACTCCACCCAAGGAGAGTCTGGGATTATCATGAGAGACAGGACCGCATCTGTGCACAGTGCAGTACGTCAGGTGCTGGCCAGGGGCCGGGGGCCTCAGGGAGGAGAGTCACCCACCAGGCCAACTAGGACAGACGAAACGTGAGTGCCCCTACGGGAGAAAGCAAAGCTGAGACAGCATCGCGAGCTGAGGGAGAAACTGACAGACGGCAGTTCACCAAAACCCAAAAACTGGTCATTCTCTGGCCTTTAACAAACCAAAGTATATTTCTCCCTCTGAAATAAGAAACACAGGACAATTATTAAGTTCCAAAAGTACGTTTCATTTTGGAGGCATGTTGTTGGTCCCCTTTGGAATCATGAACCCCTGTGAGCGAAACACCTCCCACCATTGATTCTGACAGGGTACGGCGGGCAGTTCCCGGCCCAGGTAGAGGCAGACAGGTGCAGAGCCACAGGGCCACCACTGCAGAGTCTGGCCTTCTCTCCAGCCCCGGGTGCACCCACGGTTATCAGGGACCCAGCACTGCCTCCCTGCACGCACATGGCTCTCCAGGCCACCACTGCAGAGTCCGGCCTTCTCTCCAGCCCCGGGTGCACCCACGGTGATCAGGGACCCGGTGCTGCCTCCCTGCACCCACCCGGCTCTCCACAGCAGCAAACGGGGTACATTAGGGTGGACGGGATGTGGGGCCAGGGCCCTGCTAGGGCTGGGGTGGACTGCGGAGGGCCGGCACCAAGCAGTTCCAGGTGTGGAGGGCGGCCCTATGTCAGCTGTTAGACACGCAGGGGAGGCACCTCAGATGGCTACAGGTTTGATTGTGTCCCCACAAAAATCCATATGTTGAAGTCCTAACCCCCAACACTGCCGAAGATGACCTTATTTGGAAATAGAGTCATCAAAGACATCATTGGCTACATTAAGATAAGGTTATACTAGAGTAGGGGGACACCTAGCTTATTATGACTGGTGTCCTTATAAAAAGAAGGAAACTGGACACATAAAGGGAGAATGCCATAGGAGGACGGAGGCGGAGATCGGGGTGAAGCTTCTCTAAGCCACGGAGAGCGGCCTAGAACCGACCCTTCCCTCACAGCCCTCAGAGGACAGCCTGGAACCGACCCTTCCCTCACAGCCCTCGGAGGACGGCCTGGAATCCACTCTTCCCTCACAGCCCTCGGAGGGCAGCCTGGAACCGACCCTTCCCTCACAGCCCTCGGAGGGCGGCCTGGAACCGACCCTTCCCTCACAGCCCTCGGAGTGCGACCTGGAACCAACCCTTCCCTCACAGCTCTTGGAGGGAACCCACCCTGCCCACACCTTGACCTCGGACAGGTGGCCTCTAGAGACCTGTGCAGTGAGTTCCTGCTCCCAGCCTGTGGTCCTTCCATGTGGAAGCAAAGCAAACTCCTCCAGGCACATTCACCGCCATTGGCATGGGCCTCCGACACTGACCAGGGCCTCCCGTCACCTCTGCCCCTGCCCACCACTCCCCAGCCCAGGTACCATGCTGTAAAAACAGCCTCAAAAAGAACATGAGGTCCACAGCTCCTCCAGGAGACTGGGCCAGCCCCAAGCACATCCAGAGAGGTGGCTCCTCTGACTGGAGGCTCACGCCAAAGCCACACAGAGACAGCTGCCATTCTCGCTCGCTCATGCTTCCCCCGAGCCTAAACCCTGACCAGCCAGCTCTATACATTTACATCTTTTTCTGGCCTCACACACTGTCTAGAATGTCCAGTCGAATGTTGAGAAGTCGTGGTCAAAGCAGAAAGCCCAGCTTTATCCCCAGTCTTAGTGGGTACGTGTTTGCTGTTTCACGTTAAGATACTGGCTGGCAGTGGGGCACAGTGACTCACGCCTGTAATCCCAGCACTTTGGGAGGCCAAGGTGGGTGGATCACAAGGTCAAAGGATTGAGACCGTCCTGGCCAACATGGTGAAACCCCATCTCTACTAAAAATACAGAAATTAGCTGCGTGTGGTGGCGGACACCTGTAGTCCCAGCTACTCGGGAGGCTGAGACCGGAGAATCGCTTGAACGTGGGAGCAGAGGTTGCAGTGAGCCGAGATCGCACCATTGCACTCCAGCCTGGGTGACAGAACGAGACTCTATCTCAAAAAAAAAAAAAAAAAAAAAGATACTGGCTGGAGATTTTTCACAGATGCCTCTCATCGGATCCGGAAAGTTTCCTACTATTCCCAGCTTTCTGATGTTTTTTAAAATCACAAATGGGTGTCAACATGTGTCAAGTCCTTTTTCTGCCTCTATTGAGGTCATCATAAGGGGGTTATTTTCTCCTTTACTTTGTTACTATGGAGAGTGACACTGATTGATTTTGAAGGTTAAACCGAGCTTACTTTCCTGAGAGAAACCCCACTTGGTCATAATGTAATAATGTGTAGATATTACTAGAATTGGATCTCATTGGTTAATATTTTATTAAGCATTTCTGCCTCTGAGTTCATAAGGGATATTGGTCTGAAGTTTGCTTTTCTTATAATGTGCTTCTCAGTTTTGGTGTTAATGTTGTACTGGCCTCATAGAGTTGGGAAGTGGTCCCTTCATTTTCTGAAAGAGGTTTTATACCCTGGACGTTATTTCTTCCTTAAATATTTGATAGAATTTACGGCAAAGTCATCTGAGACCGTACGTTTCCTTATGGGTAGCTTTGTGTTTGTTTTTTGTAAGTCCAATATTTTTCGTTGGTACAGGGCTATTTCAGTTTTATGTTTTTTCTTGTGACAGTTTTGATAATTGTGTTTTTCAAAGCGTCTGTCCTTCACATCTAAGTTGCAGGATTAATGAGGATAGACTTGTCTGTGACATTTCTTTTAATGCAGAGATGCCGTTTATTCTTGTTATTGGAATTTTTGTTTCCTCTTTTATCTCCTTGGTCCGTCTTACCAGTAATTTATTTACCAGATCAATCTTTAAAAAAACAAAAAAAACTCTCAACATTGTCAATTTCCTTTTTGTCTGATTTTTATTTTATTGATCTCTTCTTCATCATCTTCTTTTTTCTACTTTAGTGTAATTCCTCTTCTTTGTCTAGCTTTTTAAGATGGAAGTTTAGATCACTTAATTTACGCCCTTCTTCTCTTCTAAAACAGGCATTTTAGAGCCATCAATTTTCCTCCAGCCACTATTTTAGTTGCATACCACAAACATTGATATGTCCTGTTTTATGAGAGTTCAAAATACTTTCTGATTCTACCTTGATCCACAGGTTATTTACAAATATGTTCATTAATTTGAAAATGTTTGGTGATTTTCTTATTATAGTTTATTATTAGCAATAATTAATTTGATGTTATTGTGCTTTGAAACTTATTCAGATTTATTTAACAGCCCATGATACGCTCTTAGTAAATGTTCTGTATGCACTTGAAAAACAATGTGTCCCCCATAGTTCCTGGCTGTAATGTTCTCCTAACATCAATTATACTGTTGTTCAAATCTTGGATATACGTCCCCCATAGTTCCTGGCTGTAATGTTCTCCTAACATCAATTATACTGTTGTTCAAATCTTGGATATACGTCCCCCATAGTTCCTGGCTGTAATGTTCTCGTAACATCAATTATACTGTTATTCAAATCTTGGATATACGTCCCCCAGAGTTCCTGGCTGTACTAACATCAATTATACTGTTGTTCAAATCTTGGATATACGTCCCCCATAGTTCCTGGCTGTAATGTTCTCCTAACATCAATTATACTGTTGTTCAAATCTTGGATATACGTCCCCCATAGTTCCTGGCTGTAATGTTCTCCTAACATCAATTATACTGTTATTCAAATCTTGGATATACGTCCCCCATAGTTCCTGGCTGTAATGTTCTCCTAACATCAATTATACTGTTGTTCAAATCTTGGATATACGTCCCCCATAGTTCCTGGCTGTAATGTTCTCGTAACATCAATTATACTGTTATTCAAATCTTGGATATACGTCCCCCATAGTTCCTGGCTGTACTAACATCAATTATACTGTTGTTCAAATCTTGGATATACGTCCCCCATAGTTCCTGGCTGTAATGTTCTCCTAATATCAATTATACTGTTGTTCAAATCTTGGATATACTTACTAAGTTGTATATCAGTATGTTCTATTAATTAGTAAGACAAGGTGCAGAAATCAACCATAATTGTAGATTTGTCTATTTCTACCCTTAGTTCTGCCAATTTTTGCTTCATGTATTTTAAAGTTCTGTTATGAGGTACCTACACATTTAGAGCTATTTTGTCTTGCTGATGAATTGACCATTTATCATTATGAAATATTACTCTTTATCTCTGGTAATGTTCCTTGTCTTAAAGGCTACTTTGGTATTAATGTAGTGGTTCCAGCTTTCTCATCCTTAATATTTGCATGCTGTGTCTTTGGCTATCCCTTTACTTCCAACTGTTGGCATCTTCAGAGTTAAAATGCAGATCCTGAGAAAATCAGACAATTGGGTCTTGTTTTGTTTTATAGTCTGATAATCTTTGCCTTTTGTGTGTAATATTTAGTCCATTTATATCTACTGTGATTATTTTTGGGGTTGGTTTTAAAAGTGTCATCTTGGCATTTGTTTTCTATTTGTCTTATTTGGTTATTTTGCTCTTTGCTTTTCTTTTCTTGCCTTTTTGGGATTAAGTACATTTAATATCCCATATTATTTCCTCTGTTGACTTTATAGCCATGCCTCTTTGTGTTATTATTTTAGTTCTTCACTTAGAGTCGCTATTCCCAATAAACTTTCTCTGATAATTGGGCTATTCAATACAGCCACTTAATAGTGAAATGTGACTAGTGCAACTGAAGAATTGAGCTTTGAATATTTAATTTTAACTTAATATTTAATTTTAATTTAATTTTAACTTAGCTATTGGCTAGTCACTACCCTACAAAGTTTCAGAGATTACAGCACTTTTATCTGATAAAAATCTACCTTCAAATGATTTTATACTACTTCATAACACAAAATCCTTGCAACAGTAAAATTCCATTTTATCCCTCCCAAGCTTTTATGTTCATGTAATTATATATTTTAATTCTACAAATGTCATAAATCTTTCAATGCATTATTGCTTTTTCTATAAACTGTCAAATATTGTTTAAAAAAAGTGTGGCAGGACGGAGAGACAGAACTTTAAGGGAGTCTTTGCATTTATTTATAACTTACTCTTTATTTTGCTCTTCATTCATCCATGAACATTCAAAAGCTTCCATGTGAGATCATTTTCCTTCAGCTTAAAAAATGTGCAGATCTGTGGAAATTACACAGAGACCCAGGCAGAAAATGTAGGACTTTTGGAATGACAAAGACATCACATTAAGAAAAGGAGCACTAGCTGTGATCAAAAAGATGTTTTTAAAATTTCCTGACACTGTAAATTGAAAATATTTACTCCCTTTCAGGCAAAATTAATAAATAAGACCAATATTTAGGCATAAATGGTTGGCTTATTTTATTCCAAGAATATAAAGAATATTTTAATCTCACAGACAAAACAAACATGTTATTTCCAGAGAAAGAAAAATCTCAAGGTTATGAATTAATTTCTCTATGGCAATTGACAAGGCAGCTACAGCTACCAAGTTTGAGGATGATATCTGTGGTCTCTGAATTCTTAACCTCACAAAAGTGAATCACCCATGAATGAAATACAGGTGTATGAGCATGCAGACGCCATCTACTCACATACCCTCTTAGAAAAATATACTCAAAGACATTTCTATTGATTTCAGACCTCAAGTATCTTTGCAAACACTGATGTTAAAAGCGGAATTGGCTTACAGATTATTCAAAGTTATAACTATGCGAACGTCAAATACTCTAATCATAAAATATAACATTAAAACCGTAAGTATATAGTAAACCAATATAACCCCGAAATAAGTCCAGAATGTTCAGAATTGACAAAGCATAGTTTGAGTTCTCTAATGTAGTATCAGAAGTACCCACGGAGCAGCTCATGTGCATGGTCCAATGAATAGAGTGTAGCGTGGTTAACAGGAAAGAAGCGGTGACCAGGAGAGAATCCACAAATTTGTATCCAACCGAGTTACAGAGCATTCCCTCAATACCCAGCACAGTACTAGGTGTCATGGAGGTCACAAGAGTCTCAGGGTTTGTGGGTCCAGGGTGTAGAGAGATCCACAGAAAATGTGAATCAGGAAAGTCATTGCAAAGATCCACTCAATGAACAAATGTGTATGAATTAACCATGTGTCAGGGACATTGCTAGCCCTGGGATGCTGGGGCTCTGCTGTGGTTTGAATGCTTTCTTCCCACAGTTCAGGGGTTGAAGTGTAATAGCCAGTGTGATGGTATTACGAAGCGAGACCTTTAAGAGTTGATTAGACCATGAGGACTTTTCCCTCATGAATGATATTAAGACCTTTATTCAAGAGGCTTCGCCTGTAATCCGAGCACTTTGGGAGGATGAGGTGGGCAGATCACCTGAGGTCGGGAGTTCAAGACCAGACTGACCAACATGGAGAAACACCTCTCTACTGAAAATACAAAAATTAGCCAGGCGTGGTGGTGCATGCCTGTAATCCCAGCTACTCGGGGGGCTGAGGCAGGAGAATTGCTTGAAGCCAGGAGGTGGAGGTTGCGGTGAGCCAAGATCACGCCATTGCACTCCAGCCTAGGCAACAATAGTGAAACTCCATCTCAAAAAAAAAAAAAAAAATGCTTCATGCAGCATTCATCCCTTTTGTTCTTCCACCCACTGCCAAGTGAGGACATAGCATTTGTCCTCTCTGGAGGACACAGCAACAAGCTATCACCTTGGAGACCAAGAGAGTGGCCCTCACCAGACAAGTACACCTGCTGGCTCCTTGATCTTGGACTTCCCAACCTCCAGAACTGTGAGAAATAAAACCCTGTTCATTGTAAATTACCCAGTCTCAGGTATTTCGTTATAGCAGAACAAAACAGACTAAGACGGCTTGATATTCTTACGTGGAAGACAGATTTCTAAGTCAAGTAAACAAAATAAAGGTAACCAGTTAGATCTTACTAAGGCGATAGCTGAGACAGACAGACAATATAGACGGGAGGGCTGCTGTGTGTCTGGTACCTAGGGAAGGCTTCTTGGAGGTGATGATGTGCACACTGAGACCCAACAAGAAAACTGCATGAAAAGCCCAGGAGAAGATAGTGCAGGAGAGGGCAGGAGGGGCTGAAAGAAGCCAGTGTGACTGGAGCACAGCAAGCCAGAGGGAAGACTGCACCCGGTGACATCAGAGGTCACGGCAAGAGACAGAGTGTGCCCAGATCATGAAGTGGGAGAGACAGGAACAGGGGGTGAGGGCTGTAAAGGAAACACTTCTGAAAGGATGAAATTAGCATTTGACACACTTAAGAATTTCTTAACTTAGACAACACCAAATTTGGGGACAGAAAAACTTGCAGTTGTTGAAAATGCCTACCTTGATATTAATTCTCCATTTACAACTTAAACCTAAAGATGTGAGTTGAAAGGCTATAATATTATTAGCTGCTGGGCTGACATCTTGATCCATGATATTTTAGCCCAGAGCAGAAATTTCACTGCTGCATTATAAAGTCTTTAAAAATCGTGTTTCTCATAGATGTACTTGACAGTAGCTGCAAAATTTCCACAAGCATAATTATACTGCCAAGACTCATGGTGAGGGCATTTTAAAGCCAGGAAGTAGTTATTTTCTATGTTGCTATTTTCAATTCTCTTTAAATAAATGTTTACATGTCTCATAAAACCAGCTTCCATGCAAATGTTCATGCTTTTAGCTGCAGAAGATATACCACCAGCGACAAGGATTCCGGCAGTGGGCGCCAGGTCTCCGCTAGGTCAAAGCCGGGGTGATCTAGTCCACGGTTGAACTCTTACCCTGTTTGCTGTCAGCATCAGTTGTGGTCTTGGTAGTGCTTCTGTGCCCAGGAAGTCCAGATATCTGGGGTGGTATGTCCATAATGAGGAAGTGAGTTGCTCAAATGTGTGTCTGGACCAATGAGGGGAACTAAAATTCTCCCTCAACATCCTACAAGAGTTGGAAATGTCTTTAATCTGATCTTAAATGGAATTGAAATTTATTGGGTCTCATTCATGTGGAATTGGGAGCCCATTATTTTGAAGTTTGGGGAAGTATTTATGTCTCTCCTCTGTGGCCCCTACAGATCTCCAGTTTCCTCAAAGAAATCTGTTTCCTACTGTCCATAATATCATTTCTGGCATCATCACTGTCATCTCCATCACTTTGATTATGGTGCCACTATCACCATCATCATCATCATCATCATCATCATTTCTATCATAATCATCATCATAGCTCACTGCCATCACCATCACCACCACCATCACCATTATCTCCACCATCACCGTCATCTCCACTATTATTCCATCATCTCTATCATCACTATGATTATCACCACAGTTGCCACCATCATCATCACCATCACCATTATCTCCACTATCACCATCATTTCCACTGTTGTTTCATCTCCATCATCACTATGATTATCACCAGTTTTCACCATCACCATCATCATCATCACCATGTCTGCCATAATCATCATCATCATAGTTACTACCATCACCATCATCTCCACTGTTATTCCATCATCTCCATCATCACTATGATTGTCACCACAGTTGCCATCATCATCATCACCATGTCTACCATAATCATCATCATAGTTACCACCATCACCATCACCACCACCATCACCATTATCTCCACCATCACCATCATCTCCACCGTTTTTCCATCATCTCCATCATCACCGTATCACCACAGTTGCCATCATCACCACCATCATCATCTCCGTCATGCCTATCATCATCATCATCCCCACCATCACTGTCATCATCACCACCATCACTATATTATCATTACCACCATCTCTATCATTATTACCATTATCGCCATCTCTATCATGCCTATCATCGTCATAGTCACCACCACTACCACCATCATCACCCCAATCAAGATTATCATCACCATCACCCTCATTTCCACCATCATCATCGCCATCTCCATTATCATCACTATCAATGCCCTCATAGCCTTCCTCTTTCTCACCATTGTATGATGATAATAATAGTAATAATGGCTCCTCTTATTAGAGATCTTGCTGGGAGCTTTCTCACATGATATCATTTAACCTGCACACAGGGCACAGTTGGGATGCTGGAGAATGAGGATTAGTAGGTGTGTTAGTTCATTCTTGCATTGCTATAAATATCTGAGACTGGGTAATTTATAAGAAAAGAGATTTAATTGGCTCACAGTTTCTACAGGCTGTACAGGAAGCATAGCAGTATCTGCTTGTGGGGAGGCCTCAGGGAGCTTTGACTCGTGGAAGAAGGTGAAGTAGGAGCAGGTGCCTCACATGGCGAAAGCAGAAACAAGGAAGAGAGGGGGAGGAGGGAGGGGCCACACACTTTGAAACGACCACACCTCATATGAACACAGAGCAAGGACTCACTCAGCAGCAAGGGGATGGTGCTGAGCCATTTGTGAGGGATCCGCCCCCATGATCCAAATGTCTCCCACCAGGCCTCACCTCTCCAACACTGGGGATTACAGTTCAACGTGAGATTTGGGCAGGGGCAGATATCCAAACTCTATCCGTCGGATAACACGTATGAGGTACCTGGGAC
The DNA here is from genome assembly GCF_000001405.40 of Homo sapiens. Lineage (NCBI taxonomy): Eukaryota > Metazoa > Chordata > Mammalia > Primates > Hominidae > Homo > Homo sapiens. Next base: position 49,563,996 of record NC_000022.11, read on the forward strand.
ACAGTAGCCTCAGCTATAAATGCTTTTGTTATAAGTCCCTCAGCCTGGGGAGACTTGGAAGCTAAAATTATGAAGGAAATCAAGCATGCCTTCTGCCAGTTTCTCCCTCATTTAAAGCACACACCATTCCCTTGGCTGTCCACTAATTTATTCACTAGTCACGGGCTAGCAGTTACTAAGCGCTAGACACAGTTCTGCCGGACACTCCTGCCCACCCCCGTTTTGTATGTTTGCTCCCCCAGCAAGAAGCTTCAAGCTGGAGGGCATCTTAAAGTTCAGCTCTCCCAACTCAGTTTTGCCAAAGCTGAAAAATGTGGGGACACGGGAACATGAGCCATCTCTGGCAGAGACAGCCCAGCACACAAGACTGCTCACCAACCCCCAGCTGTGTGTGGTCTCCCCCTGGCTCCAGAGTCCCACCTCCATGGAGGTCCCTCAGGGTCTCAGTCATCATCTGGCTTCTCTTCAGTTCAACCCCACAGATTGATCGGGCACCGTTGAGAGCAACATGCATGCCAAGTTCCGTCAGAGGTAGAGGGTAAGAGATGCAAGGTACGGTCCTGCCCTGAGGACTTTTATAATTTGGTTGGTGAAACAAGACATCCCTGCATGAAAATTTAACCACCACAAGAGAACCACAGGAGAAGCCACAGGGCAGGCTGTGAATTTGTGCTGGGCGGTGGCAGCATCCACAGCCACCATGTGACAGTGACCCTGGGTAAATTGTCATTTATCCTGGCCCCGATTCAGGAGCCCACCAACTCACTTCCTAGCAAGCCCCCCTCGCCCTGTCACTGCCCCTACATGCGGGCCACACACCGCTCTCCTTTCTTGTTTCACTCGGGGACCCGAGATTCTTAACGCCAGGCTCCGTCTTCACCATGGAAGTGCACACGGCGAGGAAGTGAGAGAAGATGGTGGCACTCGGAGGGGCTGGGCAGGCGCGATCCTCCCAGGCCCTGTCCCTCAGCATCATCCATGGGACCACCTCCCCTGTTTCTCCTGCTGCCTGCCCAGAGTGGTGAAGACCCCATGTGAACAAGGAGCAAGTCGGATGAGGACACACTGGTGGGGGGCGGGGACAGTGGCCCCGGGAAGTCCTAACCCCACAGTGGCCTATGTGTGCGAGAGGACAGCACCATAGCCCAGCAGCATCCAGGCCCCTGTACAATGCATGGCCCAACTGTGGAAGCCTGTGGTGAGGTCGGGAGGGCATGGCCACCTCTGCACCAGGGCTCCATTTCTCCCAGGTCCCCCATGCGCCTGTGTCCCAGCCACCATCAGTGCTGGGATCCCCCTAGGAGAGCCCAGGATCCAGGTCCTGCAGCCTGTGGCACGTCCCCTCCAGAGGGAAAGCAGGGGCCACAATGGACAAGGTGCCCGGCGCAGAGGCCCGGTCGACGCAGCAACTGAGAGTGGCTCTGTGAGCTGTAGGTGGTCTGCAGCGGAGGGTCCCTGGGCTGAGAAGCGTCTCTGAGCTGATGCACATGCTGGCAGGGGGAGCAAAGCCAGTCCAGTAGGGAACAGGCATACTCTTCACTGCTTCTCGGAGTGGGATCCATCAGACACTTATTAGGCACCAACTGTGTATCCAGTGCTACTCTAGGCACTGAGGACTTGGAGCTGCCCAGGCAGGAACCCCAGCGTTCACATGGGGACAGGCAGGTGACGCTGGTCTCCCTGGGGTAGAGGTAACAGGGCGAGGCCCAAGGCCCTCCCTTCCTCCTCTACAGAGGGGTCCTGGGGAGGAGAGGTCGGGACCACACAAAGGCCATAACTGCAGATCTGCCCCAGGACAGAAAAGCACAAATGCTGGGCAGGAAAATCATTCCTGGTCACAGTGGGGATACCAGCCGCCAAGCCACCTCCAAGACAGCCTTCTCATGAGGCCTTGAGGCCACCAGGAGCGTCGGAAAAGAGCGTTGAGGTCACTGTGACCAACATGAGCTGATAAATGTTCTTCTTCCTTAAATTTTATGGACTACATTCTCCTTTAAGCTCTGAGAAATTATTTAAAGTTTCAATAAAAAAATAAGCTCCTGAGGTCAAAAGTGAAGCATGGCAAGCTAATAAATTGGGATTGTAAAACTGCCCTGGATCCCCAGTGCCGCAGAGAGACATGGCGAGCAGGTGGCGCGGCCAGAACTCATTATGAATGAAACCCTCCACGGAGGAGCCGGGAGTGTGCTGCTGGCTAGCACTTCACCCTTATGGCCCTCAGCCCCTACTGAGGCACCTGCTGTGTTGTGGGCACGAAGGCTAGTGAGGCTGCCCGGCTGAGGCAGGGGACCAAGTTCAGAGGAGCCCCCAGTGCCTCCCGACCAGCAGCACATGCAGAAGTCACTCACAGGGGCCCTGGGTGCACAGCCACACCTGCACGCAGGCATGTGGATGCACTACAGGCAAAGGCCTCCCTGTGTCTTTTTTCCTTTGGTGCAAACCCAGCCCTGTAAGGAGCTCCCAGGACCCCACATCCCACTGCTGCACGGTGACCCCCGAGTCACCGTGTGCAGCGTCAAGACACACCCCACGCAGATGGCCGCCACCCCTCCCTGAGCACTCCAGCCAGTTGTTTGGGGGATAGACGGAGCAATAAAGCAGTTTTTGCACAAATAAAAATATACGTCGGCACCTGTGTGTTTTCAAACTCAGACAACCTAGTTTTGGAGGCCTGGGGGAGTGGCTGGCACCACCCACATCCCACGAGCAGTGTGGCCCAGGGGCTGGTCATGAGGGATAACAGACGTGGGGAGAAGCCCTGAGCACAGGGTCGCTGGTGCTAATGCCCCAGGCTGGTCATAGTCCCGCCCTCTGCAGTGGCAAAGCGTGGGCAGGTGGGTCTGTTGCTCAAGGTCCCCGTCTCCTTATCGGTAAACTGCAGGCAATAATGGTAAGCCCTGCTTTCCGGGGCTGCAGCCCACACAAGGCATATAAAGCCCGAGCCAGCGCCCATCAGGGGCTGAATGCATGCCAGTTCCCAGGCTCTATTACCAGGAATAAACAGCCTAGGAGCCAGTGCCCCTCCAGCAGCTCACGGTGGAGTAGGAGCCGGGAAACGCATGTGTGTGATGTGTTCATGTCATTCCATTTTTCTCTGTCCTTATTCTTCCCAAAGAAAAGTAACTGTGCAGCCACAGGCGCCCCTCACCAGTGAACTCGCAGGCTCAGTCTCTGAGCCTCGTATGCCTGGCACCATGTTCCCGGAGCTTTGCTGGACTCTACTCACCTCCCAAGCCCCTGTGCCTTTGGAGGCAGCAGGTGTCAACCATTCAACACTCACGCTCATTTCCAGGCATGCAGAGCCTTTGCGGGCCACCTGTTTGGAGTTGGCTAAAAAGGATTCGTGACAATTTTTTTTGTTGTTTTTTTTAAGATAGAGTCTCGCTCTATTGCCCAGGCTGGAGTCCAGTGGTGCAATCTCAGCTCACTGCAACCTCCACCTCCCAGGTTCAAGCTATTCTCCTGCCTCAGCCTCCCAAGTAGCTGGGACTACAGGCATGCACCAGGTAATTTTTTTGCATTTTTAGTAGAGACAGGGTTTCACCATGTTGGTCAGGCTGGTCTCGAACTCGTGACCTCAAATGATCCACCTGCCTCGGTCTCCTAAAATGCTGGGATTATAGGCGTGAGCCATCGCACCCGGCCAACAATTTGTAATAGTAAATTTTAAAATGTATTTCAATGTGTCATAAGAGTAGCAGCCCACAGCACCCTTAGCTGGTTTTACCTTTCCCCAAAGGATGCCTGCAGCTGGTTGGACACTGAGCAATTTGAACCGTAGGTAGGATTTTACGGGATTTTCTTTTCTATTTCTACTAAACTAGACAAGCCCACTGCAGTGTTTCGGTCCTCAGGACGGGGAGGCTGTGTACTGGAGAGCTCTGTCAGATCACGGACACAGTGACAGCGAAATCATGGACACCGACAGCCAGTGTCACTCCACGCCTGATCCTTGTCCGGTGCCCAAGGATGGACAAAGACTGTGGCCGTGGAAAGCTGAAGGGCTCGGCACAGAGCTGCCTGTTTCCGCCATGGGACCCAAAGCTCACGAGCCATCTTCCCACGCCCCTTGCTCTGTCAGCCACATCTCACCAGCCACCAGGTTCTGATGCATCTCCCTCTCCCACGCTCAGGCCACTTCCTCCCCGTCCAGGCAGCAGCCTGGTTGATGTCACCACTGCGTCCTGGGTTGTGCTGGCAGCCTTCTGACCCATCAGGATGGTGATGGGCTGCTTCCCTGGCCTGCCTATGGTCCTCATGCTAGTCAGCTTGCACACACCCACCTCTGAGTCTGCACCCTCCTGTCTGTTCCCCTCAATGGCTGGAGGCCCCCTCCTTCCCCAGCAGAATGAGCCCAGCACTCCCTGCAGCAGTGGGGCCGTACGGCGCCATCCAACTCTGATCCGTGTTCAGATTCCAACAGCCTCAGCCGCAAAGCACACAGAAGCCTGTCCTGGGCCCAGGGCAGACTCCCAGTGGACAGGAGAGTTCTGGGCCCCGTGTCCCCTTAACCCTGTCCCAGGCCCAGGGCCAACTCCCAGTGGACAGGAGAGTTCTGGGCCCTGTGTCCCCCTTAACCCTGTCCCAGGCCCAGGGCCGACTCCCAGCGGACAGGAGAGTTCTGGGCCCCGTGTCCCCTTAACCCTGTCCCAGGCCCAGGGCCAACTCCCGGCAGACAGGAGAGCTCTGGGCACCACGTCCCCTCAACCCTGTGCCTCTGCCCTTCTCGAGGGTTTTGTGCCACAGGCATCGGAGTCCTTCCCAGGGCCCAGCTGTCGACTCCATCTGCTTCCGTGCCAGCCTGCCGGGGGTCCAGTCATCCACATCAGCGCTCTCTGCAGGATGCGACAACTCCCTGCAGCCGCTTCCCTCTGTGTGGCCTTGCAGAGAGGTCACTGCATGGGCCACGGCCAAAGAATTTCTCCTCTGTGCAGAGGACATTTGTCTCATGCTGAGGGTGCTTCAGACTCTTCTGGGCTTCAAAGAAGCAACGTCCAGGAGCCACAGCTTCCGGCCCTCACCTTCAGCCTGCCTCCCCCTAGAGAACAGCATCCTGAGGCCCCGGCTCCTCCTGCACCTCAGCTCTAACTCAGGCCGTGGTGGACCAGGAGAGTTCAGCTTTCCATGCCCGTGAGCACAGCCTTCTGTGCTCAAAACCAATCACGTCTCAGCCAAAGCCTGAACTCCTGGGAGACACTGACTCTTAGAGCCTATGGGACCTGGTTCCTGGCCAGCTCCCCATGCCAACCCTGCAGGCCCCTCCACCCACTGCCCTCTGAACGCCCCATGGGTCCTGAGTCTCTCCGGCCCAAACGCTCCCATCCTCCCCTGGAGTGTAAGTTAGTTTTGCTTCCAGGTTTTCCTCCCTGAAGTTTTCTGTGACCCCCGACATGTAGGGCTCAGGCCGACTTGGCTGGTGTGGTAGACGCAGGCCGGCAGATGCTCACCTGCACAGATGGTTGCCGGGGGACCGTGCAGGTCTCGCCAGGCTGAAATCCAGGTGTTGGCCAGGGCTGGGGCTGCATCTAAAGCTTGGGGTCCCCTCGGAAGCTCGCTCGGAGCACTGGCGGAATTTGGTTCCCTGTGGCTACAGGACCAAGGCCCTGGCTTCCGGAGGCCCTCCCTCCCCACGGCATGGCTGTCGGCCTCTTCCAGGCTGGCAGGGGAAGGAAGCGTCTCCAGGGCACTCCCTGCTCATAAGTGTTTTCACCTGATGGGGTCAGGCCCACCCAGGACGATCTGCCAGGACTGCAGGCTGGAGGTTTCTGACGCGCGGGAACAGCGTGAACGCAAACGCGTGCTGTGCACCTGGCCCAGCGGCCCCGCTCAGAACAGGCAGAGCAGGCAGAGCAGGCAGGGGGCCAGGAATCAGCCTTGCAGGCCCGAGTGCCCGGGGTCCTGGAAAGACGGCAAGAGGGCCTCAGACTCCATCCGCAGGGAGCAGCAGAAACGCGTTTGGTGTAGGAAGCGGCATCACAGCCGCAGCGAGGCATCCCTCCAGGGCTGCTCTGCAGGGGACGAGGCACCCAGCCCTGCCCCTTAGCCCCCAGGTCCCCCATGCAGCCGCTCAGGGCTCCCCACACCACCACGTTTCCGGGAGATGCTGTTTGAAAACCTCCTCTGTGGCTACACCCCAACGCCGATCGTGCAATTTTCCAAGGGGAGTCAGGGACATCAGGTGCTTACTGAGCACACCTGAGGGCCACATCCCCTGCATTTCCTAAGCTCCCACAAGGGACCCCTCACTCGTGCAGCCTCTCCGAGCACCCCTGACTCTGGGGAGCAGCGCAGGGTGACCCTCTCTCCTGGTGGCTGCTGAAAACTGGGCTTGGCTCAGTGTAACCATGAGGCCCAGAGCAGAGGCAGGACAGCCAAACCTCTCTCTGCAAGGGTACGTGGGCCGAGATGTTCTGTCTCCCTGCTGCTCGGAGAGCTTCCTCCAAATGCACATGTCAGCCGCCTTTGGGAAGCCCCAGCATGGTGGAGTTGCAGGCCTTGGAATGACATCTTGAAATGGGGAATAAGGTCACTAAGGCAGGAATTCCAAGTTCTGCTTGGCCTGACTGGCCCCCACACCCCCATGGCCACCACCCCCCCCACCAGCCTCTGGCTTCCTGCAAGCACTTGAGCCCTGTGACCAGGAGGACTTCCCGCAGCAGAGACCCTCATCCCCTCACACCTCACAGGCCACCCTCCTACCTGCCTGCCTCACCCAAGCGTCTATGGAAGCCGCAAAGAGCCGGCCCCTTCCCTCCATGTCCCGCAGGCACCCATGCTGAATGCAGTGACATCTGCAGTTCACTGACAGTTACCATGATGACGGTGATTTCAAAACCCGCTACTTGAGCTTGTTAACCCTTTCCAACAGACCCAGGGAGCTGAGCAGCGAACACGGACGTGGGTTCTCAAATCTGAACGGTCAGGACTGCTCTTTCTTCAGTTGCTGGTGGCAAAGGAAAAGTGACTCGGGACTTCACACACCCCGGGCTCTGGCCCAAGACCCGCCGTGGAGCCACTAGTTCCCAGAACGCCTCCTCGATGCGAAAGCAGGGTTTTCACCTCTACATTTTTTTTTTTTTTTGAGACGGAGTCTTGCTCTGTCACCCAGGCTGGAGTGCAGTGGCACAATCTCGGCTCACGGCAAGCTCCACCTCCCGGGTTCAAGCCATTCTCCTGCCTCAGCCTCCCCAGTAGCTGGGACTACAGGCGCCCACCACCATACCTAATTTTTTTTTTTTTTTTGTATTTTTAGTAGAGACAGGGTTTCACCGTGTTAGCCAGGATGGTCTCAATCTCCTGACCTCGTGATCCGCCTGCCTCGGCCTCCCAAAGTGCTATGATTACAGGCGTGAGCCACCGCGCCTGGCTGAAAGCAGGGTTTTTAAAAAGCAGGAGGGTGGATGGTGCAGACCCTGACAGGAAGGGACTTAGAAACGCAAACTGCAGGCCCTGGAGTGTGCCCGACGCGCAGGCAGCTTGTTTTCACAGGTGCAAAGGTTCACAATCTGCCTCCCACGTAAGCCTAACCCTGCGGGCAAGCGCTGGGCTCCACTGGGGACCCCAAGGCAGGTGGCTGAGGTCAGGGGAACAGGGAAGCCCGTGTGAATCAGAGGCGCCAGGCCTTCCGATGGAGGCCAGTTTCACGATTGATCCAGAGCTGTAGCCCCAGTGGCTCTTCTTGGAGACCCAGGAGAGCATTCTGGAACCTCCCTGGGTCATCCCAGATGAAACTCAGGCCAGGAGAATCAAAGACATTTAAGGCCTGTTCCCCACCGCCGGCCCTTCCTGCCCTCGATACTGCTGTCATGTGGGGATGAGTGCCCAGAGGTGAGTGGGGCGGGACTCAGGCCGCAAGCTGAGCGCAGTCACACAGGAGGGACACAGTCTGTGTCCCAGGGGCATCTTTGAGCCCTCAACCAATGCTGGGACCACCCATCCCCTAAAATCCCACCATGAAGACAATACATACCCTAGTGGCACAAACCACTGAAAATCAGACTCCACCAGCTACAGCCGAAAGCATGTGCTGATTTTCTGCAATTCTTCACTTTTTCTTTAGTGTACAGCCTTACTTGGGGGGTGGGGAATGGAAGTAATTTTTAATTCTTAATTTATAAAATGTATTTATTAAATAATGTTGTGCCCATGAAAACTGGGAAAGCAATATGAATAGGCAACAAAGTAAAAAAGAAATACAAGTGGCTGATAAGGTACAGAAAGATTCAACCCTACCCATAACTAAAGAACTAAACATTTAAACTATGCATTCTACTTAATCCATTTTATTGGTTAAGAAAAAAATTTCATGAACAAACCCTCATTTTAAAAGACATGTTACATCAGGACATCTGTAGACACAGGAGGGGCTGTCTCTGGAGAGGGACATTTACTTCCTGTTGAGCTATCCCAGCCCAGGACCCCAGGTCACCAGCTCACAGGGAAGAGCTTTTCCTTCCCTTCCCTGGCACCAGCATTGTGATGGGTAATTGTGTCAACTTGGCTGGGCCACAGTGCCCAGATATTTGGTCAAGCACTAATTCTGGTTCTCATGTTTCTGGGAGGGTGCTTTTTGGCTGAGAGTAACATTTCAATCAGTGGACTTTGGGGAAGCAGGTGGCTCTCCAAAATGCAGGTGGGCCTCATTCAATCAGTTGAAGGTCTTAAGAAAACCAAGATGGACCTCCCCAAGCAAGAAGGAATTCTGCTAGCAGAGGCCCTGGGACTCCAACTGCAGCTCTCCTTAGGTCTCCAGGCTGCCACCTGCCTTGCAGATTTCAGACTCCACAATTGTATGAGGAAATTCCTTAAAATACATAAATATACATAGATGGATGGAAAGATGGATGGATGGATGGTTGATTGGGTGGGTGGGTGGATGGATGGATGGATGGGTGGATGGATGGGTGGGTGAATGGGTGGGTGGATGGATGGATGGTTGAATGGGTGGGTGGGTGGATGGATGGATGGATGGATGGTTGGGTGAATGGGTGGGTGAATGGGTGGGTGGATGGGTGGATGGATGGATGGATGGATGGATGGACAGATGGGTGAATGGGTGGCTGGGTGGGTGGATGGATGGATGGATGGATGAATGGATGGATTGGATGGATGGATGCATGGATGCATGGATGGATGGATGGATGGATGGATGGATGGATGGATGGATGGATGGATAGATGAATAAATGATGGTTATCCCTTCCTTTGCTGGCTTTCGAGCCTCCGGGAGGGAGCAGTTGGGTGTCTGAGGGGCCCAGGTCCTGAGGCAGGAGGCAGAGCAAGCAGACACTGCACCCAGCGTGCTGTCGCCTGGCGGTGTGGACCCCTGTGCACTGGTGTGTGCATGGATCACGGGGCAGCTCTCTCTGGAGCCCGGTGGGAGGAGCAGGGGCAGGATGTGCTGGGCCTTCTGCTGAGAAGGGTGGGTGGTGTTGAGGCAGAAGGAAGAGCTCTGTGCCGCTAGCTTGGGACCTGCTAGTGTGTGATTCTGAAAGCCGGAGAGAGAGGCCAGGCTCACCTGGGACATGGAGGCAAGGCCCAGGTGTCAGCAAGGCCCAGAGTGGGCAGGGAGAGAGCCTCTGCCCATCCATGCAGAGAGTGGGGTGGGTGGGCCAGGCCTCCTCGGGAGAGCCCTGTAAGGTGGAGGAGCCCCAGGAGCTGGGAGGGGACCCAGGGCCTGGGTAGGGGGGGGCAGCATGTCCAAAGGTTACTTTAGAAAGTGGCTCTTGACCTGGCGTGATGGCTCACACCTATAATCCTAGCACTTTAGGAGGCCGAGGCGGGCAGATTGCTTGAGACCAGAAGTTCTAGACCAGCCTGGGCAACATAGGGAGACCTCATCTCTACAAACAAAAAAAAAATTAGCCGGGCGTGGTCTCACATGCCTGTAATCCCAGCTACTCAGGAGGCTGAGGCAGAAGAATCACTTGAACCTGGGAGGTGGAGGTTGCAGTGAGCTAAGATCATGCCACTGCACTCCAGCCTGGGCGACAAAACGAAACTCCATCCAAACGAACAAAAAAACCCAAAAGTGGCTCTTGGCTTCAGAAGAAGAGAGACACCCACAGATTGTCCTGAGCCTTGTCTTTTCCAGGAGTGAAGTGAAGGGGACAGAAAACGTCCAAGCATTTTGGGCAGATAAAAAAAAGTCTCTTTCTAAGCTCAGCCACAACATCATCATGGACCTTTGCAGAGAAAACTGGAGAGTGATGGCTCCCGGAGCACCCGAGACGCTCCCCAGACGCCGGAGCACCCACGGCCAGCGGGTGGACACGGTGTCCACATGGTGCACACTCTTGCCCTTGAGCCTGTGGGAGGGAAGCCAGGAAGATATGGACGGAGCAAGGGGAGCACGGGAGCCTCGGGGCCTGCGGGGGGCCAGGCAGCAGCTGCCCTCACAGTTGCACGGTACAGTTTGCAGAACACACCCTCCTGCCCTGTGGAAGCTTCCAGGCTCCCGGGCAGGTCGCTGAAGGATCCTCTTCCTGGCCCCTGGAGTCCACAGGTGCGACATCCCGTCCCGACATGGGTGCCTGCCCCAGCCACTCAGTCGTCACCTGTGAGCACCTGAAAACCAGGCCACAGCCCAGACTCACAAGGAGCCACGGGCCTGGGAGATTTATTAAACATTCGCACGTAATTTTCCATTAACATTTCCTATTTTGGCATCTTAAAGAGTGAAAGTTGATTTCGGTTCAACATCCTGTGGGGAAATTAGTTCATTTTGCTAACGCATCTTAATAATTACAGTGACATCAAGGTTAATTGCTTAATCTGGATTGCCACAGTGCAGGCCGCCGAATTCCCCACGCAATCTGTGCTATAATTAGTACCGGGGCATCCAGATTTAGAAGGCTCTTTCACCGGAACAGCGGAATCAGGCAAGGTGATCGATGGATGTGACCAAGAGGACACTTCGCGCACAGGTCTGGGGTCGGGCTCTGTGAGGCCATCAGCCAGGGAATGTGTGGGGTGAGTGTGTCTCCCCAGACCACAGGAAGTGGCCAGCCTGCCCCGTGGGTCTGCTGCCCACGCAGGGTGACCAGTGCAAATGAAACTCTCCCAAACTTTCTGCTGCGGGCTCATCTCCCCGCAGCCAGGACAGCAATGGCCCGTGCCAGGGGTCCAGGACACCCAGCTGACCACGGCTGCAGCCTGCGTGGCAGGGCCCAAGATTGCTGTGAAATGGAGCCTCAGGCAGTGCCTCGGAGTCACGTCAAGGACTGTCATGGGATCAGGGCAGAAGGGAGTGCCCTGGGAGGGAGTTGGCCAGTGATGGGGATGAACAGCTGCCAGGGGCACCAAGACTCCGCTCAGCCAGGCTGTGGTGTAAAGGGGGACTCGGACTCACCTTCAGAGGCAAAGGCCTGGATGAAGGTGAACAGAGCAGATTCTGGGGACACGCTCATCCCAGAGGCCTGGAAGGTCGTTCTGGGAAGAGCCGGGAGGCGCCTCCCCTTGTTCCCGGAAGGTCATCCTGGGAAGAGCCGGGAGGCGCCTCCCCTTATTCCCGGAAGGTCGTCCTGGGAAGAGCCTGGAGGCGCCTCCCCTTGTTCCCGGAAGGTCATCCTGGGAAGAGCCGGGAGGCGCCTCCCCTTGTGCCCGGAAGGTCATCCTGGGAAGAGCCAGGAGGCGCCTCCCCTTGTGCCCAGGGCAGGCAACAGATCCGGTTCTCAGGCTGCACACTTGGTGGCCCAAGGAAAAGGAAACTCCTGAAATGTTGGCTTAGTCGTTTCCGGGCTAACTCGCTCATCTCCGGGTTCAAACAATCCACGTCTGGGGTGAGACGCAGCCTTCAGGTTTGTTGCTCATCCCTTCTCCCTCCTGTCACGGGGAAGCATCCCCGGCCCCGCTCCTGTCCAGGCAGCAAGGACTGTGCTGAGGGCTGCGCTCTTTCCCCAGGACCAGGCCTGTTGGGGACTCGCCCCCGGGACATCCCGAGGACAGGCAGCACAGTGAGGACCCTGAAGCCTCCGGCCACAGCCTCCCTCCATCCCGCCCCACGCAGCGCCACGTGCCCCGGGAGCACAGCTAGGGTCGCATTGGGGTTGTTTTGGTAAAATGTAACTGTACTTTTAGGTCTGTAATTTCCTTAGAGCTTGAAACAAAAGGAACATTTGGAGTCGGTTTCATTGCCGCGTGCTATTGGTGTCACCCCGCTGCGCATGGCAGAAACGCAGCTGTTCACATGTGCCATCAAAGATCTCTGCTCCACTTCATCAGACCCTACCTGGGTCTCATCTTTTCTATCCAAAGGCTCCAGAAAGCATGTCTTTCCCCTGCATGAGGAGGGCACAGGATCACACTCACGGCACAGCCCCAGGTTGAGGGGCCACCTGTGGGAGCCCCAGGGGGGAGCAGGACAGAGGCCCTTCAAAGAATGATCTTGATACAACTGTGACGAGTGGAGACTCGCACAGGCGGCTCCCCCACAGCCTGCCTCCACGTCTCCGAAGCCCCTCTCCCCGTCCTCTGACAGGCACCCTCACTCCCACCCACGTTAACCCCAAACCAGAGCTGCAGGGCATCACCCAGCACACGTGTGCGTACCCCAAGCCGTTGACTTCAGGTGTCTGAGTCTGTGAATGCCGTCTAAACCATGTGCACACTGCACACTCCTCTCTCCACCCAGCCACAAGTCCCTGAGCCCCGGCCACGTCTGTCTACACAGCCGAGTTTACTCAGTGCCATTGCGTGGTGTGGCCACACAATGATCTCATGCTTATTTTCTGGTCACAGGACACCAAGGCTGTGTCCAGCATCTGCTGTCACGAATGGTGCTGCCAAGACCAGCCCCGCACACACCTTCCCGCTCAGACCTCCAAGTCGCCAAACGCACATCTCCAGGACTCGGGGGGTCTTCGGACCCCTCATTTCACCAGCTGATGACAACGTGTTTCCCCCTGTGGCTGCAGCCACTCCTGTCCCATGGGCAGCGCAGAGCTGTCCTCCTTGCTGAGTGTCCGCCGGGCCTACAGTGGGACGATGTTTCCTCGCAGGCTGACCCCGCACTGCCCTGGTCAACTCAGGAGCTGAGGGTCTGCTCGCACGTCCCCCCAGGACCCTGGTTCCTGCTCACACGCACCCCCAGGAGCCCAGGCATGGTTCCTGTTCTGTCAAACTCCCCGTCGCTCCTTTTCTGCCGGTTTTTCTGCTGGTCTGCTTGTCTTTTTCTCTTATGTTTAGGATCCTAAATGTTTTGCAGACTGTGACCCTGGCCCTGGTGTCCAACTCCCTATGGGACAGCTGGTCACAGCCCACTTGACTCACTCCTCACCCCTACACCCACGGAGCCTGCACAGACGTCACAGTGACCCCTCAGTCCCAGCGTGCCCCCACGGAGCCTGCACAGACATCACAGTGACCCCTCAGTCCCAGCGTGCCCCCACGGAGCCTGTGCCTGCCTGCTCCAAAGGCACCAGATAGAACTCCTGGCAGGAACCTGCCTGGATAACGCCCCAGGCCCCAGCAAAGGCCTTGGCCCACAGTCCCTCTCTCCCCACAGCCTGGGTAACGCCCCAGGCCCCAGCAAAGGCCTTGGCCCACAGTTCCTCTCTCCCCGCGCCCTGGCTGAATGGGTCCCAACGGCTCTGACGGCTCCCCACACCCCTGCCCTGTGGGCCATGCTGCCCTCTCCTCTCTGGCTCTGTGAGTCACGCACGGCCTCTGTGATTCCACGTGCTGTTCTATGCTGCGCCGGCTCCCACGTGCCTCACCTGACTGACACCACTGAACCCTCCTCCCAGCCAGCGCTCTCCCAGGGAGTGGCTGTCTAGTCTTGTGGGAATAAACTGGACACAGGTCCAACAGGAGCCCCCAGGGCATCTGCAGGATAAACAAGTGTCCTGAGAGAGGGACATCTGGTCACAGGTTGGGCACTTGAGTATCAGGCCTTCTGCTACCAAAGATAAAGAAGAATCCCCTGAGAGACAGCCCGTAGACACCCACTGCCCCCCACCCTGGGCCCCACCAGGGCAGGACTAGAGTTTATAGCCGCTCTCCAGAGAGGGGCCTCAAGACCAACTTGGGAACAAATACAGTCAACACGAACCTCTCGAGCTGATTTTTGTAGGGGTGCAAGGTATGGATCCAGGTTCTTTTTTTTGCCTACGGAATTCAGTGCCATCAGCATCACTGCAGAAAACGCCGTCCTTTTTTCCTTGAATTGCTCTTGTACCTTTGCATAAAACAATTGACCATCCATGTATGGGCCTATATATGGACTCTCTGCTCTAATCAATCGATCTGTGTCTCTATTCTTTTACCAATACCACTACATTTCTTATTGTAGTTTTAGAGTAAGTCCGAAAACAGGTGATTTGACTCTCCCAGTAGCTCTCCTTCACAAAATTGACTGTTGGAGTTCTCACGCCTTTACGTTTACATTTACATTATATTACATTGTTACATTACATTTGTTACGTTGTAACATTACGTTACAATCCACTCACTGATTTCTACAATAACTGAAATTTTAACTGGGATTGTGTTAAACGACAGATAAGTTTCAGGAGGCCAACATTTTCACAGGATCGATCTTCTAACTCATTAACATGGCTCACTTCTTCACATACTGATGTCTTCTTAATTTTTTCACCAGTGTTTGATAGTTTTCACCTTACAGATCCTACATGTATTTTGTGAGATTTAGACATACGTACCCCTCTTTTAGTTTATTGTAAATAGTCGTGTATTTTTACATTTTTGACTTGCAATTATGCATTGCTGGTATACAGATGTACAAGTCATTTTTATAAACTGACTTTGTATTTTGCAATCTTTCTTAATGAACTTATTTGTCTAAGACCAGTTATTTCTGAGAATAGAGATAATTTTGTTCCTTCCTTTCCAAAATATAGATCTTTTTATTTCTTTCCATTACATTTTTCACTGCTAAAATTTCCAGCAGGATGTAGGATACTTGTGGTATATACTAGTTCATTCTCACACTGCTGTAAAGAACTACCTGAGAAATCATGGCAGAGGCAAAGAGAAGTGAGCACATCTTCATTTGTTGGCAAGAGAGAAATATCGAAGCAGGGAGAGCCTCAAACGTTTAAATCATCAGATCTCATGAGAACTCACTCACTGTCACGAGAACAGAAGGGGGAAATCCGCCCCCATGATCCAATCACCTCCCACCCAGTCCCTCCCCCAGCATTGGAGATTCCAATTCAACATGAGATTTGGGTGGGGACACTGAGCCAAGCCCTATCTGGTACATCCTTGCCTCGTTTTCTATCTCTAAGATAAGCATTTATTCTCTCACCGTTGTAGACCATGATAACCAAAGATTTTTTATAAATCCTGTTACAGGCTGAATTATGTCCCCCCAAAATCCACATATTGAAACCCTAACCCTGAATATTACTGTATTAAGGTTACATGAGGTTGTAAGGGTGGGGCCCTGATCTAATAGGACTGGCGTCCTTATAAGAAGAGGGAGAGGCAAAAAAGACTTTCTCTCTCTCTCTCTTTCTACACACACACACACACACACACACACACACACACACACACAAAGGAAAGAACACGTGAAGACACATGAAGAAGACAGCCACTTGGCCAGGCGCAGTGGTGCACACCTGTAACCCCAGCACTTTGGGAGGCCAAGACTGGTGGATCACGAGGTCAGGAGTTTGAGACCAGCCTGGCCAACATGGTGAAACTCCATCTGTACTAAAAAACACAAAAATTAGCCAAGCATAGTGGTGCGTGCCTGTAGTCCCAGCTACTTGGGAGGCTGAGGCAGGAGAATCGCTTGAACCTGGGAGGCAGAGGTTGCAGTGAGCCAAGATTGCACCACTGCACTCCAGCCTGGTGATAGAGCGAGACTCTTTCTCAAAAAAAAAAAAAAAAAAAAAAAGAAGAAGAAGAAGAAGAAGAAGAAGACAGCCACCTACAAGCCAGGAGGAGGGCCCTCAGCAGAAACCAGCCTTGTACTGGAGCCTTGATCTTGGCTTACAGCCTCCAGAATTGTGAGAAAATTTCTGTTGTTTAATCCACCCAATCTGTGGCTTCTGTCAGTCTGAGCAGACTAACACCACGGCCTTTATTAGTTTAAGGAAGTTTCCTTCTATTCCTATTTTTCTGAGTGTTTGGGGTTTTTTTTTAATTATAAATGAATATCAAATTTTCTCGAATGCATTTTCTTTATGAATTGAGATGATCATATGCTTTTCGGTATGGTAAGTTACACTGGTCAATTAATCAATGTTGAACCAGCCTTGAATTCCTGTTAAATCCTCCTTAGCTACAATATGTCAGCCTTTATGTTTTTCCCTAGATAGTCAAGCCTAACTGGGAGATTACAAACACATCACACAACACATTCATACCACACATACACCATACCCACACCACACACCCACACACACACCCCACACCACATACTCAAACACCACACACACCACATACACATACACCCTACACAGCACACACACACACACACAACACACTCCTACCATAAACACACCACACACCTCCTCTCACACACCCCACACCATATACTCAAACACCACACACTTATCACATACACATACACCATACACAGCACACACACACACAACACACTCCTATCATACACACACCACACCCCCACACACACACACACCATATACTCAAACACCACACACATCACACATACACCACACACATACACAACACTCATACCACACAAACAGCATACACATCACACACACCCCAACACACCACACACCCCACCATGTCCTTGAACACCACACACACATCACACTCATACCACACACACCACACATACCACACTCCCCTCCCACACACACTACACCATATACACAAACACCACATACACACCATACACACACAACACACTCATACCACACACATAGCATACAGACCACACTCCCCCACACATACCACACCATACACTCAAAGACCACACACACATCGCACATACACCATATAGCACACACACACCATACACACAACACGCACCACATCATATACTCAAACACCACACACATCACACATACACACAACATGCACACACACATACAGGCACACACACACAGGCGCTCAGCCAGGCATAAGTTGTGCTGGGCACTTTCCAGGATGCTCACCAGCACCCAGTCCTCTCCCGTCTGATGACTCTCCCTTTTCCGAAAATTCCATGGGCTTGCCTGGGAGGATAAGGAGGATCGAGAAGCTATTCTTACATTGTAAGCAAACTTTTGGATAACTTAAAAAGAAATTATCTCCTTCCAATGATTGGCCTTGGCAAATCAAAAGCACTATGGATTTCAGACTGCTGTACCTGCTTTGACTAAAAAATCTTACTTTTGAAAGTCAATGCTGACTTATGGGATGAAGGCTGGCTCTGCCTTCCTCTTCCTTACTAGGGGATAGTGTCTGCACAGCAAGCAACATGCAACACAGAAATACACTTTAGGATTGGCATGGGGGCAAGATGGAATTCCAAGAGAAAACTCACTGCAGGCAGAGGGGGAGATCTCAGTATATGCTTTGGTTTTCCAGCCCAAAACTATGTGGGTCATCCACCAATTTATCCACCCATCCATCAATTCACTATTCATCCAACCACCCACCCATCCATCCATCCACCTATCCATCCATACATACATACATTCATCCACCCACTCATCTATTCATCCACCCACCCAACTATCCATCCATTCATCCACCCACTCATCCCTCCATCCTTTAATCTCTCCATCCACCCATCTACCCATCCATTTATTCACCCATCCATCCTTTCCTCCATCTACCCATCTACCCATCCATCCGTCCACCTACTCATCCCTCCATCCCTTAATCTCTCCATCCACCCATCTACTCATCCATTTATTCACCCATCCATCCTTTCCTCCATCTACCCATCTACCCATCCATCCATACACCCATTCACCCATCCGTCCTTCCTTCATTCATCACTCCATCTATCCATGAATCCATTATTCATCTGTCCATCCATCCACCCATTCATCCATCCACCCATTCATTTATCCATCCTTTCATACACCCATAAACCCATCCCTCCATCTATCCATCCTCCACCCACCCATCCATCTACCCATTCATCCAGTCATCCAGTCATCCATCCAACAGACACATGCAGAATTACATGCAGACAAAGTACGGCAGTAGGAGAAGGTAGGTACTTATTCATGGAGCCCCTTCTAGGCCTCATTCCTGGGTAGATTCAGTGTAAGCCGGATGACTGTCCAGATTCTCACCTGGGTTGAGCCCCCCAGGCAGACACACCCCCAGGTTTCCTTTGTTTAGAAGGGCAGAGGAAGATGCTGCTGCCCTAGGAAAACCGTGTCCTGGCAGCAAGCCCCCAGCTGGGAGTTTTCAGCAGCTATTTTGTGAATGGAGATGGACACATAGCCCTGGGGTAGTTGGAGCTTTTCCTGGCAGTATCCATGGCAACAGGAAGCACAAACAGAAGCATCATTCTACAGCCAACAAAGAGTTCGTTTTAAAAATCACCATTATCTTTTCAGAGTGCTTCTGGAGTCTCCAAAGCAGAAATGACCGCATACATTTCAACAACATCTTTGCAATCCTCCCTTTACATGAAGAAAGCAACTGAGAACCTAAAATGACTTGCGCATGGAAATTCAAACCTAAATATATCAAGAGTGTTCTTTGCCGAGGCCATGGCCTTGTAGAGTTACTGCAACACCGAGATAAAGTAGCCAGTGAGCACCCTACTTCCAGGGCATAGTCTGAAAAGATCTGTTTCAGACTGGAAAAAGCCGTGCACCTTCCTCTCTTCGATATGAAAATACGTGACGCGCCCGTGTTGCCTCCACTGACATACACCAAGCTCCATGTGGCTGGCAAGATATTACCCACCCGCTACTCCCTGACTGACCCGTGAACACACCTCCACATGCTGCGGCTGAATCCCCCTGGTGTGGTTCACCCTTTAGGGAGAAAGGGCCCTGCAGATGGGGAGCCAGCCACTCTCTCCTCCAGGACCACTGGGCAGAGGCAGAGCCCCCCGCAGAGCACAGCCTCGGCACAGGGTCTTGGCTGCAAGTTTCTTACCTCCAGGCAGCATCTAAGGAGAAAGCCTTGGGGGAGCTGATAGAGAAGAAGCTGTTGGAGAATGGGAGGCAGGAATGCAAGTGGCCGCCCTGGTCCCGGGCGATGGAAGTGAAAAGCAAGAAGAGCAGGTGAGTGGGGTTGGCCTGGTGGGGCTCACGGTGGCCTCTTGACCTGAGGTTCTCGAAGCTCCAGGGACGAAGGACCCTGGGACAATACCCCGGCCTTCTGTCTGCAGCCATGCAAACAGCAGGCACCTGCCCATGCCCTGCCGTGCATTGCATCCCCTCTCTCCTGCCCCAAGCAGCACAGCCTTAAAAAGCAAATAACCCACACTCGGGGCAGTTTCACCAGGTTTCAGGTTCTTTTAGAAAGTGGAATTGCTCCACAGGGCTCTAGTTTTAGGCATAAGCTGGCGCAGCCCCTGTGGCGGCGGACACGGCCCCTCCCCTCCTGGGCGGTTCCTGACCATGTCCAGACCCTGGGCCCCACCTTGGCCCTCGCTTGGCGCTGGGCATCTGTCTGCTGTAGCCCACAGAGGGCTGCATGCTTCCCATTGGTCATGGATGTTTGCAGCGCACATGTATTTTCTGTTCTCACTTTCTTCACGTCATCTTGCATCCTAACTGTTTGGAGCAGAGAACACTCTCAAAGCCAGCAGGGCTCACAGCACCGTCTTGAATACAAGTTAGTTTTTAGTTGAATGTAACAAGCAGTGGAGTGTCCAGACTGTTTAAAGGTGACAAGCAGCACAGCCGAGACTCCCGGGGACTGTCCCAAAAGAAAGAGAAGAAATGGGAGACAGTAAATAGAAAACAAAATAGGGCGAGACCCAAACCATGCACTTCTATTACCAAAATACAACTAAAAGGCACACTCTCCCACTTAGAGAGAAAAGATGAACCCACTGAGTGAAATCAGACAGAAAATGTCACCGATGCCATGGGCGAGGGGACGTGCCAGGTGGAGGCTCCGGGCAGCTGCGTCAGGGCCCCACATGGCCGCTTTGCCCTGGGGAAGTCACCTGTTCTCTGTGCCTCGATTTCCACATAAGGAAAACAGGAGTCACAGTAATGACGATCATGTTTATCCATATCATATCACAACTCAGAGGAACCGCAGGGGTGTCACGCGTTAATGTGGGTGAGGTTCCTGGTCTGGGGCCTGGAGCCGGCTCTGGAGGCACCTGTGCTGTCGGTGGGGTTCGGCCCCTGCGCTGTGGGTGTCAATCACGCCGATATCCTGAGCTGCTGCAGAGGCAGCCAGAGCCCAAACCACAGAGGAAACCTGAGGGGCAGAGAGCAAGCGGCGGCAACTCAGCGCGGCAGAAACCGACGCGCAGAAAAGCCGGAGCCACCTGGTGTGATGTCAAATGACACCCACGGCAAACTGTGCCAAATGGGGAAAGAGACTCTTAGGGTGACATGAGGATCCATTCAAACCAAGGTACAACCACTGCAGGTCTTTGTAGGCTGAGACACAACGTGGAGAATCCACAATTAAACCTTCAGGAAGTGTGAGGAGCCATGAGGAACCGGCTCTCAGGAGGGAGGGACGTAAGGTGTCCCCTCAGCCTGGCAGCTGGAACAAGCTAAAAGTGAACAAGGAGAAAATCAAAACACGGGGAAACCGCTCACCTGCGGCACGGAGGAGACGCACTAGAACCTTCCAGTGCAAAAGCCCGGTGTCTGCATCGATTTGCAGTATCCTTAGGACACATAAAACCATGTATCCTACCCATAAAATGAGGAAATGTCAATCAATACCTCCGATAAACATCTACAAACGTGAAACCCTATTGGCAGCTTTCTCCGAGCAGGATTTAGCAACACACAAAATTGTACCACCTTAGAGCTTCTCTCTGGAGCTTCTTAAAATGCAAGGATGCTCATAGTGTTTGCCAAGCACCCCAGAGGGTGCAGGGAGAGCCCCTGCCATCCCCAAGGGGAGGAAGAGGCCACAGCTGTCATGCTTTGTGGTCAGACCTGAATTCAAGCCCTAACAGTGACCCTAATGAGCTGGGGAACCAGCTAGCTAGTCCCTCATCCGAAAATGGGGTGGCAGCAGTTAGCTAGTCCCTCATCTGAAAATGGGGTGGCAGCAGTTAGCTAGTCCCTCATCTGAAAATGGGGTGGCACCAGCTAGCTAGTCCCTCATCCGAAAATGGGGTGGCACCAGCTAGCTATTCCCTCATCCGAAAATGGGGTGGCACTGGTGCCTCCCTTGCAAAATGGTGCAAGCGAAATGAGATTGTGCATCTGCTTCAGTGCCGGCCGCTGCTCGCTATCAATAAATAAATCATTCACTCTGAGTAAATTGTGAGCCCCGGAAGGAAGGTGGTCTCGTCTCCCTCTGAATGTGTGAGCAGCGCACAGTCAGTGCATCCTGAACATGTGGGTCAGCGCCTGAGTTCTGGAAATGAATTAAGCCCCTCACTGATAATAGGGCGGTCCCGGCCATTCCTGGTTTAAGATTGTTTGTTTGTTTGTTTGTTTCCACTTAAATTTGAAACCAAGTTCCTCTCTCATCCATTTTTAATCTCTTTGGCTGTGAAGAAAACCATGTTAACGGTTCCTCATTTAATAAGAAAGGTGTAACAGCTGTTCCTTCCACCTGCGTTTCCTTCCATTTCAGCTCCAACTCACACATCACAGACACCTGGCAGAAACTTGGAGAGCTGAAGTTGGATTAATATTTCTGCTGCATCTAATTGAAGCCGTTCTTCTCCCGGCAGGGAAGAGGAAGGGCTGTGGGACTCGGTGCATGGACCCAGATGCGGGTGGGGCAGACCTCAGGGCCCAGGGGTGAGAGGGAGCAGCAGGAGATGCAAACACCCTTGAGAGGGGAAACCAGGGCCCAGGGGCGCTTTCTCTCAGCCTGGGTCCTGGCTGCAGCCCGGACAGTCACACGGTCAGTCTAGGGTGACCCCATCCCTGGGCCGGGGCTGACCGGTCATCAGCGAAAGCACCCTCCGTGCTGTGAGTCCCAGGGGTGCTGGCGGGCACTGGAGAGAAAAGAAACCTCGCTGGACTGGAGACAAAGAACCTTCCCTGCGCCTCCCTGGGCTGCTTTCTTCTCCAGCCGCCCTGAAATTCTTTCCTCCGAAAACAGAGCTCAGAGACCTTCCCACCCACTGCACAGAGGCCTGGGGAGACGGCCCAGGCGCTGCCTGTGTCCCCACCACAGACCCCTTGTCGATGCTGGCAGGGAGATTCAGGAGAATAAACAAACGCGCCGAGCATCTCCTGTTCTCCTTGGTACCACCAGCCTCCAAGACGTCTTCCAGCCAGGGCAGGCTCAGGCCCAGCCAAGCAAGAGGAACCCTGACTTGTCAACCTCGGAGCCAGGAAAGGCGGGGACCACAGGCCTCCCGAGGAGGGCCTCTCCAGGCAGCTCGAAGGACCTCAGATGACGCAGGCTCTCGTGTCAGGGCGCACAGCCATGTGATGACTCCACATTCACTCAGTGCTCAGCACAGAGTCACTGCGAGGCGGCGTGAGTCTGTGTGACATCAGCGTGTTTAGTGCATGACATCAGCATGTTTAGCACAGAGTCACTGGGAGACAGTGTGAGTCTGTGTGACATCAGCGTGCTTAGTGTATGACATCAGCGTGTTTAGTGCATGACATCAGCGTGCTTGGCACAGAGTCACTGGAAGGTGGCATGAGTCTGCGTGACGTCAGCATGTTTGCACTCAGAAAGGTTCTCTCGGTGTTTGTGCTGCTCTGTGTGATCTGCTGATTGGTTAATGTGAACAGGATGTGCCTGAATGCTGCAGGGGCAGCAAGGTGAGCCCTGGGCTCTGTCCTCTCTGCTAATGGGAGACCTGAGGAGGAAGCACCCACTCCAGCCAGAGGCAACACTCACTGGCCCGGGGACGCGGGCAGGGCCAGAAATGCAGGTGCACCCACTGCTCTCGTGGGCCCCAGGTTGAACTGTCTGGTGGGAAGGCCGGAGTTTGGGGTGGTGATGCAGGGGGTTGTGGCCCAGCTGTTGGGGCACGGCCATGGGCCAAGCCTCAGTGGTGTGAGGATCAGGAGGGCGTGCGACAAGCCTGGGACTGGCCTCCAGATGGCGCCTGGGTGGTCCCACGCCTCGGCGACAACAAGGACCTGCCTTTGATGAAGAGCAGAGGGAGGTGAAGAGCACAGAAGCTGGCAAGCCAGGGAGCAGTGGTGGCAGGGGCACCTCCCCTCTCCAGACACTGGGCCACCCAGCCACTGAGAGGATAGCGATCACCCCGGCCACCCTTCCCGAGGTGGGGCGGGAAGAACACAGGAGGGGAAGCGAGGTCCATGATTTTTTCTTTCAGGTCAGTGATTTAGCACCAACTGTGTGCAGGCCTCAGATGAGGCACGAGGGGCACCCAGAGGAGGAGGCCTGTTCTCTGCCATCCCGGGGCACCCAGCCCAGCTTCTCTGCCATCCCAGGGCTCTCAGCCCAGCCAGCCCCTCACCTCCCGTGCCCACCCCTCCAGGCCCGCCCTCCCCAGCCCAGGCCAGCAGGTGGGCACCTCCATCTCTGGATTTCTGCAGAGGGAGGCATGGCTCCTGTATCCATGGGGCCCCGAATCCCCTGGCTCCCACCCCTGACTGAGAAGCAGAAGGACTGGGCGGCGTTGGTCGGTTTCCGCAAACACCGGTTCCAGAGCTTCCGCTGTGCGGATTCTGTTCCTGGGTCGGGTGAGACGGAGAATCTTCCACAGCAGCTGCCACCAACCCATGTCCATCAGGTCTGGGAACCCACCCAGGGCCCCATGCTCCACATAGTGACAAACTTTTGACAAACTGGGCCTAATTGGTTGTTGTTGTTTTTCCATTTTTTTTAAAAGGAACCAAGGGTCTGTAAAGAGAACTCCCATAGGGTAGATTTTAAAGTGGCTTCAGTTGAGAAATGCAAAATAAAGTGTTTTGTCTCTTTTTTGCTTACATTTGGAACATGATCAAGGCTGTCCGAGGCTGTCTGACCTCGCCTTAAAGCCGAGGGAGGAAAGCCAGCACCTGGATGCCACTGGCCCCGCCTGTGGGAGCTGGAGCCTCGTCGGGGGTGAATGAGGCCAGGGAGGTGGACACAGAAAGACTCTGCCTAGCCAGGTCTCTGGGATTCTGGGTGCCTGGACTTTGGAGCTCCGGGGAGCCAGCTTGCAGCTCCTCTGGTACCAAAAACAGAGGTGGCTGGAGGGACCCCTGGGAACCCACGTTTCTGCATGGCTGGGGTCCTTCCCAGCAAAGACCCTGCCCCCAGCCCCACCCTGGACCCTCTGCCCAGATGGTCGCCCTGGCCTTCCTCGCCCTCAGAGGACGACGGTTGCCTGTCAGGAGGTCTTCAGAGATGCAACACGCTTCCCCCGTTTAGCTTCCTGGGAGACATATTAGCAAAAAAATGTCTATGAGACAAGTTACAAACAATCTGTCTTTCTAAGAAGAATAATTAATCGAATACCAAATAGGAAGCACCAGAGTTCTGAATAAATGGAGAGACAGTTAGAAGAGCAAAACATTATCATTTGTCCAGCATAATTATTTTCTGGGAAACAGTCGGTGATTAATAAGGTGCATTATAAATACGCTTTTGTGGTCACGTTTCCTCTCTCCCGTCTAATTAACATGCTGGGGAATTGCTCTTTCGGTGGGGAAAGACATTTAAAATATATATTTCATGAAATCTGAGTTATCTGTCATAAGCTCCAAGAGGAACAAATAAAATATGGAGAATTCTACAGTCGTTTAAATACTTTATTACATGGCTGTGTGTCAAATAAATTAGTTCTTGTGGTTCTGCAGGTGACAACAGAAAATTGTGGGCTGCAGGACCCCGAGGGTGGTGGGACACGCTCTGCCAGTCCCTGGACCCAGCATCTGCTTCCTTCGCAACCCATGGGTTCAGTCCAAGCAACACACACAGCCGACAAGACCCGGTTCCCGTGTGCGGACAGAACTCCTCCAAGACCAAGTCCCTCCCCGGGTCAACACGCCCGCCCCATAGAGCCTGGGGAAATGCCACCACCTGTCCCCCACGGGTGGGGAAACTGAGTCAGAGCTGTGCTTTATCACTCCCACACAGAGAGGAAAGAGGGATTGGAAAAATAGATGGTGAGTGGCCCGTCTGCAAGAGATGCACAGCGATGCTTCTGCAGATAAGCCAGGCCAGGGAAGGATGTGGTTCAACACCATGGAAAGATCGGGGATTTGGGGGACACCTCAGGTTTAACTACAGGGGAACTACTGTTTAATTGACTTAGGTGAAGGAATTTTACCTATTTGAGTGATTCGAAATCGGGGAGGGCCCCTCTGTGAGCTCCCCCTCGTCGGGGCTCAGTGGCAGAGCCCCGGTTTCTGCCGCAAACACCTCTCACTGCCCTCCACACAACACATAGCTCCCTCCTCCTCCTCACAGAGTGCCTCACACAGGGCCTACCCAGCGGAGGAAAGAGAGTCTCAGCTGCCCCGGAGCCCGTTCCTCACCAAGACCCGTGCAGGTCTGCGTAGTGACTCCAGCAACAAGATGTGTGTAGGATCCGGCCACCCCAGTGCAGTTCCTCAAGGATCTTAAGAGAAACCCAAGAAGAACATGCCCTGGCTGATCCTCCTGCCTTTGGATATTTTAATGGGATATGAGCCCCGGGGCTGCTGCAGCCACCTTGAGCACACGAGGGGTTTGGCCGTGGGAGAGGCTGCTGTGCTGGGGGCAGGAGATGGGTGCCCTGGAGACACCTGTGTGAGGGAGGGTGGCCATGTGGGGCCTGGGGCCAGCGGGGCCTCCTTGCCTCTTTACCCCCTCCCTTTGTCCCTCCCTCCATGGCCATCCTTCTTCTCTTCCCACTCTCACGCGTCCCGTGGATCCGGCCCCTCTTTGTCCCCAAACTCACCCCCATGACCTGGCAGTCCAGCGGGACACAGGCCCAGGCAAGCCCAAGCTCAGCCATGCCTCCCAGCAGCCTGAGGCCCGAGCAGGGTCTGTGATGAGCAGAGGCCGCAGACGGCAGTGCTGGGGCCGGGAATTCTCCCTGTGGGCTCTGCCCTCCGGCGTGACCAGTGCATGTGTCTGTGCTGGAGGTCGGGGCCCTTGAGATGAGACACTGAATGCTCCCTGCTCTGCCCGGCTCCCGGCGGCAGGTGGAGCGTCCAGCGCACACAGGGTCTGCACAGCCAGGCGTTTCTTCCCCACCTCGCATCTCTCCTGGGGCAGTGTTCCATGTTATTTTGTCTGAAACAGGGTTCTTAGGCTCCCTAAAAAACACCCAGAGAAGACCTCATCACTTCACAACCTCAGATCCAAAAAATTCCCATAGCTTTGGTTCTGTTCTGATGGAAAACCCTGATGCTGACCTCCACCAGAACCTTCACAAAATGGGATGGAACCAAGAGATTTACTTCTGTCCACGTTGTTAAGCGGTTCCTCGCAGGGAGGGCTCTGATGGGAGATTAGTCTGTTGCAAACATCAGAACAGCTTTGAAGGTGCAGTGGGGCGGGGGAGGCTGCAGGGCGAGGCTGGGGAGGCTGCAGGTGGGCAGTCGTGCTCGGGGTAGGGAAGGAGCCTGGCGGCCTTGCAGCCTCCGCGCTCTCAGGAAGCAGCCCCCACCCTGGGACCTTCACCCCGGAGATGGCAGACTGAATCCGCACCTCATTTGTTGGCGGTTAGCAGATTTCCCAGAAAGTTCTCGTGGGAAAAGCCAAACCGCCGCTTCTGTTCCATAGCTGCACCAAGTCAGCCCCTCTCTATTCACAAGAAAGCGTTTCAAAGGCTTCAGAGCAAATTCGTGTCGCAAAACAGAAAGTGCCTCTGGGAAGAGCTCAGGGCTGCTCTGAGGGTTCCTGCAGCAATGGCCCTTCATCAAGCCACAGAGCTTTCCGCTCCCTAAAAGGCATCCCCGGGCCATTCCTCAAGGAGGGTCCCACGCCACGTGCTCCTGGCTGGCCTGGAAGTGGAGCCAGGCCCCTGCCTGCAGGTAAGGGATGCCCCAGACCTGCTCCCTGCACGTGGTGCCTGGACGTGGACCTGGGGGGGTCTCTCCATCGGTCTAGAGTGGGGCATCCAGACCCCGGCGTGGACTCAAGCTCTGCTGGAAGGAGGCTCATTGTCTTTCAGGATCCTGCGGCCGGAGGCCAGGGCTGCCCACAGCAGAGATCCAGAGAGCACTGAGTCCACACACGGGAGGAGACTGGGAGGGGAGGGATGGGCAAAGCCTCACAGGCCCATGAGATGCACAGCTGCAGGATGACATGCGTGGCTGTGGGGAGATGCACGGCTGCAGGACAATGTGCACGGCTGCCAAACGAGGCCACATAGCGTCCACCTGACCAGCCCCCACCACCTACTGAGGAAGACAGAGAAGCTGCAAGAAGGGAATGAATGTTTCCAATGCCCCTGCTAGAAAGATCCTCTCATGCCCTAATCTGAAAAGTCAGGGAGAACTGTTCCTAGCTTTATTTTATTGTCAAAATGTATTCTCCAAGGTTGCTTTCACAAGTAGCCATTTCCTGGGGACACAGTGGGGGATGTGGAACCAGAAGGAGATGGCATGGGAAGGTGATCCCAGCACACCTGCGTAAACCAGAAATAAAATCCTAAGATCCCAACCAACCGAATGGATCCCTCCTCTCAGCCAAGGGGATTCCAAAGTAAGCCTGAAACACTAGTTCAGGCCATGCCTCATTCTACCCTCCTCCCTTTGGAAAGTCAGGCACAGGTGGCCGGCATTCACATTGAAACGAGGACCTTAAGACTGAAAAAACAGACTCTTTTAGCAATGAGGTACCAATTCCAACCTAACTAACATGATCACGTGACAGACAGCAGGCCCTGAAAAAACTCAAAGTATTTTACCCCAAAATATATTTCTTTGACATATTTGGAAATGGCCCCACAAAGTGGTCTCTCATGGGGAAAATCTGTGTTCTGTAAAGAATCCCCTTCCCTTTCCAGAAAGATCCCCTCCCGTCATCTAATTTTCCTGATGGAGGAGAGATTAACCAAGTCTGACACCTTTTTTAGGTCTGATAAGAGACATTTGCCCTCTATTCCCTTTGAAGCCTGTTCCCTGGAGACTTCATCGACATAATAAGAACCTTGGTCTCCACAACCCCTTATCTTTACCCAGACATTCCTTTCTTTCTATTGATTCCAGATCTTTACATAATAACTCCTTCAACCAACTGCCAATCAGAAAATCTCTGAGTCCACCTATGACCTGGAAGCTTCTACTTCAAGCTGTCCTGCCTTTCCAGAGCTAACCAATGTACACCTTGCATGCATTGATTGATGTCTGCCTGTAACTTCTGTCCCCTAAAATACATGAAACCAACCTGTGACCCAGCCACATTGGGCACATGACCTCAGGGCCTCTTGAGACTGTGCCTCAGGCCCTGGTCACACGTACTTGGCTCAGAATAAATCCCTTCAAATATTTTAGAGTTTGTCTCTTTTTCACTGACACAGGGCACGGGATTGTCGTCTAATTACAAGTTCCTTGATCCATGTCCTAAAAATGAGCCCATGAATTTTTCCCTCCTTCATTCTGAAATCCATCATCACTCAATGCAAAGAAGTGGGAAGTGTCATCCCATAGAATGTGAAGGCCTTTTCCTTCCCGTACAGGTCAGGACCAAAGCCACTACGACCAGTATGTATCTATAGACCAGCAGAAAGCTTCCCATTTCCACCTAAGTGTCTGACCAATAGCTATGAGTGGCTTTTGAAACTCTATCCTTAAAATAAATAATAATAATCCCATCTAGCTGACGAGGAAGTTCTCCCAAACCCCTGCTTCCCACTCCAAGTGTCTTTAGAGGGAGCATCTCCTCCATCATAGTGTCTGCTGCTCACTCACAGGTGGGTCTGGCCTTCCCAGCTGTGATGCATTTGAATCAGTGGATGGCTCAAACAGAGGGCCCTCCCTGGCGTGGGTGGGTCCCGTCCAATCTTTAGAAGAGGCCTCCCCAGAACAAAAGGGAGGAGTAAGGGAGAATTCACTCTCCCAGCCTGACTGTTCTCAGGCTGGGACTTCAGCCTTCTCCTGCCCTCGGACTGGACCTTATTCCATTGTTCTTCTGGGACTTCCTCTTGCCACTGGCCGGTCTGCTCCTCTGGAGAGCCTTGATTCCTACAGGGAACTTGCAGCTGAAACTGCCCTCTAAAGACAAACATACATCACAGCTTCAGTGAGTCTGAGTCACTTGTACATGGTGTTTAAAACCTGTTTCCTGTCCAGAAGCGTCTGACCTCATACCCTGTGTCTCCGTCCACAGGAGAGGACACCCAGTGTCCAGGCAGACGCCCGGGGGCAGCTCTCATTCTGAGAATGACTTCCACCAGGAAGGATCGGTGAACCGGCCTCTAGGGGACACAGGGCCGTCTTGTGGGAATAGAATGTACCAGTGAGATGTAACTGCACCTTCCCATTGTAAGGGCCTGGGGAGGCCCAGCCCACAGATGTTGCCATGTCTGTGCCATTTGTCTTTGGGTAAGAGCTTCTCTCCCTGCTGGCATCTCAGAAGGGAACCCAAGGGCACCCCTTCAAGTGGCAGAAACTTCCGGGAGTAAAATGAAAGCACAGAGCACCTTCCAGCCACTGCACCCTTCACCTGTGTCAATCTCCACCTCACCCTGGACAGGAAACGTAGTTCCAGAGCGGGGGAGCGGTCTCTGAGACACACATGGATGGCCCAATGGCTCTTCCCAGGCCTGCGAGGGGCATCTTCCCATGTGAAGGTGCCTGGCCTAGCTTCCCCACTGAAGGCACAATGCATCTTCAGGAGGAAATCCACGGCCCCCTTGAAGCCAAGAGGAGCTCACCGCTCCAGGCAGCAGAAGTCAGAGACTGCAGGAGGCCTCCCCTACAGATGTCCCTCAGGGCAGAGAATTTGGAGACCAAAAGAGAATTTGTTCAATCCAGGAGAGAAACAGGTTTCTGAGTGAGTCCTTGGCACGTCTGAATCCCTGGTCTGTGACAGGGCTCCCCACATCCCAAGAAAGCTTTCCCAAATAGAACTCAGCAGAGTCTTCTCCTCAGACCACCTACCGCCTGCAAGAGAGGCCGAGTTCTCAGCATGGTACCTGGACCCGGACCCAGACCTTCCTTCTCTGTCCCCAGCTGACCTGACCTCGTCTGCCCTGCTCCCTACACACATCCCTGCCCGATCACCCATCCTGCCAGCCCCAAGCCTTACTCTGCCTGTGGAAGCTCCTCTTGCTGACTGCAGACAGTGGTGATAACAGCCACCACACACAGGGCCCTGTCCACACAAGGCTACTATGCATGCAACTCCTACCATTCATGGGAGACCCTATGACCAGGTAGCAATCGCCAGGACAGCCGAGTGGCCCTGGCCCCCCAGCTCCCTCAGGGCCAGCCTTTCCTGCTGAAGGGTGTTGGAATTTGCCACTCCATAATGCACCACTTTGGCCCAGGTATTCTTTTGAGCTGAAAGCAGTTGAGAAGAAGCAGATATAAGAAAAGCTCTCTACCCTCCTTAATTTGCAGGATATAAATGACAAAGGATTTTGAAGATGAAAACTGAGGAGGACATTGCCTTACCAGAAATTAAAGGCTACAATAAAGCTCTAACTGTCAAAACAGTGTGGCATTGGCACATGGACAGGCAAAACATAAGCAAAAATCAGGGTGACAAGCAGTCAGTTCAAAGACATTCCTGAATTTACATATATATCAGGCAAACATCCAGAAATGAATTGGCAAGAGAATGGCTATTTCCTATTCTGGTTCCATATTTGACTCTCCACGTGGGAGAAAAAAAGAACAAAACTAGTATTTTATTAAAAAGCAAACTAGAGATAGACTAAAATCTGAAAGTAATAAATAATCTCACCATATTACCCCAAAACTTAAGAGAATGTTTATATACACTTCTTCAAGAAGGAAACTCAAATGCTGTCAGGGACACGTGGATCTATTTAAAGCTGTCTTTAATGACCTGGGGAGAAGAAGCATATGTCAAAAGCCAAGCCGTAGACTGGGGAAATGTGGGAGGCAACTGGGCAGAAGACGGCCTCTGTCGCGAAGAAACATGGTGAAAAGGGAAAAGAGAGCCCATCCAGTAGTTTAAGTGAGAACAAGCTAGACAAGGTGATCCACACAGCCAGCAGCATGAGAAGACACACGGGACTCAGTATGGTCACAGAAACACAGGATAACAGATGATGAAATGCGCTTTTCTTCCATCCTCAAGCTGGCAGCTGTGTAAAGCGCATCCGCATCTGGTCCTGGCAGGATGCAAAGAAACCAACTCCTTATTGCAGGTGGAAGTAGAAATGGCTCCAAACACTTTGGAAAATCACCAGGCCATACACACTGGAATCTAAAATGCATTCCCAGTGCAAGGAACCTCTTCCTGAGACATCACAGCATCAGACCATGAGGACATGTGTTCACCTGGTGATGAAGGCATTGATGGTGGTGGTGATGGTGATGATGGCAAAGATGGCAATGGCTATGGTGGTTGATGGTAGTGATGATAGTGATGATGATGATGGTGATGATGGTGATGGTGATGATGGTGGTGATGGGATGATGACGGTGATGGTGGTAATGATGGTGACGATGATGGTGATGGTGATGGTGATGATGGTGGTGATGATGATGGTGATGGCAGTGATGATGATGATGATGGTGATGATGGTGGTGATATGGTGATGGTGATGATGGTGATGGTGATGGTGATGATGATGATGGTGATGGTGATTATGGTGATGATGATGATGATGATGATGGTGATGGTAGTGATGATGATGATGATGGTAGCAATGATGATGATGATGGTGATGGTGATTATGGTGTTAATGACGTGGTGGTGATGATAATGATTATGATGATGATGGTGATAGTGATGGTAGTGATGACGATGATGGTGATGGTGATGATGCTGATGGTGGTGATGGTGATGATGCTGATGATGATGGTGACGATGATGATGACGATGATGATGATATGGTGATGATGGTGATGGTGATAGTGATGGTGAAGATGATAGTGATGGTGATGATGGTGATAATGATGGTGGTGAGGTGATCCTGATGATGTTGGTGATAGTGACAGAGCAACTGCACATACTTGAAGGATGCTCAGGAGTCACATGAGGTGGACTTGGACCAGGGAGGCCTGCCCACCACAAAGAGAAGGCAGCTCATAGGCAGGCAGAACCTTGCTGGGATTCTCGTGACTGCAGTAGAGTACATCCTGCTCTCTTACTCTCAATGATCTTCCACCCATACACACATACTAGTGCTATGAGAGTGGCAAGGAGATGCAAACCCAACTGCTTGTCCTCTACATGCAAACATCAGATGCTTGTAATCCAAACTCAAATTTATTTGTTCCTGCAACATCATGTTGCCACCTTTGATATCAACTCTAACTACTGATGCAGTAGCTTCAGACCTCATCTCTCTAGCTTGACCTCATTTGTCCCTGCCTGCCCCCAAGGACAGAGAGTGTTTTCTTTCTGCATAGCAATAAGAGTGGCATTTTGGAGCACACACGAGGTACTGACTCTGTGCAAGCGCTCTCCCCACTGGCATAATCCCCCCCAGCATCTTGGTGACAGATGTTGTTATTAATTGGAAGTCAGCACAGCTGGGAAGGGAGAAGACTCACTGGAGGCCAGATCTACCTGACTCCCAGCTACTCTCAGGATTCATTCAGCATTCTTCACCTTGTATCTTACACAGGCAGAAACCAGCAATATATACATACAAAAAAAAAAAGGTGCTGTCATTTGGAGGCTCATAGCTGTTGTGACTGCACTATTTTGAACTCCTTGGATGTCAACTTATACCTCACCCAGCAGGACAAACTCGCTGACCCTGGAGAACCCCAGTGCTGTAAGTTAACCAAATTCCTCCAGGAAGCAGGAAAATATCACTCAGAACCCAAGATGCAGAGACAATGAAATAAAACTAGTTTTTTAAAATGTTGTGTGTCTCCCAACATTTTTTTTCTTAAACTTACTGCCTATTATTTCTTATGCACTAGGGAGCATTAACAGATGATTAAGCAAATGGAAAATTAGTAAAGAAATATTAATGGCAAGAAAAATGGGGAAAAGCTGTGCTCTACTCACATATGTTCAGTTTTAAAACACTCCTTAACTAGATCAGAGCAACAGAACAACTTTTTTGATAATAGTAATGGTGATGAGTGTGGTGATGACGGTAGTAATGGTGTTAGTGATGGTGGTGGTGATGATGGTGATGGTGGTAATAATGGTGATAGTGGTGATGGTGGTGATAATGGTGATGGTGATGGTAGTGGTTATGATGGGGATGATGGTGATAATGGTGATGGTGGTGTTGGTGATAATGGTAATGGTGGTGATGGTGATGGTGGTGATGATGATGGGGATGATGGTGATGGTGGTGATGGTAGTGGGGATGATGGTGATGGTGGTGATGGTAGTGGGGATGATGGTGATGGTGGTGATGGTGGTGGTGATGATGGGGATGATGGTGATGATGGTGGTGATGGTGATGATGATGGTGGTGATGATGGTGGTGATGGTGATGATAGTAATTTGATGGCAGTGTTGATAGCAGTGGTGATTGTGGTGATGATGGTGGTGTTGGTGATGGTGATGATGATGGCAATGGTGATCATGGTGATGATGATGGCAGTGATGGTGGTGATGGTGATGATGGTGATTATGATGATGATAGTGATGGTGATGGTGGTGAAGATGATAATGGCTATGGTGATGATGATGATGATGATAATGATGGTGATGACAATGGTGGTTATAATCACAATAATGCTGAAAACGCTGCACACAACACTTACAAGGCATTGTGCAAATATCTGACATCATTTGCTATTTTCCCTTTCCCCATCCCCCCCATCCTCCAACCCCACCCTCTATACTCCCTTTATCCTCTCATCTTTCATCCTCCATGCCCCTTCCCCCATCCCCAATTCCCTCATTCCTTCTGTCCTCCATTTATTCATTCATTCATCCGTTTAGTCATTCATTTGCCACCTACTAGGTACCAGGATCACTGGGTTTTACTGTAGGCTGAAAGCTTTGTGAGTTACTAGAATATTGGGAAGTTCCTTTTGCCCATCTTCCTGCCTCTAGGTAGAGTTAGTGCATCTTTACCCTCAGGGAAAAGATTAACGCAGACATTGCTGGATTCCATCTCTGGAGCACAAGGAAGAACCAGCTCAGCCTCCTGACTAGTTCTCTGATCCTGGAGAACCCCAGTGCTTTAAGTTAAGTGTGTGTGGATGGAAGATCGTTGAGAAGAAGACAGCAGGATATACTCTATCCCAGCCTGGCAGAGACACACTGCCCACCTGGCGAGTGGGTTTCTTTTGGGGCACATTGGGGTTGCTCAGTGCAGCGTGGGGGGACAGGGACAGCTGGGGCACTGGGTGCCTAAGGGTTGCTCAGTGCAGTGTGGGGAGACAGGGACAGCTGGGTCACTGGGCGAAAGGTGGGAACCCTCGGCGCTGCATCTTTCACTTGCTCTAGAAAACACCCAGCCATGGCCCCGCAGGCTCCCCATGTCACTGGGTCCCACATGGAATGCAGATTCGAGGCCCAGGAAGCACTCTGTCTGCCCCCGCACAAATCTTCCTGGCATCTGCTGCCCCCAGCTCCACAGGGGGCCTCAAAATCAGCCAGCGTGGGAGGTGATGGCACCTGTAGGGGAGCATTGCAGCCCAGGCCCCTCTAGCACTTTAGTGCACTTGTTCCAAAGACACACACAGACACACACGCCGGAGGAGTGATTTCTGGAATATGGCGCAGTAATTAGCCCCACTCAGGTCCTAGGGTAAGAGCTGCACCCCTAAGGGGCACCTGGCAGGTCCATGAGGCCAAAGGGCACCACCCTCTGGTACCCCACTCTGCAATGTCACTGAGCAGGCAGGGGGTGCAGCGGCAGGGCAGGGTGAGCTGAGGCCCCAGAGGGAGACCCCAGGCCAGCTTCAAGCTCTCCACAGAGGGTCCCTCACCTCCTACCAGCTGTGCGATCCAGGATAGTCGCCTTAAATCCTGAGTCCCGACCTTGGAACAGCATGAGTAATGACGACGGCCCCTCCACGGCCGATCTGGCGCAGTGCTGAGCTGTGAGTGGGGCCCTTGTTAGTGGCAACTGTGGACAGGTGTCTGGCAAGCGCACTGAGCCAGGAGAGAAAGGGTCACCGGGAGCTCCCAGGACGGGGCTGGCTGCAGGGGGACCGACTGTGAGACAGAAGGACCAGAGTGCTCAGCCCCACCCTGACTTCCAGGGAGTGGTGAAAGCTGGAGATGGAGTGAACTGCCAACGGCCAAGGATGAAATCAGCCACACCCATGTGATGAAATCTCCGTAACAACCCGAAACTAGGCTCTGAGAGCTTCCGGCTGGAGCGCTGGGAGGGCAGCCACCCCAACTGCATGGAGAAGGAGGAACCTGCTCTTGGGATCCCTCCAGACCTCACCCCTGTACCTGTTCATCTGCCCATTCATCTGCACCCGTCCCCTATCACAAACCCTCGACTGTAAGCAAAGCATGTCCCTGAGCTCTGTGAGCTGCTTCAGCAAACTATCAAACCCAGGAGAGGTGTGGGAACCCCGACTGTTCAAGTCAGACAGAAGTGTGGATGTCCTGGGAGCCACTGCTTGAAATGGGCGTCTAAAGTGGGAGCACTCTTATGGGACTGAGCCCTTAACCTGCGGGGTCTGTGCTAGTTCCAGTAAGGTGGTGTGAGAATTGAACTGAGTTACAGGATGCCCAGCTGGTGTCTGGAGAGCAGGAGGACTGCTCGGTGTGGAGGACCCCCCATGCGTGGTGCCAGAGGCCCTGTGAGTGAAGAAAGGGCCCTCCCCTTACACACGTGCCTGGGAGGGCCGGCAGGAGGCCTGCTTCACAGACGGATGTTACACGCGTGCCTGGGAGGGCCGGCAGGAGGCCTCCTTCAGAGACGGATGGGAATCCAGGCCTGTGGCTCCAAATACGTCCACTCACCCCCGCCCAGTGGCACTCGGACCCCAGGCAAGGCCTCCAGGTCCACTTGCTGAGACACACTCCCCCTAGGCAGAAAAATTACGCAAAGCCACCGGAGCCCTTACCACTCCCAGCCCCCGGGCAGCATGTCAGGGCATAGGCTCAGCCCCTTCCCCATGGGGTGCAAGGGAAACCTGAGGCTGAACCCCATCAGGGCTACAGAGGCCCCTGACGTTCCTTTGTGTGTGGTTCACTCCTCCACCTGCCCTCCCTCCACCACGCGCTCGCCCAAGATGTTAGATGGAGACGGAGGTGCGAGGCTGGCCTCCCGGAACCCACGCACCAATGCAGGAATGCCCAGAGGGAGACTCAGCCCCATCTGGCTCCCAAAGTGGGTGACAGAGCGAGACCCTGTCTCAAAAAACAGAAAAAAAAAGTCAAAAGAACTATATGTGAGTATCATGGCTAAATATTAAATACACGAAGCCATGTCCAAGGACTGAAATGAAGGCCACCTTCAACCTCCTTTATCAGCACAGATTCTGAGAGGAGCGGTGGGGATTCCGAGGCTCCGAGGGAAGGACACGAGGCCCCAGCCAGGCTGTTGTGTTGGGGTGAAGAGCGGGCGGCCTCACACAGGCCCTGGGGCCGCAGCGTCCACAGCCCCGCTGCGAAGGCGGGGAAAGGACCCTCAGCAGGGAACGCAGCCCAGCAGCGGGGCCCTCGGGATGAAGAGCTCGGCAAGGAGCCTGGGAGCAAGGAACACATGACTCACAAACCTCTGGAAAATGCCCGGGAATGGAAGGAACCGAGTTCCAGTAGACAGGAGGCAGGAGGAGGGAAGAACCGGCCGGAAGGTCTTTATCTTTCTAGGTTTCCATTCGACAGACGCCCCACCAGTGACGCCTGACCACATCAACGCTGTGCAACAAAGATCCCCAACTCCATGCTGAGAGGGACCCCACCGCCACGACGTGTCACCGGGGCCTGTGCATCGCAGGGCCCAGCTCCTCATGGGAGCTCCTTGAGGAGTCTGTGGGCCGTGGGGGCTCTGGGAGCTGCCTGGGTAACGATACAGGAGTGAGTCTGGGTAGCCCCGGGCTCCTGGAAGACACTGCCTTAACCCACCTGCCTCCACAGCTTCCTGTGAGCTGGGCAGAGACTGCAGCACTTACTACTGAAGCCACTTCCTGTTCAGCAACCTGCAGAGTGAGTGCTCCTGTCCCCACAGACCGGGAGGCTGAGGCAGGAGAGGCTGAGGAGCAAGGCCAAGGCCAGGGGGCTCAGGGGTCTGGGGGCAGCAGAGCCGGGTCTGTGCCCAGACACAGACTTGCAGGCTGCCCTGCCAGTGCCAAGCTCAGCTGCCCAGAACAGCTTCCAGGTGCAGGCCCCAGACCCCAGGAACGGCCCCCAGGGCCCGAGCTCTGCAGGCAGGGCCCTGCTGCACAAGCGTCACTCACAGCCGGGACGGCGTTTGGAATTATGAATTTTAAAACCCTCTAAAACTCACATTTTAATGCAGCCTCCATTTAGAGAGTAAGAAGGTTTCTTGACAATATTCCCTATGGGAAATTAATTTGGCCTTGGGACTCTATCATTTCCAGATGCATCTAAGATCCTACTCCTCCCATTTTTCCAACAGAAATGGGCCTCTTGGGCCCTGTACAAACCCAAGCACTGTGTTCATCAATGCCAGCTCACCGGCATGAGAAATGCACCCGTGGCCCACAGAGAAGACACAACAACATCCACAGTGGCCGCTGGGAGGACTCTGGAGGCCAGCGTGGGGACGGCCGAGCCGTCGTTCTCCTCGTCTGCACCTCCTCTTCCAGCCTGGATCTCTGAAGCAAGCCTGGTGTGGGTCTCCTCGCCCTCCCCCGGCCCCCCGCAGCCCTGACAGGCCCCACTTTGGGCCCATGACTGCCTTGTAGATCTTCTACCCTGAACAGCTGTTGGTGGATCTTCCCTGCTGCCTGGAATTCCCGGAGGGCAGGGGCAGTGGGGGAAAGCACATGGGCTTCCAAGGCTGTCCCAGGTGGCTCAGGTGAGACGCCCAGGTGTGTAGCCCCTCCCTGCCTGGGAAGCCCCACCCAGCGAGGCGGAGCCGCAGAGCCACTCACCTGTGCTCCTCCTGGCACTGCCCTCGTCTGCCCTTTGTTTCTGATGCGTGAAATTCCACCAGCTATGGGGATTCATGAACAGGCATGGCCACGGGAGCCTCCTCCCCACGCTCTAGAGCTGTGCTTGGTGCTCCCATCCACAGAGCGTGATGCCCTAAGCCGCCCTGGCGTTTATTCTTTCTTAAAACCAAATACCAGGAGCTGCAGATCTGATGTCCCTTTCCCTCGACTGAGTCAAGGGGCCAGCTTCCGGGCAGGCAGACACCAGCACCGCTGTAGCGAGGCCCTGGATGCCACCAAGATACTGGCAGGCGGACACCAGCACCACGCAGTGAGGCCCAGGATGCCACCAAGATACTGGGAGGCGGACACCAGCACTGCTGCAGTGACGCCCCGGATACAACCAAGATACTGGGAGGCAGATACCAGCACTGCTGCAGTAAGGCCCCGGATACAACCAAGATACCGGCAGGCGGACACCAGCACCGCTGCAGTGAGGTTCAGGATGCCACCAAGATACTGGGAGGCGGACACCAGCACCTCTGCAGCGAGGCCCAGGATGCCACCAAGATACTGGCAGGCGGACACCAGCAAAGCGCAGCGAGACCCAAGATGCCACCAAGATACTGACAAGCAGACACCAGCACCGCTGCAGCGAGGCCCAGGATGCCACCAAGATACTGGCAGGTGGACACCAGCACCTCTGCAGCAAGGCCCAGGATGCCACCAAGATACTGACTGCTCCCAGGTCACCTATGTTTCAGAATACATTTCCTGGTTGAGTTAATAAATGATGCAATGGCACAGAACCTGCTTGATCAAAGAAGCCATAGACAGATTTCTTTGCTGTGAGGCAGCTGTGAAACCTCAGAAATTAAACGCAAAATTTGTGTATAAACTTAAATGTGCTTTTCTAGGAAGGGGAGTTCTAATTATATGTGATTCTTGGTTTATTGTCGTCCATTTTCACCCGGCCGTGCAATGTGCACTTTGCCACCTGATTTGTGCTGTAAACGTTCTCTCCATGTGTGAAATGTGCACTTGGCGGGGAGGAGGCTGAGGACCCTGCCCCAGACCTTCCTGGGCGACCTGAAGGACAAAGCACCACATCTGCTGCAGAGAGTTTGCCTGGAGAGTCTCCACAGGAAATACCCCAGGCCCTGGCGAGGCCACTCTGGTGCGGGCTTCAGAATGGTCTGCGGGTGGTGATCACTTTTGATGTCATCTGCATTTGGAGAGAGGCCGTGCAGAGAGCCAGGCAGGCCTCACCCAGGTCTTCAGCAGCTGTTTCAGTGGCATGGCTGGCTCAGCCACCAGAGGCGCAGCTATTACTTTTCTCACCCTGTTGCTGCCACTACAAATGTTCCAGAATCCGTGGTGTTGGGGGCCAGGAACCTCCAGCCCCCACGTCCCAGAGGCTGCCTCTCCACTCTCATTTTGCTTTGTTATCTCAGGCCTTGGGAGGAGGAGAGCATGGCAGAAAGGCAGTGCTGGGGTCCCCCAACGTGTGAGTAAGCTGTTCCTACTAAAGACACTGAAGTCTCACTGCCTCTTCCCATGATCCAGCCCACATGATAACACAGGCGTAGGCACACAGATGAGGTATGAACATGTGAAAGGGAGTAAAGAAGGAACAGTACGGTGGCTCATGCCTGTGGTCCCAGGGCTTTGGGAAGCTAAGGTGGGAGGATCGCTTGAGGCCAGTTCAAGGCTGCAGTGAGATATGATGGTGCCACTCCATGCCTGCTTAGGCAACAGGGCAAGACCCTGTCTCAGGAGAAAAAAAAAGGAGTTAAGAAATACTGTTATTCATAATTCATGCCATTGTCACCTAAGAGAATCAGCTGCAGTCCTGTTAGAACAGAGCCAGTGCTCCTCAAACGCTGATGACATCAGAATTCATCCCCACCTGCAGACCATTTACACCCACTGACAGAACACAGTCACTCGTTAGAAAAAGGCATAAAAAAGCCCCACTCATGATTTCAACAAAATATCAAATACCAAGGAGTAAACTTCAGGGTAAATATTCAAGACCTACAATGTCAGAAAAGGCACAATTTCATCAAAGGACATAGCAACCCATGAGTTATCCTGTGGATTGATGGAGCGACCTACCCAGTTCCTACCCAAAAAGACTTAATATTATGATTCTTTGCTGGTTTATCTATAAATTACATGCAATTTCTATGATATTGGCAGTGGAAGTTTGAGGGGACTCTCACAAAATGATTGCCATTTTCACTGGTGAGAATAAAAAAGAAAAAAGTTAAAAAATAAGATTAGTGAGTAAGGACAATTTTACTACAACATTTACAAATTATAAAACTAGGATAATTTTGAAATGTTGGTTCTAGGAAGGAATAAAAAGAACGAAAAGTCTGGTGTCGGGGGACATATGTCAAACCATTCATTGTGTGAAAATGTGGGGATTCTCATCAGGGGAGAAAGAACAGCCCCCACCCTGCCAGGTCCTCCCTGCTTAAAAACTGAGGCAAGAAAACATGCATTTAGATGCTCACCTCACACCTGCACCAAAATAAAATCCTAATGGATGGGCAAATGTTAAAGATGAAAAAGTTAAATGAAAAGAAA
Organism: Homo sapiens; assembly: GCF_000001405.40. NCBI lineage: Eukaryota > Metazoa > Chordata > Mammalia > Primates > Hominidae > Homo > Homo sapiens. The sequence continues at coordinate 49,604,698 of NC_000022.11, forward strand.
CACTTGGCCTCATATCCTGCTGAGAGTGATGCTCCCCTTTCAGGTAGAGACAGATACAATGAAGCAAAGAAGATGATGGAAATTTTGAAAAAATGCCACTCATTTCTCCAAAACAAAATGAAAAGGCAAAAGAAAAACCTGGAGGAAATATTTACAACCTATTTGACAGCAAAATTCTCAATACTCTTCATCAACAGAAATGGGCAAATTGCATGAACAGGCAGTTAACAAAAAAGAACGATGAGGGCCCAATATCGATAGGAAAAAAAAGCATCACTGATTATCGGAGGAATAGCAATTAAAACCATTAGGCTTTATGACACTTACAGTATAAACTGAAGGATAATTTAAAACCACAGTTGTCCAGAACATGGCAAATCAGCACCATCATGTGGTAAGAAAACAAATAGATTCAAGATCATGTGGTGCAAATTTGACTGGGTATATTCAAACCTTAAAAAGTGTTGGTATATTTAGCATGTCACTTGATTTCTGAAAACTTGTTTTAAGCAAATAATGAAATGCAAAGATTGCCATATAAAGATGTGTGTATCAACATCATGAAAAAAGTGAAAAAAACTGAAACCACAAAGGAGTAAGAATTCAGCCAGTGAATACAATTGGGTTTGTATCTGTTATCAAACACTGGGTTCCTTATAAAAGGACAAGTTTAGCCTCTCTTGCATATCTCTCTCTCCTCTCTTTCTTTTCTCTCTGTTTGTCTCTCTTTGTTTCCCTCCCTTTCTCTTCCTCTGTCTCTCTCTTTCTCTCTTCCACTCTCTGTCTCTCCCTCTCTCTCCTTCTCTCTCTTCCTCAACTCCAATCTCTCCTCTCTTCTTTCCTCTCTCTCTCTCTCTCTCTCCCCCCCCACCACACACACCTTTTACTTTATCTCCCCACCCTCTCCCCTCTCACCTTCCACCATGGGCTGACACAGCAATAAGGCCCTGGCCAGATGCTGGCCCCTTGGACTTCCAAGTCAAATGCACAGCAACAGAAACTTGTTAAATAAATTCTTTATACATCCACATGATAGAATAAGATGCAATTATTTTTATGTATATAAGAGGAAAACATTTAATAAACATAAAATGACCACGTATATTATTAAAGGAAAAAACTGTATGAAATAGTACATTTCTCATAATTCTCATTTTGTAAAAATAAAGTACTTATCTATGGACATAATGAGAAAATGACTCAAGGTACCAAGAGTTTAGCCATTAGCTATACCAGTGGATTATAAGCAAATTCTGTTACGTGCATGCACTCACCTACGCATGTTCATGTATTCATACATACGTACATAATTTTTTAAATTTTCTTTTATAGACAAGCAATAGCTTTATAATCTCTATAATCAGTAAAAATAAGTAAGTGGCTGGACGCAGTGGCTCACACCTGTAATCTCAGCACTTTGGGAGGCTGAGGAGGGCAGATTATGAGGTCAGAAGATCAAGACCATCCTGGCTAACACAGTGAAACCCCATCTCTACTAAAAATACAAAAAATTAGCCACGCGTGGTGGCACGCGCCTGTAGTCCCAGCTACTGGGGAGGCTGAGGCAGGAAAATCGCTTGAACCCGGGAGGCAGAGGTTGCGGTGAGCCAAGATTGCACCACTGCACTCCAGCCTGGGCAACAGAGCAAGATTCCATCTAAAAAAAAAAAAAATTAAACAACAACAAAAAAAGTGAGCACATCATTTGTGGCGTCCAGGCACTACATCAGTGAACACAGTTGGTTTTGTGTCTGCCATGGCACTGTTAGTTCCATGGTGCGGGTTAGCAAGGTGCCTGTCCATGCCTAGTCTGAGATGAGTTCTGGCTAAGGTGCCACCAGACACTGTTTGGATGCTGCAATACTGCCTTCTGTTTGCAGGCCTTCTATGTCCCAAAATCTCAGGCCTGGGGAACTAAGCCTCCAACCTCCCGCTGCCCTTACAACTGGCTTTCGGAGAAGCCCCCCAAGAAAATAGAGACAAGGCAAGGTCTGGAGAGTTGGGTCCCATGGTGGGCAGATTCCCAGCACCCTGCTGTGTCTTGGGGAGCACGGGGATTCCCCACTTGAAACACAGAGCCCTGCCCTCCACCCCAGCAGCCGCCAGCCAGGTTGGAAGCCCCTAAATCCTGACCCCACGTGCAGAGTCTCACTACCGGGCACCCGCATGTGTAAAGACGTGAAGGGTGGAGAATCTTTGGAGGGAACACTGCTTCTCAGGGAGACACAATCTGGAATTCAAAGTTTCTAAATTGCATTTTCCTTTTTAAGGAAGTAGCAGATAATATTTGTAGAAAATGTACTGCACTGAGGAAAGTATACAGGAGAACGTGGAATTCATCTGTGTTCTCCAAGCCTGCTGTCACCAATGTAAATATTTTGGTGTGTTTCCTTCCAATCTCTTTTCTTTACGTGCTTTTAAGTTAAATGCGAATCATACTGTAAAAACGCCTGGCGTTCTGCTTCTTCACTGCTGGTGCGTCCTCATCTTCCACACGCTACAGTCTGAATGTGTTTCTCCAAAAGCGTGTGCTGGAGACGGAATCCCCAAAGCAACAGCGTGGGGAGGTGGGGGCTCTAGGAGGTGATGAGGCCTCCGCCCTCAGGAATGGGTCAATGCCATTATGGCAGGAGTGGGTTCCTCACTAAAGGACCAGCTCAACCCTCTCTTGGGTACTCCCTTTCCTCCCCCTGCCTGCTGCCCTCCACCCTGGGCCATGGGATGACACAGCAAGAGGGTCCCACCCCATGCTTCCCCTCAGCCTTGGACTTTCCAGCCTCCAGAACTGTGGGCCCGTAAATTTCGTTCATTATCAATTACCCCGTCTGTGGTATTCTAAGATAGCAGCACAAAATAGACTAAAATACATCCCGTGAACATGAGAATCCCTCAGCCAGGACTCCCAAGGCCACAGAGAGCCCTGTCATGCTGGTAAGCCGCTCTCCGCAGACAGCCCTGATGTGCTGGTAAGCCGCCCTCACCCAAGTCCCACTTCTGTCGTAGACACTTGGGTGTTGCCAAATTCCCTATTAAAAATATGTTAGGGACATCCTCATCCATGGATCTTTGTGCAGCTCTCCAAGGAGGTCTTTCTGTTTGGGAGACTTGACAAGTTTCCAAGGAAGAAAGAAGTTCGGCCCGTGGTGAGGTGCACAGGCTTGGGAGCAAGCTTTCCAGAGCCTTGCTGCTTCATCCACAAACCGGGACAGGAAGCTGACGTCTCCCCCAAGGGCTGGCATGAGGACCCATTGATTGTGTTCACGCAGACTGCTTGTAACAGTGTCTGCTGTACAGGAGACATGATCGTGATTATTGTTACCATGATTAATGTCGTGCGCAGGCCTCTCCTGGGTGCCGGGGATTCAGCTGCGATGAACAGGACAAAGTCCAGATCTCATGGGACCGGCATGGGGGTGATCTCAGGGAGGACAACAGAGAAAATGGAAGCCAAGAACCGGGAACAGGGATTCCGACAGATCTGGGTTTCTGATCTTGTGGTTTGGGAGCCTTCACATGGATACTCGCAGGAGTGGGAAGGCCGGGGCTGGGACAGGTGGTGGGGATCTAGCTGCAGAGGCTCCCTCCAGGAGCACAGCTGTGCTGTGTTCATCCCAGCGGTGGGGCCACCAAGACTCACAGCTCCAGAGGGCTGAGACATGTGGTCTGATTTGGCCCAAGCAGAGTGGACACCTGAGGCGGGGGTCGGGGGGGCTCCCTCTCAGCCCCCGCCCAGATCCATGGACACAGGAAAGATGCTCCATCCTCAGGGCCATTTGGGGCCACGGCCAGGGCAGGGACTGTGTTTGGCAAGAGGGGCAAGAGCCCCTGAAAACAGGGCTGGGTGTGCCGATGTGAGCAACCAGAGGTCAGGGAGAGGAAAGGTGACTCACGCAGCTTCCAGGTCCTGCCACTGGAATGGCTGGATCCTGGTGCAAATTTCTGGATGCCAAAGTGCATTCCAGAAAAATCTGTCCCAGCAGTGCCCAAAAGTGCTTGTTTCACGGCCATCCACTCGTCATGAATTTTCAGGAAAAGACAAAAGCAAAGCAAGTATGGCAAGAAAGTTGTCAAGTTAAGGCAAAAATGCGTCTTTGTCTCTCTCCAAATTCCACTTGGACCTTAAGTGACCAGGCGTCCAGATGGAGCCGAGGGTGCTGGTCTGCCCGGCGCCCACACATGCTCCAGTTAGAGGACAAGGCGCAAGCTCCCCCGATGACACGGGAAGCTGGAGACATTCTCGTGTTCACGGTCACAGCTCTGCTCCTTTGAGAAATAAGCGGCACGATGTTTTTCTAGTGGGTTTGCCTTTTTCTCAGTGATGGTAAAAGTGCTGTGTATGTTAAGGTGAGTGACTCAGGACCAAGGTGAGTCTTGACTCCTCTTGGCTTTGCGCTGAGAGCACCTGGGAGAGTCAAGGGAGCACACAGGACAGTCCCTGCTTCGGCTCCCCAGGAACACGCGGCCAAGTGCACGCAGCCGGTGTCCTCGGGAGCCGGTGGTGGGGCTCCCTGAAGGTCCTAGAAATCCGGCGGCACAGGGACGTGCAGGCGGATGAGCTGGAGGGAGATTCTGCTTTTCTCAGTTCCTAGTGAGAAGTCAGAGCCCCTCTGAAAGACAGACAGTCATCTAGGTCCCATCTCAGGAGAAAGTGGAACCGCCCGGGCCGTGCCTGCTAGAATCAAGTGCAGTTTTCACAAGACCTTGCTGGAAACTGGGAAGATGGACCCCGCGCCTTTCCTGGGAAGAGAAGAGTGTGTTTTACACACGTGCTCCCGCCAGGGGAGAGCAGAGGGGAGGCAAGCCAGGCACAAAGCTGGCACGTGGGATGAGTGAATCAGACACAGCTGCATTTGTGTTCTCGGTTCCTCCAAACACGAGACGCTTGGAACAGGGTCTCTGAGGGGTGGACACAAAACAGGGACCGCAGTCTGTGCCTCCTCAGAGTAATGGCACCTGGAGGACTTCAGCGTGACGCGTCCACGGGGCGGGAGGCCTGGAGCTGCTGGAGGCCACACTGCGTTCCTGCATCTGGAATATGGGAACTGTGAGTCCCTGCTCAAGCCCCCACCCCAGGCCAGGGAATGGCTGGTCAAGGGGCCTAAAGGCTGGAGGGCAGGAAGGTCCCACAACTGCGGTGGCAACAGCAATCAGTATCCACGCCCATCCAAATGGACAGTTTTCCCTTCATGCTCTAAGTAAACCTGTATAATACGTAACTGTATATTTATTCCCTTTATTACATATATATATGTCTGTATTCTCTTTATTACGTATGTGTGCATATTTGTGTCTGTTTATGTACCTATATGTATGTATCCCCTTTGTTACACACATGTTGTATGTATGTATGTGCTACACACTGAATGTGTCCCCCAAAAATGTCTATGTTGAAACCCAACCCACAGCATCATGGGGTTAGGAGGTGGGGCCTTTATGAGGTGATGAGGTCACCAGGGCAGAGCCCCATAAATGAGAATAGCACCCCTACAAAGAGACCCGAGAGAAACGCCCATCCCTTCCACCACAGGAGGAGACAGCAAGAAGACAGCCGCCTGTGAACCAGGAAGAGAGCCCTCACCAGAATGGGCCATTCAGCATCCCCACCTCAGACTTCCAGCCATCAGAATGCTAGGAAATCCTTGTCTGCTGTGTATAAGCCCACAGGCGACGGTATTCTGCTGTAGCAGCCGGAGCTAAAATGGTATGTGTGCCCATGTGTGTATATTGTGGGTGTGTCTGTACATACATGTGTGCCTATGTGTGTATATTGTGGGTGTGTCTGTACAGGCATATGTGTGCCCATGTGTGCATATTATGGGTGTGTCTGCACATGCATGTGTGTGCCCGTGCATGTATATTATGGGTGTGCCTGTATATGCATGTGTGTGCCTGTGTGTGCACATTATGGGTGTGTCTGTACATGCATGTGTGTGCCCATGTGTGTATATTATGGGTGTGTCTGTACATGTGTGTCCATGTGTGTATATTATGGGTGTGTCTGTACATGTGTGTGTGCCCATGTGTGTATATTATGGGTGTGTCTGTACATGCATGTGTCTGCCCATGTGTGTATATTATGGGTGTCTGTACATGTGTGCCCGTGTATGTATATTATGGGTGTGTCTGTACGTGTGTGTCCATGTATATTATGGGTGTGTCTGTACATGCATGTGTGTGCCCATTTGTGTATATTACGGGTGTGTCTCTACATGCATATGTGTCCCTGTGTGTATATTATGGGTGTGTCTGTACGTGCATATGTGTCCATGTGTGTATATTATGGGTGTGTCTGTACATGCATGTGTCCATGTGTGTATATTATGGGTGTGTCTGTACATGCATGTGTGTGCCCATGTGTGTATATTATGGGTGTGTCTATACATGCATGTGTGCCCATGTGTGTATGTGTGTGTCTATACATGCATGTGTATGCATGTCACATTCCTGGCAATTATGTGTATCCTAACAAATGCCATGTGCTGCGGCACCGTCAGCTCATCTAATTATTTCCAAATCATTTTAAATCCACTTTCAGGTATAATTTGTATAAAATAAATACACTCATGAGTTTTGCCAAATGGGTGCAATGTGTACCCAGCACCACAATCAAGATATAGAACATTTCCTTCATCCCAAGGCTTACCTGAGCCCCAACCCACCCAGCCCCCAGACCCAGCTCTAGGCAAGCATCCACTGGCTTTCCATCACTACCAGTTAGTTTACAGTTTCTTGAGTTTAGTTTAAGTAGAATCACACAGCATGTCCTCTGTGTTTGGCTCCCTCCACTTGGCGTGTTTGTGGCCATCTATGCTCTTGTGTGTATCAATAGTTCATTCCTTGTTATATCCAAGTGGTTTCCTGCTGTATAGAGCACATTATATACACAGTATCTGAGCATATCATCTATAAAACCATATATGGATGCATTCCCAAGTTAATAGCAATGTGGATTGTTTGCAGCTTTTAGCTCTTTGAATGAAGCTGCAATGAGCATTTATGTACAAGTCTTTGTGGGGCACGTGTCTTCTCTTTTCTTGAGTAAATATCTAGAAATGTAACTGTTGGATCATATAATGAGTGTATGTTTAACTTTATTAAAAAAAAAAAAATACCAGGCCGGGTGCAGTGGCTCATGCCTGTAAACCCAGCACTTTGGGAGGCCAAGGCAGTTGGACCACCTGAGGTCAGGAGTTTACCCTGTCTCTACTAAACATACAAAAAATTAGCCAGGCATGGTGGCGGGTGCCTGTAATCCCAGCTACTTGGGAGGCTGAGGCAGGAGAATCACTTGAACCCAGGAGGCAGAGGTTGCAGTTAGCTGAGGTCATGCTATTGCACTCCAGCTGGGCGATACAGCGAGACTCTGTCTCAAGAAAAAAAAAAAAATACCGAACTATTTTGCAAAAACATGAATCAGTCCACAATCCTACCAAAATGTATAATAGTTCACATGTATGATGTATGACAGTGACTATTCATTCTTATCAATATTTGGTTTAGCCAAACTTTTTAGAACTATAGTCATTCTTATGGGTGTGTAGTGGTGTCTCATTACAGAGTTAATTTGTTTTTTCTGATTAATAATGATGTTGAACATTTTCATATGCTTAAATATCTCTATTTTTAAGTGTCTGTTCAAACAGTGAATTTTGATCAAATACCACTTATTGATTTTATTTTATGGTTTTTGTTTTTCATGTCTTACATAAGACATTTTTGCCTTCCAAGGTAACACAGGTTTTTTTCCACATGTTTCCAGTTTTTCCATTTAAATCTAGGATCTATTTTTAGTCAATGTTTGTATATGGTATGAGGTAAGGGTTGAAATTCACTTTGTTTCCATACAGATATCAATTTTTAGCCCTATTTTTAGATTCTCGGTTTTGTTCCACTGAACTGTCTTTATGCCACTATCACACTGTCTTTATTGTAGTCTTATAGTAAATCTTAAAATCAGGTAGGATAAGTCTTCCAACTTTATTTTTTGTTTCCAAAATTATTTTTCTTATTTTCAATTTTTTGCATTTATACATAAATTTTAAAATCAGTTTGCCATTTCTACAAAACATCTTTGGGGATTACATTGAATCTACAGACCAGTTGGGTAGAATTGAAATCAACAGTGTTGAGTCTTATGATCCATGAACATTGTATATCCTTCCATCTATTTAGTTCTTTGTTAAATTTCTCTCATGAATGCACTATATTTGTCAGTGTGTGTGTGTTGCACATTTGTTTATTCTTAAGTATTTCTTGTCTCGGATGCTATTATAAATGATTTTGTTGGTGGTGTTGTTTAAAATTGTTCATAGTATCTTTGATGTGGCCATTGCTAGCTACATGATGACCCTGTCTGGGTCACATTTTGACACAGGGAACGGCACTGGACTTTTCCAATGACTTTCCCATGGAATGGGCAGTCGTAAGTCCTGGTGCCAGCGGGAGCACAGCTGGACATGCTTTGAATCATAATGGCCAGGTACACACCCACATGACATGGACCTGGGTGCCTGCACTCCTCCTGACCCCTCAACACCCACTGGGTACTGCCTGCTCCCTGCTCTCCCACCCCAGCCTTTGCTCACCCCTCCTCAAGTGCAGACACACCCACCTCCACCTGCTCCACCTCTGTCCACTCGGTGACCACCGCATCAGCCATCAGGGCTCCAAGCCCATCTCCTGTGGACCACGTCCTTAGGTAACTTACAGGGGAGAATGTATGTTTGCATCAAAAATACTGTTTGCAGTGCAAATCCTCTTTCAGCTTCCCCTGAACTAACAGCAGTTATATCCCCAATTTGTCTGGACCTTATAATGCTACTAAAGAATTCTACGTATTTAATAATTCTACTATTGACTAAAACCACACCATTAGAGACCCATTTACCAAGGGTAATTGTGGCACTTAGGACAACTGGCTCAAACGAGTGCAGTTACGTTAGGATTTTCGTTACTAATTAACGCCACTACTCATTCCAGCTACTACTGCGCTATTTGCCAACTGGCACTGGAGTTTTTCAATATCTTAACAAGAAGCATAGCCACACAGGCATGGGTCGCCTGGAAATCAGCCAGGAGCAGGCAGCAGAAGCAGCGATTCTCTGCTGGGCATGTGTTTTTTTGGATGATGGATGGGAGGTAACAAAAAAAAAAAAAAAAAGCCAAGGAGAATATGGGTTGGGGCTGCCTCTGTCAAGCCAGCTCGAGTGTCTGAGCCCCCAGCCCAGGTGGGAGCGTTCTCACCCCATACGCTGGGAAAACCTAGCTGAGTCCAGCAGCTGACCCTGAAATTAGACTCACAGCTCCTGCACGGCACACCCAGACCCGTGCTGGGATGCCCCCAAGAACATGTGGCGGGCTGGCTCCTGGTGGGTGGCCCCGAGTGAAGGAAGGACCCGGGAGGGGTCTTGGAATGACTTTAGCCAGGCCTCTCTCATTCCCAGCTGCTGCCCCTGTCACACAGCAAGCTGGGCCCTGCCTGAAATAATTCACCCATCTTTTCCTAGAGGCTTCTCAGCCAGCACACCTGGATCCCCACGAAACTGCAGAAACTGTGACTCAGACCCGGCAGCTCCTTACCAAGCCCCTCCCTGGAGCCGCCTCACCTCCCAAAGGGCTCCTCTCTCTTGCTCTTCAAAAGTTAGCCCCAACGACCTGCGGCACACGGCACACGAGACTGGCTTCGCATTTTGCGTTAATTGGAAAGCAAAGCAAGCGTGGGAGGGAGTTGTTTGTATTCACGGCATCAATAATTTAACATGAAAAGAGAGAAAATAAGAGAATATGCAATCCACACATGCAAATCTGGCTGAAATTTATTACTTACTATAATAAAAAAAGATTTTAATAAGGCATCAACTATGCTATTTTAAGAAAGGAAGGGGGCACGGGATGTGATTCCTGTGTTCCCTACATGACAATCTTAAAAAGATAGAACTTTAGGAATGAAATATATCCAAAAAAATTAACAGGAGTTGCCTCTGGATAACCAAGTTATGGATTATTTATTTGAATTTTCTTTTTTATTTCATTGTATTCCAATATTTCCCTCTATGATGGGCATTTTTTAGTTCTATAATAGAGACATGTTTTAAAGTAAGAGATGACTGGAAACGGAAGACTATTCATTAAAACATCCTATGCCTAGCGAAGACTGCTAACGTCATTATGTGCAACTTCTCAACAGAACTTTCAAAGGCAGAAGGAATAGCTCCACCAGGGGCCTCGTGTGCTCATCCAAATTTGAATTCAACTTTGCTCCTAAAATGAACGCACTGCCTCTGACCCAGCAGAGACTGAGGAGCTCCGAGTCTGAGGTCTGGCTCCAGTGGGAACCGTGGGGGGACTCCATGCAGTTTCTCTGGGACGGAGACACCGCACCTGGACATGAAGGGACGGTGGGGATGCAGGCCCCCTCCGGCGCTGCGCTCCACAATTTGAACATAATCCAGGCTGATGGAGGTGGTTTAAGACAGGAAACCACACCCCAGGGCTGCGGGATGCAGGCGAGAACGGGAGCCCCTTCCCCACAGGCTGCGTCCTGCAAGGTCCACGGAGCTCTTTCCTCTCCCCCCTGCAGTGACCTATACACAGAGACACCATCTTCATGGACACGGACATGACACGCGCTCTGGGCAGCCTGGCTAGAGCTCTGCCCACGGCACGTCAGCCCCTCCACTTCCGTCTGAAAGGTGCCGGCCGCGTGTGTCACGCGAGACCAGTCCTGCACGTGGATCTGGACGGGGCAACTGCGCGAAGGGTCATGAATCCCGCCGGCCAGGGAGGATCGTCTCCTGTGCAGAATGAGGTGCGGTCAGAACACGGCAGAAGCTGGGAGCTCCCACCCGGCTGCCCGAGACACCTCCCCTCAAGATTCACCAAACACCACGACGTGCAAAGAAGAAAGTCCACGCCTCCGCGGAAAACACTGCGGCTCGGCAGGTCAATCCAAACCTGGAAACACCTCGGCGCGGCCTGTCAGTCTGAACCCGGAAACACCTCGACGCGGCCGGTCAATCTGAATCCCCAGAAAACACCGCGGCGCGGCAGGTCAGTCCGAACCCGGAAACACCGCGGCGCGGCCTGTCAATCTGAACCCGGAAACACCGCAGCGTGGCCTGTCAGTCTGAACCCGGAAACACCTCGACGCGGCCGGTCAATCTGAATCCCCGGAAAACACTGCGGCGCGGCAGGTCAATCCAAACCCGGGACATCATTGCTACCAGGGCGGAGGAGAATACACGCAAAATATACCAGGGCGGAGGGGAATACACGGAAAATATACCAGGGCGGAGGGGAATACACGGAAAATATACCAGGGCGGAGGGGAATACACGCAAAATATACCAGGGCGGAGGGGAATACACGGAAAATATACCAGGGCAGAGGGGGAATACAGGCAAAATATTTCAGGGCTGAAGAGAATACAGGCAAAATAAAGTGCATCTCCTAGAATTCCCGCAATCCAACAGCGTAGCCCGATTCCATTTCCAAATAGACACCACTTTCTAAAAACGTCACGGAGGAAGATGCTTCCTAACGACTCAGGGGTCTGTCCATAAACTTGGCATCATGTGGTCCAAAGTCTCTGGAGCGTGGAGGGCGATCTTCTCTAATCCCGGGGTCGTGCTTTCTGGGACAGAAATGAGAGACCCCAGAAAGTCCCTGGATGCTACCCAGGGGACTGAGGGGTGGTCCACAGCACCATGTGTTCTGAGAGGGGGTCTCCCTAAAGGTGGGGAGCAGGGAGGCCGGGCACGGCCCCCACTGGCTTCAGAGCTCCTCGCAGCCTGCGCCAGCGCAGAGCAGGACGGGAAACAGCCCCGGGAGCAGAAGGTCCCAGCAGCGGAATTCCCCTCCACTTGGACCAGGCCTGCGGGAGATCCGGGCACTGACAGGCGGGGACATTTTAGAATCTTTTCAAGAAAAGATAAAGAAAGAAACAAGAGTAACAGGAGGCCAGAAGCAAGGGCATCTACTGCAGACAGCGGTGCCGCGGGGCTGGAGCTGAAGCTACCCAAGGAGCCCCAGGCTCGGGAGCCTCCAGGCACAGGCGCCGTCGGGAGCCTCCAGGCACAGGCAGCGTCGGGAGCCACCAGGCAGAGGCAGTGTTGGGAGCCTCCAGGCACAGGCGGCGTCGGGAGCCTCCAGGCAGAGACAGCGTCGGGTGGCAGGGAGCCCCTCAGACTGTCCCTGTCCCAGTGGTCTCCAGCCCCCGACTGCACTCGACTCTGCGGTTCTCACCCCTCTGCCATCCCAGAGGAAGGGGCATCCCTGCGACTTTCCATCCACTACCCTGGCCTGGACCACTCAACTCCAGGGACTTCCTCCACCACCCAGACGCCTCCCTGAGCCCAACCCGGTTGTCCCTACCCATAACTGACATCAGGGCACCTTCCAGGCCCCGAAGTTGTCTCTGAGGCCCCAGCTTCAACACGTCGCTGGCTGGTGTGGGCTGTGGTCCCCACGGAGAAGGAGCAGACAGGGCAGGAGGCACGGCTGAGGACGCTGACCAGGCTGCCCCAGGCTGCTCCAGGTGCCAGCCAGGCCCTTGTATCTACTTCGTGTCCTCGTGTTGACAGTCTGAGAAGTCCAGCTGCCTCCCAGGGGCATGTGTGCCCCCAAGAGAATGTCACAGTGGGAAGGACTCACCCCTCGCCAGCCTCCTTCCCTCCTTCTCTACCCACCAGCCTCAGCATCCCCTTGATGAGGGGTGAGCAGATGCAGCTGGCTCTGAGCAAAGAGCTGGCACTCCCCCATCAGGAGGCTGTGCCCCGGTGGCTCTGGGTCCTCCTGGGCCTCTGGGGACAGTGCGGCCCCCTCCAGGTCCACTCCCAGTTCTTCATCCACCCCAAACTACATCCAGCGCTCTGTCCAGCATGGCTTACTGAGGCTCTGCAGTGAAACCATCCAATAAAGACACAGGAAGCACTCCTATGATGAATGACAAGAGACGTCCCCTGTTTGAATGCAGGCGTTCTCTCCCCTTACAAAAATTTTAAGGAGAAATTAAGGTTTAAATGCTAAGTTCCCTTGCAATTTAAAGTTCAGAAACATTAAAGTCCAGAGGAATTAAAATCAGGTCTGTCACCTTTGCGAGCCCTTTCCTTCCCGGTTTGTCATTCTGCTAGGCTTCCACTGTGGGACCCTTGATGCCTGGGGGGTTTCAGGGTCTTTCTTCCAGGCTCACTTGGAAGCGGGGGGCTTTACTCCAGTCCTCAAAGACTGCAACAGCCACACCAGGCCTCAGTGCACAGTCCAGGTGTCTGAGACACACAGGCCATCCCCACAGCAGCCCCCACCACTGCAGGAAGCCAAGAAGCCAGTTCCTGGAGCAGCTCCCCCGGGATGCTGCCTGCCCCCTGCCTTCCCGGACAGCAGAAGCATCACACGTACCATGTCCTCCACCACAACGGCCCAAGCCCTACCCACCAGGAGGATGCGGAGCCCCTTCTCAGCCCACACATCCCTGAACATCCCGAGAATAACGTGCGTGCCTGCAGGTCTGATGAACATGCCCTCTCGACCAGCCATGCTGGCTTGAAGGTGCAGGGGAGCCGCCTCATGCAGAGTCCTGAGAGCCTAAAATCCCCACAGCTCTTCCTCTCCTGCCCACCTGCCACCCCCAGCGCAAGCCCCGGGCCCCCAGCCCACAGCATCCCTGTTCTCACCACTGTCTCCTTCTCAACCCACATCCAGGGCTGAGTGCGGCGCCTGGGGGAGCAGTCTCAGGGGTCCCAAGAGCTTTCACAAGGAGCTCGAAGCTCCACCCAAAGAATGCAGAGGCTGCAGCTTCTTGCTTCAGAGCCAGGAGGAAACTCAGGCACCAGGCGTCTGGTGCATGCGGGGCTCTGCCAGCCACGATGCAGGGAACCTGTGACATCATGAGGCTGTTCCACGGGAATTCCACAGCTCCCATCCTGGAGCACGGCTCACGGACAGGAGAAAGGGAAAGGCTGTGACAAATACAAACGACCAGTCACCTCCTGCCCCAACTCCAGGCCTGGGTGACGGATGGGCCGGATGTCATCGGGGCACAGGTGATTGTGGCCACATCCTGGTTATGCGGCACCATCAGAGCAAGGCTCGGCTCAGGCAGGTGTGGAGCACTCACTGGGGCTGTAGATGCGGGGAGGGGGAGGACAACAGAGTGACCAGTGCAGGCAGCACAGAGTCACCAATACAGGAAAAACACAGTGACCAGTGCAGAGAGGACACAGTGACCAGCCGTCGGAGGAGGGAGGAAGACAGTGACCAGCCATCAGAGAATAGAAGGTGACGGAGTGACCAGCCGTCAGAAGAGGAAGACAGCGACCAGCCATCGGAGAATGGAAGGTGACAGAGTGACCAGCCATCAGAGGAAGGAGGAAGACAGTGACCAGCCATCGGAGAATAGAAGGTGACGGAGTGACCAGCCGTCAGAAGAGGGAGGACTTGACATGACCAGCCTCTCATGTCTACTCGAAGGCATCTTATGCCCCATACCCCAGGACAGAGGGAACCTGAGGTTTTCTCAGAACCTGGGCATTGGCGTGGGCTTTCTGGGGGCTTTTGAGTTAGGCGGCCACGTGCAGTCCACATGCCGTGTGCTCGGTGGACAGAGCCACTTTGAACGCAGCTTCTCAAGCAGGATTTCCTGGGTAGTTTCTACTCCTCAGGCACTGACCCAGGCAGCTGAGACAGCACATGTGCACATGACGGAAGGCGCCTGGCTGCAGGCAGCCTCGACTCAGCCTGGGCCCTGGACGAGGGACAAAGGCCCAGAGAACGCAGGGGTGCACGGAGCACCAGGCCCAGGGGTGGCCTCACAGGGCAATAGGAGGGCCCAGACCCAGGGCAGGTCCAGGGGCCGCCCCTGCATCTGCACCCGCTTCCCAGGAAGGATCAAGGCAGCGAGCTCCTCACGGGGCGGGGGCAGGCTCCACTCTGTCTTTTTCTTTCTTTTCCTTTATTATCATGTATTTGACAAGTAAAAATATGTATTCGAGGTGCATGACCCAGTGAATATGCCGACATACACGTGCTTTGTGGAAGGGTCACCACAATCAAGCTAATTAGCGCAGCCTCACCTCCGCCAGTCACCTTTCGAGTGACTTTGCAGGAGAAAGCAAAGAAACAGCAAAAGAACTCAGGACCTGACTTTGTTTTTGTGTAAGGGGCCTTCACCCATTCCTGCACGGAGCCTAGGATCTTCTAGAGGACGGAGAAAATACACAGAGGCAGTCGTGATGCAGGTTTTGAAACTCACTCCGGGATGAAAGGGGAAGCTGTGAACAGCTGTTCTGCTGTGGATTCACAGGTGCTCGTGACCTGACCAAGGACGAAGGCATCGCCAGCCTCCTCGGACCCTCGCTGGCACCCACATGTGTGCGGTCACCTGTCACCTCTTGATCCCAACCCCCTCCCCGTCCCCCTGCCCTTAACATAAAAGAGCCTGGAATTCGTGCAGACTTGAGATGGTCTCTGTGACACTCTCAGTCTGCCGTCTCCAAAGGCTGCTGACTCGAACCCGCTTTTCCTCCTGCCAGCTCTCCTCTGCCGCGTGTGGCTTTCCAGCAGGGAGCACCTGGGTTCTGTGGCAAGAGCACTTGAGGTCAGGTCACAGCAAATCCATGTACCCAACACGTTCTCCTTCACCACGGCCACCCTGCTGTCCCAAGCTTGTCACCTCCCAAGTGAGCCTTGGTGCCATTCGACCAACCTCTCCCCAGTTCCCCCCTGCCCAGCCCTTCCCCACCCTCTGCCTCTATGAACTCAACTATTTTAGCTCCCATGCACAAATTAGAACGTGGTATTTGTCTTTCTGTGTCTGGCTTTTGTCACGAGCGCAATCGCCTCCAGGCTGTGGCAAATCTCAGGACGTCCTCCTCTTCCGAGCTGGGCAGGATGCAGGTCGCCTGTCCATTCGACATTTTCTTCGCCCCTTCCTCTGTGGACACGCCTGCTGGCATCATGGAGATTTTCCTGGTGCCCAGAACATGACAGAGCTTCACTCAGTTTGAATGCATGAAAGTGTGGCTTCTCTCTGCCTCCCAGGCTGTGCTTGGGAGCTGAGAACATCTCCAGGAAGCCCACGGGCTTCCGAGTGGAGGAGGCAGGTCGCAGACGCGTGAGGCCCTGAGACTGAAGGAGCTGGAAAGGAGAAGTTCACGGGGGGCCGTTGCTCACATTGGGAGCTGTGGCCGGAGGGGCACAAATGCTGCTTACCTGGGACTTCTCCCAAACAACAAGAGAAACACCTTGACAACAAGTCAGGTTCCGGCCCCTAGTGCCGCAGAACTGAGCCTTGACAGAGCTCACACCAAACGTGGCTCAAACTCACTGACCCCAGCACCTGCTCCCTGTTCAGCAGGAATTGTCTCCTTGGTAGAGATCCTGTCAAGAACTTTCCCACTGTTCCCATTAATCCCAGAGGCAAGCTCCCCCCGCTTTCCAGGCATGTTTTTATGTAAACAAAGTGGTTAATTAGACAATTCGCTAAGCTGTTTAAAATGCATTTTGCTTTAAAAGAACAAGTAATCACAATATAAAAATCACAGCATTTCTAATATGTCAACTAATTCCTCCATCATATTTTTAGAAACAAATGGATTCACATAATTTATTAATATGCCTCTTCTAATTTCATTCATAAATAAGTAATTGCATCTTAACTCCCATTTGATAGATGGGAAAGATTGCAGAGCTGGGAAAACAGGAATTGTTGCACCCTTTGGGGGAAAATCAGGGAGGAAAGAGCCAGGTCGGGGCTGTGGGCCCTCGGGGGATTCTGGGGAAGCTGCTGTCTGTGTGTGTTCCCCATGGCCCGGTCACAGAGCTATCCTCACGGGCGTGGTTCTAGTCTGTGAACATGACCCGTATTTTTGATCAATTCTAATTATAAATATTAATCAAAAAGGAGAAGGAAGGCGAACTCCAGGCATTTGAGGCAATAGGCATCTGGCTGAAGTTGTCATTAGCTGGGTCACTGACAGCCCCACAGCGGCCGGCCGACCACACAGGTCAGCCACGGTGGATGCCAGGTTCCCCAGACCAAGGGCTGCCAGGAGCGGAGGCACTCATTTGCAGCCGAATCCTCAGGAAATGCCCTCAGCGAAAACCAGCCACCTCCACCAAGGTCAGGTCGACCCCGAAATGCTGGATGAATGTGCACACTCGCTGGGGCACCCTCCTCTTCCTCCCCTGCACAAAGAGCACTGCAGCCGAACCCCAGCCTCAGGCCACGGCCAGCACCGCAGAGCCACAGGGCAGACGCCGTGCACACCAGACCTGCTGGGCCACAGCCAGGCCCGGGTGGTGAAGGACGGGGACCCAGGCCTCAGGATGGGGAAGGTGGTGGAGGCCCTGCTCTGAGCCTTCTAAGCTGGAGGCCCCGGCTTAGGGGCCATGCATGGTCCCACCTTTCGGGTAACACCTCCCCACCCCAGGGCCTGCCCCCAGCTGCTCCTGAACATGCCTGTCCCTGGAAGTGCACCACATGGAATCTTCCAGAAGGTACCTGCTGAGAGAGGGAAGGGACGTCCATGGTCCTGCAGGGCTGAGAGCCGTCAAGGGAGACAGGCACAGCACATAAGCAATGCCAGTGACGCAGGAGAGCGAGAGCCCAGCTCAGCCCACGCCGGGGACCAAAGGCCCTGAGAAGTGACCGTGCTGGTAGGCGTGGTGTAAGGCTGGACACTGCCGGCTGACCTGCTCCCGGGGGCCCAGGAGACCCTGCACTGGCCACTGGGAAGAGTGGGCAGCAGCAGCCTCCCTGGAAGCTGGGGTGGCCGGGCGGTGTGGGCAGGGCTGGCGGCCAGACACCATCACAGAGCCGGGCCCCTGATGGCAGAAGGGGGCCTGACTGTCAGAAGGAAGGCAGGGCCGTTGTGGGGCTGAGCAGCAGACTGAGTGGTGTACCGGGGCCTGCCCCACAGAGGTGGGAGTGAAAGCCGGTAGCACCCAAGCCCCGGGGGCAGGAGAGGTGGGCAGCAGCTCCACCCACCCCACTAAGGCAGTCAAGACGGAGGCTGGGGCCACAGGCA
Source organism: Homo sapiens (assembly GCF_000001405.40). Lineage (NCBI taxonomy): Eukaryota > Metazoa > Chordata > Mammalia > Primates > Hominidae > Homo > Homo sapiens. The sequence goes on from NC_000022.11 coordinate 49,622,721, forward strand.
GCTGCCCAGCAAACCCAGCATCCCACGCAGCCTCCCCCCTGGGGCAGGTTCCAGATGCAGAATCCAGACAGGAGAGGGGAAGAAAGAACCCTAAATGCACAGAAGCCTTGGGCAAGGGTCCCCCTGGCCCTCCCAAGGGGCGCTGGGGAGGAAGGGTCTGTCCAAACGGTCAGGGCAGTGGGCTGGGGACAGAGCAGACGCCAGCATCAGGGAACTGCAGCCCCGCCGCGCCCCCATAGAGCAGAGCAGGGAACGGGAAATGAATGGGGACCTTCCAGACGGAGCTCACGGAACTCCCAGAGGTCATTTCCCAGATCCCCAATACGTCACTGGAATAGCCCAGTTGTCCTGACCTGTAGGGAAGACCATGTGGAACCTTCCAGAATGTCCCTTTCCCACCCAGCTGAGCAAGGGAGACAGTGGGAGAGACAGAAACCTAGACACAGTGAGATAAAGACAGACATAGAGACAGTGACACAGAGAGACAGTGAATCAAATGCATTGTCACGCCCCAGGTGGACGGCAGAGGCCGGCCCCCACATAAATCCTGAGGGGTGCAGAGGGGCCTGGTCCTCCCCCAGTCAGTTCCCAAGTCTGGCCTCTGCAAATCCAGCAGGCCCTGGATGGGGCAGTGGCTATGGCTGACGGACCTGCCAGTAACCCAGGGGCCCTGTGCCCCGTGACGGCTGCATAGGATGCAAGCTCTGGACTTGGGCAATCTCTGAGGAGCCACCCCAGCCCCAGAGCCCCCGCTGGGCAGGTGAGGCCTCTGCTGTGCCCCGTCCTGGCCTTCTCCCCACAGCTGCCAGCCAGGCCACTCCCCAACAGACAAACCTGCCACATCTGTATTGGACCCACGTGCTGCAGAGCTCAGGGACATCTGTGGTGACCTGGTCAAGTGTGTCAAGCCAGGTGGCTGTAGGCAAACTGCCCACTGTTGCTCTAAATCATCTCCCACCACCTCAAAGCTGCCCCCGGTCACTGGTGCCACTGGAGGAAGGTTCTGGGAGGTCCCACGTTGGGTGAGGGACACAGGGTCACAGACACTGGCCTTGTGGGCGCTTTGCCCCCTCTCCCCTTGGCCTGAGAGCAAGCTGGTCCCATGCCTGGGGGCCGCAACCGAGAGCCAGGCCCCCTACAGATGTAGCGCCCCTTCCGAGGACTCCTGGCACCTTGAGCTTCCCAGGGCCTGGGGATGCCGCTCTCCCGCCCATGAGTCCACCTCGCAGAAACCCTCAAGTGCCACCCAGACCCTACTCAAGTCCGGGCCCCTCGCTTACGACTCTCCCTCCCATCCTCCACTCTCCTGGCCTCTCCCCAGGGCCCTGCTCGGGGCTGCTGACCTTTGGGAGGGAGGCACAGTGATGCTCTGGGTGCTGACCTTTGTGGGGAGGGCACAGTGATGCTCGGGGTGCTGACCTTTGTGGGGAGGGCACAGTGATGCTCGGCGTGCTTACCTTTGTGGGGAGGGCACAGTGATGCTCGGGGTGCTGACCTTTGTGGGGAGGGCACAGTGATGCTCCGGGTGCTGACCTTTGGGAGGGAGGGCACAGTGATGCTCGGGGTGCTGACCTTTGTGGGGAGGGCACAGTGATGCTCGGGGTGCTGACCTTTGTGGGGAGGGCACAGTGATGCTCGGGGCCGCTGACCTTTGAGGGGAGGGCACAGTGATGCTCGGGGCTGCTGACCTTTGTGGGGAGAGCACAGTGATGCTCGGGGTGCTGACCTTTGGGAGGAGGCACAGTGCCTGGAGGATGGGCATCTCCTCACTGGCCCTTCTATCCAGGCCCCTTGCCAAGCACAGGGGATGTGCACAGCGTGCGTTTATGAACTGAGAGCAGAAGCAACAGCAGCCACAGGCTCCCGCATCCCCCTTGTGCCCTGAAAGCACCTCGGTCCAGGGGTCAGGCTGGGTCCACAGCTCCCGTTGGTGGCCTGGGCTCAGCGGCCCCCAGCTTTTCCTGGAAGACGCAGCACAAAAAACTGATGAGGCCGGCCAGGCTCCCTCCAGAGCCCTCAGGGACGCAGGAGGCCACCAAGACCAGAGGAACATAAATCTCATGGCCTTGGACACTGCCCAGTTGTAAATATATTTTTCGCCCCTCCATTTATCACAGCTGCCTCTGATGACACCCACCTGGTGTGGGGCCAGTTGTCGTAGCTGCCCTCCTCAGCACCTCCCCGCAGGATTGTCCCCAATCCATCTCTGACAGCGTCTGCAGACAGGAGCACAAAGCTGCCACCAGCCCCCAAACGGCCACCCTGACGCCGGGCTGACGGCGCCATCCTGGGACAATCTCTGCCTGGGCACCAGGCCTCACTCCAGGAACCTTCTGCTGTGAGGTCTTTGGGCACCCTCTCCCTGTTAGCCCACTTCCCATCCCTGCTTCCACCTTTGGGACCTTCTCCCTGTTAGCCCACTTCCCATCCCTGCTCCCACATTTAGGACCCTCTCCCTGTTGGCCCACTTCCCATCCTGTTCCCACCAGAGGAAGTGCCTTCTGGGGCGACATTTCTGAGCCACCGATGCTACACATTTAGTACTAACCCAAGCCATAAACCGTTTGTATCCATTTAAAGTGTTGAAAGGATAAAACCAACAACCTATAATTCTGTACCCAATTAAATTATCTTCTTAAAGTCAAGGAGAAATAACGGATAAATGGAGAAATAAATGGAGAAATGGAGAAGTGGATAATAGTAACCACATATTTGGCGATTATCGCTTATGGATAAGTAAAATGAATGACACCAAAGTTGTAAGGGATTGGAACACTCTGCCATGAGGCAACTGCACTGCCTGTGACGTGGCACCACACTATTTAAAGTGAACCTCTCTGTTCACTGTAAATGTATATTGCAAACTCTATGACAACCAACAAAAAAAGTAGAAAGAAAACAAGAAGTGTAACTGATTTGCTAAGAGAGGAGAGAAAATGAAATCATACAAAATTCTCAATCAAAACCAGAGAAGGCAGAAAAAGAATGGAAGACAAAAAAAGAAACAGAGACCGAGCAACAGCAAACAGTAACCAATGTGGCCAACAGGAATCCAGCTATGTGGATGGTCGCTTCAGAAGTCAGGGGTTGACGTGCATCCATCAAAAGAGAGAGACTGGGCCAGGTGCGGTGGCTCACGACTGTAATCCCAGCATTTTGGGAGGCTGAGGTTGGAGGATCACGAGGTCAGGAGCTTGAGACCGGCCTGGCCAAGATGGTGAAACCCCATCTCTACTAAAAGTACAAAAAAAAAAAATTAGCCAGGTGGGGTGGCGGGTGCCTGTAGTCCCAGCTACTTGGGAGGCTGAGGCAGGAGAATCGCTTGAACCAGGGAGGTGGAGGTTGCAGTGAGCTGAGATGGCACCACTGCACTCCAGCCTGGGTGACAGAAAGAGACTCCTCGAAAAAAAAAAAAAAAGAAAAAAAAACCTGACTCTATGTCATCCACAAGAAGCTCCCTCCAAATATAAAGACACACATAGATGAAAAGAAAGGGTTGGAGAATGATACACCACGCTAACACTAACGGAAAACACAGGAGTTGTGATTAATCCCAGCCAGGACCAGTATCAGGGATAAAAGGGGCACTGCGTGGTGATCAGGGGTCAGTCCCCTGGAGGGAGACTAGCAATCCTGAATGGGTGTTGCCTGACAGCAGGGCCCCCAACCCCACCCCACCCTGGGGGGTCTCCCCAGCCCCTGTTGTCTCCTGCCCCTGTCCCAAGACCTCTGGACCCACCCCCGGCACCCCCCTTGGCTGCACAGGGGACATTGCGGTTGTTAAACATGGTTGCAGTGGTGGCCCAGGCCCATCCCAGGGAGACACTGGGCTTCCCTGCCACAGAGCCGTGGGCCTGAAAGCACCATCTGGAGGGGTCTGCTCCTGCCTGTGCAGCATGGTGGGAGCTGACCCCACAGTGCAGTGCGGCTCCAGGTCCAGCCTCTAAGGAGGGGAGGGGCTTGGATGTGCCTGACCCACCCACTGAGGCGCAGGGTGGGGAGACCAGGGTGTGGTCATGTCAGGCTGGGGGGCCAGCTCCTCCTGAGCAGAGTGGGATCACCTGTGACCCATCCACAGCAAGGTCGGAGAGGTGGGCATGGCGAGGCTGCCTCCCAGCTCACCAGAGAGAGTTTCACCAACATCATCAAAGCCTTCCACGTCCACTGTGCACATAAGCCTCTCTCAGAACGATCGGGAGCTCAGTCGGTCAGTGGCACCGTTCTCAGCCAAGGACTTCGTGGAGCCCGGCCCATTTACATAGGTAACAAGAAGGTAAATTTTCATCTGATGCCTACACTTTGACACAGGCTCCTTCTCAAACATCTCCTGCGGACGGAAGGCAAGTGTCAGGCAGCACCACTCAGCCCGGCCACACCAAGGAGACAGGAGGGAGTTCCTCCCACCAGGAGGGCAGGGGTGGGGGACGAGGACACCCAGCCAGGCCATCCACAGCGAGGATGAGGTGGGACCCACCCACAGGCCCATGCTCCGTGCACAGGGGATCCATCCACAGACCCATGCTCCATGCAGGGGGGGATCCACCCGGGGGCCCACGCTCCGTGCAGGGGGGGATCCACCCGGGGGGCCCACGCTCCGTGCAGAGGGGGATCCACCCAGGGGCCCATGCTCCATGCAGGGGGCTCCATCCACAGGCTCCACTCCAAACTGTACGTTTTGGATGTAAACGGTTTCCTTTCCAGTTTTTCCCAGGCAGGTAGGAATTCAGGCGAACATACAGGATCCCTGGGGGACTGTTGGACGAGGGTCCCGCCCGCCGCTGGAATCTCAGAAAGAATGAGTCAGGGCTCGGGACCCCCACAAAGGCAGGGCAGGGGTGCCCCCCCAGGGGCTGGAGAGGAAAAGCTGAGAGTCAGAGAATGGGCAACAGGGCACGAGACAGGGCAGCTGGAGACAGGAGGGATGGTCGGGTCAACCCCGGGCACCGCCCAGGAACATGGGTCATCCCTGCCAGGGAACTCAGGGGCAGGTGGCTGAGGAGGCCTTCCAGGTTCTCTCAGTGGGGGATGAAGCCCTCACGCCAACCAGGCTCACAGATCCCAGAGGAGGCAGAGGCAGGAAGCTCGGCTTGAGCTGCCCAGGTCTCTGGGAGGCTCCTGTCCTGTTTCAGGCTCCTCAGCCCAGCAATGTCACCACACTGCCCTCACAGGGAAGGGACAGGGAAATGGCACATGCAGCTGTTTGGGTACAAAAGCCCAGGCAGAGCCCAAGATGCAGAATGAATGAATGGGAGTGAGGCGGGGGGGCCCTCACGGTCGGCCCACCCATGACTCCAGGCCCCAGGCAGGGCCCAGGATGCACAATGGATGGGAGCGAGGCAGGGGGGCCCCTTGTAGTCGGCCCACCCATGACTCCAGGACCGCGGCTCCCGGCTCTGGGACCGGCTGGGACAAAGGGAACACCGCCCACTCTGACACTCATGGAAAGGATTCGGATCAGCCCACAGACCTCCTACAGGCAGGGACCCCCACATCTGCCACCCGACAGAGAATCGGCCGCTTAAGTCTCCAGGATGAGAGGCAGCTGGGTCGTAAATTGGCTTCTCACTTTTGGGGACCCTAAGTGTAGCATTTCCTTTAACTTGAGCCAAACCCTTTGTCCCAGAATATCTTTGCTCCTATTTCCCCGGCCCCCTGACTGCACCGGACACCCCCTGAAACGAGAGCATTGCCTCAAGCACTGCAGGTGGCACTGAGTCCTTCTCAGTCCTCCAGACCTCGCCCTCTGTGGGAACACCCCCCATCACTGCCTTCCAGGGCGGCCACTGTCGTCTGCGCTCGTGGCTCCCATGCTCATCCTCACTCAGCAAATTGCAATCAGCTCCGACAATGGCCTAGTTAAGGGCACCCACCCAATGACGCCCCGGCTGTGCATACAGGAAGCGTCGTTGCCAACCGGACACATTGCTGCCAGAAACAACTGAGTGTGTTTTGGAGACGCCTCCTAATTGAACTGATGCACTCAGGAATCTGGGTGGTGGAGGCCAGCTCCCTGCAGGGAAGGCCACCCCGCCTTCCAGGCCTCCTAATTAGGACTGAATGCTTCATTTTCTCTGCAGGCAGGCAGGGGTCATGGGTCAAGCGCTGAGACTTACTCCGTAATTCGAGTTAATGAAGGATTCCCAGGGGCAGCTCTGTGCATGCATCCAGGAGGCGCGCGGCCTCTGGCGGAGCCTGACAGCTGTGGGTGGACGGCAGCAAGCACACCTTTAATTGCTGCCAAATTTTAGTCCTAGGTCTTAATGACAGCAGCCCTGGCTCCAGAGCGTGAGGCTCTCTGGGAGAGTCAGGGGCTCCATGTGGGGGGCTCCGCTGTGTGAGTGGGAGGAGCACAGAGCAAGATGATGGGCAGCGGCTGGAGGTCACAGAGCAAGATGATGGGCAGCGGCTGGAGGTCCCAGAGCCCCACCCAGAGCCAGCAATGCCTCCTGGGCTGGACTGGAGGCTGCTGTGTGGGTCCCTGTTCACTGAGCCTGCAGGAGGCAGAGAATGGGGAGAGTCCGTGCTCCTCTCAGACCCTGTCACAGAACAAACAGCACTGGGCTGGAGCAGGGAGGCTGGGGTGCACGGCGGGGCTGGAGCAGCGAGGTTCGGGTGCAAGGCTGGGCTGGAGCAGCGAGGCTGGGGTGCAAGGCTGGGCTGGAGCAGCGAGGCTGGGATGCAAGGCTGGGCTGGAGCAGCGAGGCTGGGATGCAAGGCTGGGCTGGAACAGGAAGGCTGAGGTGCAGGGCTAGGCTGGAGCAGGGAAGCTGGGGTACAGGGCCGGGTTGGAGCAGGGAGTCTAGGGTGCAGGATTCTAGGGTGCAGGATTGGGCTGGAGCAGACAGGCTGGGGTGCAGGGCTCGGCTGGAGCAGGGAGGCTGGGGTGCAGGGCTGGGTTGGAACAGGGAGGCTGGGGTTCAGGGCTGGGTTCAAACAGGGAGGCTGGGGTGCAGGGCTGGGTTGGAACAGGGAGGCTGGGGTTCAGGGCTGGGTTCAAACAGGGAGGCTGGGGTGCAGGGCTGGGTTGGAACAGGAAGGCTGGGGTGCAGGGCTGGGTTGGAACAGGGAGGCTGGGGTGCAGGGCTGGGTTGGAACAGGGAGGCTGGGGTGCAGGGCTGGCCAGCCTCAGAACATGTGTGAGCCTCCACCCTGGCAGGTGGAGGCGTGGGCTCCCTGCTGGGCCACTCAGATGGATCTACTGTTTTCTCATGAGCTCATCCCTTCCGGCCTGTGAGGCCCACGGGCAGGGCTTTAATCCCCTATGTGCTGTTTCCAGAGCCTTCTCCCTGGCCCAGCTCCAGGCAGCCTCTCCAACCCCTTAGATTCTGCTGGACACACATATGGCCCTTGAGCCACAGAGGGTGGTAATGCCCGCGGCCCCTGTGCGTCCACAGGGCAGGTGCTGGCCAGGCCTCCTCCCTGCTTCAGTCCCCAGAGGAGACCTCGAGCCACAGACCAGTCCCTGTCCCTTCAGGGTGGGGTTAGTTCTGCAATCCCCCTGCCCACAGCCCCACCCCACAGAAACGTCCACCACGAGCCTTGGTAGTCACGCCCGGAGCCCGATGGAGACCAGCGGCTCTGAGCTCCCGGGAAAGTGGCCGGGGCCTGGGCCCTGTTCCCAGGAAGCTCAGCAAGGCTCCGTGCCCCACAACCTGGAGGGGTGGGAGGGGAGTCTGGGTTGGGATGGCTGCACCCTTGGCCCTTGGGGAGGAGCCCCCCACTACCACCCCCGGCAAGACCAGAAAGAAGCCTGGGTGTTGGGGGGAGGAGTTCAGGGAACCAAGCTCTGCGCAGACTCAGCGGGAGGATTTGGAATCGGAGCTGGAGTGTGGGGACGCCGGACAGATACCAGGGTATCTACGCACCCGGGAGAAGGGCCCAGAACGAGCGGGTGCTGGGACAGTCAGGAGCAGCCCTGGGAGGCGAGGTCACAGACGGGGTAACAATGAGGGCCCTGAGCACTCTGCTCTTCCCTGGATGGGGTCTGGGTTCCACGAAGCTGCCTATCCCAGGCCTCTGCAGCAGCTGCACGGGCAGAGCTGCCTCCCTCCAGCAAGGAGTAGGCGGGCACCACGTGGGCCCTGGGCACCCTCCGCAGGGGCTCCAGCTCCCACAAGGGGCTGCCCCATGGGCTCTGAGGAGCTACAGGCTCCTTCCCAGAAAGAAGCCCAGGAGTCAGCAGCTAATCCTCCCTCTTCCTCTGGAGCCCCCAGGGAAGGCAGGAGCCAGTGTGCCCCTCCATGACCCCATGCCCTATAGGGACTCCTGTGGGGAAGGAATCTGGCCTCATCTACAGCTCCACAAGCCCCAGGGTGCATCTGAGCTGGGACCAGCCCCTCTGAGGGGCTCACCCTGAGCACCTTCCTTGGCAAGGCAAGTGTTTGGGACGCATCCTTCTGGGGAAACAGTGCTATGCTCTTCTCTGTTTCTCTGAAGATTTGAACTGAGGCCGGTTGCTCTGCCTGTGGGTATGATGCTTCGGACAGCACCTGGCTCTGAGGACAGAGGCCCTGGACCCAAGCCACGCGGGCCCACCTTCTCCTGAAGATCTGGGCTAACTGGGAAGCAAAAATAATTACTCTTGTGCCAAAATGTCCTTGTAATTAGCAGTTCTGGAAGATAAATTGAAATATGTGATTTTTCAGGGTCCAGCCGGCCTCGGGACTGAACCCCAGTGTGTGTGTGTTTCAGGGCACAAGCATGTGTGTTTCAGGACACGCGGGGTGCAAGTGTTTCGGGGCATACGCGTGTGTTTCAGGGCACACCGGGTGCAGGTGTTTCGGGGCACACGTGTTTCAGGACACACGGAATGCAGGTATTTCGGGGCACATGTGTGTGCTTCAGGGCACACCGGGTGCAGGTGTTTTGGGGCACACGTGTATTTCAGGACACACAGTGTGCAGGTGTTTTGGGGCACACGCGTGTTTCAGGGCACGCCGGGTGCAGGTGTTTCAGGGCACACATGTGTTTCAGGACACACGGAGTGCAGGTATTTCAGGGCACACACGTGTGTTTCAGGGCACGCCGGGTGCAGGTGTTTCGGGGCACACGTATTTCAGGACACACAGCGTGCAGGTGTTTTGGGGCACACGCGTTTCAGGGCACGCCGGGTGCAGGTGTTTTGGGGCACACATGTGTTTCAGGACACACGGAATGCAGGTATTTCGGGGCACACGCGTGTGTTTCAGGGCACGCCGGGTGCAGGTGTTTTGGGGCACACACGTATTTCAGGACACACAGCGTGCAGGTGTTTTGGGGCACACGCATGTTTCGGGGCACGCCGGGTGCAGGTGTTTCGGGGCACACGTGTTTCAGGACACACGGAGTGCAGGTATTTCAGGGCACACGCGTGTTTCAGGGCACGCCAGGTGCAGGTGTTTTGGGGCACACGCGTGTTTCGGGGCACACCAGGATGCAGATCTCTTACTGGGTGCAAAGCCCCCAACTCCTTCCCCGAGCCACCAGAGTACGGCTCCCAGATCGGAGCAGCCCCTCCTCGGGCCAGGCAGGGTGTGGACCCTGCCCTGAATGCACTCAGCTTCCAGCCGATTCTGCCCCTCCCTCCATTCACTGCACAGGCAGGCGCTGCAGGCCGTAGGGAGGGCGTGCGTCTCGGTCCTCCCGCTCCGTGTCCAGTCTGGGAAGTGTCTCAAGACCACCCTGGGAGAGGCCTGGGCTGCGGCGCCTTCGTCCCTCTGCTCCGCGCAAGGCCGGGGATCCTGCTCTCCCGGAGCGAGGGTGTCCGGCAGGCACCAGCGGCCAGCAGCAGCCGGGGCCGGGCCTCACCCGAGGACCGAGGTGCCGATGAACGCTCATGTTCGGAAGACACTGGCTCCCTGGTTTATGTATTTACTTAATTTTAAGTTAGGCTCCCCAGATCCCTAAATCAACAGTGGATTCTGTAAATTGTTGCGTCAGAGGAAAATCTAAGCGAGCCCGATCGCGGGAAGCACCGTCGCCATGAAAGGCGGTGGCTCAGCGCCACCTGCCGGGACGCGGCAGCCAAGGGAGCCGGTGTCGGGGGAGGCCTGAGGCCTCGGGTCCTCGGGAGGAAACAGAGCTGTTTGCAGGAACAAAGGAGGAAAGGAGGGCCACGGCTGTTCGAAGAATTCTTACACGAAAGGCATGAAATTAGTTGGAATCATTTCAAGGAAAAAATCTTCCTCCAAATAGGCGCTCCTGCGTTTAGCAGAAGTGGGTTTCATTGCCATTGAGCACGGCCTGGGGTCTGCGGGGCTGTTTTCAGAACCGGAGGGAAGCAATCCAGCTGCACACAAGAGGTCCTGGGGAGAGGAATCCTCCAGGGCCTGGAGTCCCCGCTCGAGCTGCGTCACACCTGCTGGGTTGGAAGCCTCCACTCAGCGGGAGAAACACAATCCCTGGCTCTGGTGTTTGTGGCAGTAAAATCCCCATCCCTGCAAAGCCACTGGGCGGAGGCCAGGCCTTGCAAGAGGCCTCCCTTTGCTGGAGGAAGCCCTGGGCCCTCGGGGACCCCGCAGGAGGCAGACGCTGGGGACAGGGTCCGGCCCACGGGCAGCTGCGTCCCTCCCCAGTCCTGGCCTCCCTGCCTCCTCTGCTCTTTCTGATCCCCCCACCGGCTCCCACTGCCCACAGGGCGCTGAGCCAGCAGCAGAAACTGAGGTGGAGACAGCCTTCGGCCCTCAAAATCTGTGAAGGAGTCTGGACCCTGGGAAGGCACCGAGGACTGCCCAGGATCTCAGAAAAGGATGACAGCCAGGTCCCTTCCTTCCTTCCTTCGTTTTTCAAGTTGTTGGGTTTTTTGGGGGGGGGGGGTTTTGTTGCTGTTTTGAGACAGAGTCTCGCTCTGTCTCCCAGGCTGGCGTGCAGTGGTGCGATCTCGGCTCACTGCAACCTCCATCTCCTAGTTTCAAGCGATCCTCCTGCCTCAGCCTCCTGAGTAGCTGGGATTACAGGCGCCCGCCATCACGCCTGGCTAATTTTTGTATTTTCAGTAGATTCAGGTTTCACCATGTTGGCCAGTCTGGTCTCAAACTCCTGACCTCAAGTGACCCACCCACCTCAGCCTCCCAAAGTGCTGGGATTACAGGCATGAGCCACTGCGCCCCACCGTGTTTTTCAAATGTTGATGGCAGCTCAGTTGCCCCCCATTTCAATAAATGCCCCCCGAATCATGTGTGAAGTCACTCAGGTTTAAGGCAAGAGGCCCCTGGTCTGAGGGAGCAAATTCTCTTTCATTTTTCCAGATAGCTCCATTTATTACATACTGAGAATTTATTTGAATTTCTAGTAGCTCAAAACTTTTTTCATTTTCCTGTTTATTAAGAAACTCAATTCCCAACCAGAGCAGCTCAAAGCTAACAGTCAGGCCGAGAGCACATTTTCTCTATAATTCACCACCAGGCCCGCAGGAGTGGGAGGTGCCCGCTCAGGGAGGGCCGACGGCCCTTCACTCTCCTCCTCGCTGGGGACGGGGCCTGGGGTGGGGTTGGGGCACATCTGGGGCCTCCCCTCCTCCAGCACTTCCACCTCCAAGTGAGCTGCCAACCCAGAGCTGTCCAAGCACCTGGGCCACTCCAACCTGCCCCCAAGGCTCCTGGTGGGGTCTGTGCAAGCTCCTGGCAGGGTCTGCGGGGTCCATGGATGTGTCTCCACCCATCAGCCCTGAGTCTTTTCCATGAGCTGAGCTGCTTGCACCTCTAATCCTCATCACAGCTCTGCCAGCCGGGCACCATCACCACCATCCCACCTTACAGCTAACGCCAGTGGAGCCCAGAGAGGTTTGGCATCTTGCCCAAGGCCACACAGCTCTTTGGCAACATTGTGGCTCCAGAGCCACTCTCTGGGTGTGCAGCCGAGGGGCCGGCTCAGACTGGGTGGCAGCCTATGCTGAGAACCAACCCAAGGATCTGGCTCAGGGCGTGGGTGTCAGGACAGCGCCCGGGGCCACCGTGGAGACCCAGGAGGAGCCAACGGGCCTCTGCCGACCACTGGAAGTCGTGACGGGGGCTGAAGAACAAGTCGCCAAGAGCAAAGGTGACCCGGGGTGGCACAAGTGTCTGGGATGTGCAACATAGAGGGTGTAGCTTCCTGGGTGGCTGGGGACACCGGAATTCCACCCAGGGATGGAGAGAGAATCCTGCCTGGGGACAGAGAGAGAATCCCATTCATGGGCACAGAATCCCACTCAGAGTCACAGAATCCTGCCTGGGGACACAGAATCACACCTGGGGACAGAGAGTCCCACCAGGGGACAGAGAGAGAATCCCACTCAGAGACACAGAATCCCACCTGGGGACAGAGAGAGAATCCCACTCAGAGACAAAGAATCCCACCAGGGGACACAGAATCACACCTGAGGACAGAGAGAGAATCCCACTCGTGGACACAGAATCCCACTCAGGGACACAGAATCCCACCTGGGGACACAGAATCCCACCTGGGGACACAGAATTGCACCTGAGGACACAGAATCCCACCTGGGGACAGAGAGAGAATCCCACTCAGGGACACAGAATCCCACTCAGGGACACAGAATCTCACCTGGGGACACAGAGTCCCACCTGGGGACAGAGTCCCACCAGGGGATAGAGAGAGAATCCCACTCAGGGACACAGAATCCCACTGGGGGACAGAGAATCCCACCTGGGGACAGAGAGAATCCCACTCAGGGACACAGAATCCCATCGGGGGACAGAGAATCCCACCCAGGAGCACGCTGACTTTGAGCCACCCAGGGCTCAGCCCAGACTCGCGCAGAACACGAGGAGTCAGGGTTTTAATAAATTGAAAATAAAACTTTAAAGCTTCAGCCCCACTGGGTAAAGTTTTCCTTGGAATTAATTTCTAAGATAAATTGTTTTGGAATTGTTTGGTCCATCTCTTCTAAGCCCCCAATGTTTTTCTGATTAGACATTTTCATCTAAACAGGACTGACGTCTGAATGGCACCTCAATCCCGACAGTATTGACATCTGCCAGCCCAGAGGTTTATGGGGAAAGTATGGATTCCTGGCCGGTGGCTTTACTCAAATTGAGCTGCATTCTCGCTGAAATGAGATGCTGGCACAGCTGCCGGCTTACCTCCATGGCTTCTGTCCACCGCGGGGCTGGGGTGCTGCAGGGGTGAGGGGTGCAGGGTGGGACTGCACCTTCCGGAGGGAGCCTGGGGACGGGAGGGTCCAGGACGAGGGAAGGGGAGGTCCTGTAGCCGGGTGGGGGTGGGGCTGGACCTTCTGGAGGGAGCCTGGGGAGGGGAGGGTCCAGGACGACAGAAGGGGAGGTCCCGTAGCCAGGTGGGGGCGCAGGGCAATGGGGTTAGGGTCCACACGCACCTGCCCAGAAGCTTAAGGCAGGCCATGGAGGTCCTGTCCACAGAAGGTGGGCGAGGCACCAGCGAGCCCACCACCTGCTTCTGCACTGGGACCATTTTCTTTAAGGGCACATATCCTTGGTAGAAGAAAAACCAACCAGCTGAAAAGGCAGTGAGTGTGAACAAAAGGTGGATCCAGGGCATCCCAGCCATGCAGATGGATGGAGGGCGAGGAGACCCCCACCCAGGGTGGGCCGCCCTGGGGAGGGGGCTCCCTGCAGAGCCTCAGCCTCCTCCTCTGCACCCCAGGGAGTGAGGAGCTGACCACCATGCAAGGTCCCATGAAGCCGAGGTCACAAAAGAAACGCAAGGTCACAAAGAAGCGCAGCAATGTGGGGAATGCCTCGCCAACAACACAGGACCCTGCAAAGGCGACGGGGGAGGGAGGCCCCCAGCCTCCCCCAGGGTCCGGAGCAGCCAAGCCCCATGAGGCCTCCTTCCTCGGGAAAGCATGGGTCAGAAAATCTGGACAGTGCTTTTCCCTACTTGGATTCAGACTCACATTCACAACCTAAAGACCCTAATAAGGTCCTCAGGCAAAAATTAAGGGGGGGTGGGGCTTGTGTGTCCAGGGGAGGAACCAGCCCAGGTCCCCACCCATAGGAGTGCCCGGGCCTGGGCAGCACCCTCGGCCTACTGCTGAGTGCATCCTGGCGGCAGCTGTGATACAAACCAAGCCCGTGATGATCACAGGCACCTCTGACGCTGCCCAGAAGCTTCCAGAATCCTGCCCTCGGTGACCGCCCTCTCGCCCCACCCGCCCCTCGGTGTTGACACAGACGCAGGTCCACAGGGCTCTGTCTGGATGTCCGGCTGTGAAGCTGGCCCCGGGCTCACCCGCCTCCCACTCCTGCCTCACCTGAGGCCCAGCCACATCCCTCCAGCCGCATGCCAGGGGCCTGGGCTCAGGGGATTCCTCAGAGCTGGACCCCCTGGTATCTCACTGGGCCCGGGACCCAGGACGACCACTCTTGACTTCTCCAAAGCTGCTGTTCAGAAGGCCTCCCAGCAAGCAGAGGGTCAGTCATTAAAACCCACTGGACACAAACCAGATAAAGCCACAAACCAATGCCTTGCTCGTAGCACACGGGAATTCTGCAGAGACAGCTGGACCACCCGTCTCTTTCCAATCTGAGGCAGGACGGGGGAGCGGTAGTGCAGACACAGGCCCACTCGCACAGCATCGACCTGGACGCCTGCACCCTCAGAACCAGGAGCAGCTCGGGAGCATCCTTCGCTGCACCCTCCTCCGGGAGGGCCACTAAGAGGGCCCCACCGCCACTGCTGCCAGCACAGGAGCACACGGGAGCTAACCCACCCCACGACACCCCAGGAGTGTAGCCCAGGGACACGGCGGCAAGCCCACCCACTCAGCCTCCTCCCAGGGATACACACAGCCTGGCTTCCCTTCCCTGAGCACCCGCCCTGCCCCGGGTGAGGCCAGGCCTGGACGCCTTCTCGCTGCAGGCCCTCGGAGATGTTTCCCAGCACTGACGGTGCTGAGGACAGAACGCTGGAGGCCGGGCCACACTCAGGGGAGACGCGAGGCAGCTCCGGGGCCTGGGAGGAGTGCGCTCTGTGTGGCCGCAGGACGGGGAGGCAGCGCTGCTCTAACGCCTCCCGCTGCAGGTCCCACAGGGAACGAAGTGGTTTAGTGCTCAAGGTTCTAGGGGTTTAAATTACACTATTGACTTCACTACTTTTTCCTTATACATTATAACCAATAGCAAGACAATGTTCGATGTTTTGATGAAATGTTTTAAAGATAACTTTGCACGGCCCCACTTGCCCAGCCATGGTCATGTTTTAACGCCAAGAAGCAGAGCGTGGATGGGCTCCACGACGGCGCCTCCTGCCCGGACTCTTGTTAAGGTCCCACAGGAGTGTCCCCAGTGGAGCCTCGAAGCCACCCTGGGAGGGATCTTCAGTGTCCCCAATTTACAGACGAAGAAACGGAGGCCCACGGGAGTCAGGAACAAGCCCCAGGTCGCACAAGAAATGCAAAGGAAGCCACATGGCTCCAGAGTCCAGGCTCCGAGACCCACCCGCTGCCTGCTGGGCAGCTGCCCCGGGAACCCTGTCTGGGCACCTGGATTTTCCAGCCACGGATTTTCCCCGCTGACAGCTCTCGCCGTTTCCTGGGTCTCGAGTTTATCCTCTGTGAGGGCCGCCCCTTGTGGCTGGGCCATCAGCTCCCTGAATGATCAGCCCAGCCTCATCCAACACCACCCAACAGGACAGGTCCCCGCGGCCTCTGAGACCTCCCCGGGTGCCCCCAAAACACAGGCCACAGAACAGCCAGAGAAACCGCTTGCTGATTCAGTGTTTAGACTCTTGGATCGAATTCTCAGTTCTTCCAGATGTGATTTAGCCTGCTGCATTATTTAGCTAACTTTCTGTGTCAAAATCATAACTTCTTAGAAATTTTTCAAGGTACTCAAAACTGATTTCACAGTCGATTTGGGGAGTCACCGCAAGAATCAGTCAGAGAGGAGGCTCTGTGAGAAGGGAAACTGAGGCTCAGCAGCCTGTGACGAGCCCCAAGGCGTATCCACAACACATCCTAGGATCACAGAGCCTGCTCCAGCCGGCGGAGTGGTTCTCTCGGCTCTGTGGATAACTGAAAGCTCAGAAACATCAAAAGTTAATTAAAATAAGAATATGTTACTCTGAAATAATGCATTAAAAACGTCCAAAGGTGAGCCTGCTCCACTTCATTCCCCTCCGCATCTCCCGAGCACGGCTCTTCGGGCGGACGGAGCCCCCAGCAGCCCCTGTTGTCATTCTCTGAGCGTGGAGAACCCCCATTTCTATCAGCCGGTAATCCCATCCATTGATTTGAATTGTTCAATGTCAGGCTTGAAAAGGCGGATCAAGTGTCCTTTGGTCCTGGCAAAGAATGAATCATTTGGCACCAGCCCAGGCCACAGGCCGGATAAAGCCCGCTTCATCTGCAGTCTGGCCTTGCCTGGAACGCCAGTGGCCGCCAGCGCCCCTGACCCGGGCGGTCGCACCACGATTATTCAAATCAGCTCTCTCCATAGATCTCAGAATAAGCAATCAATTCATTTGATAGGGTTTAAAGACAAAGAGCAGAGCTCATTAAATCAAGCTAAGCCTCTGCCATCAAAGACTGGCAGGGACTGAGGCTGAGTCCGGCCTTCCCTGCAGCCACACAGAGGCTCCTGGGGAGGGAGGGGCAGGGACCCAGCACAGGTGGACCTCAGGAGTCCCAGGGCCCCGTGCCCATCCCCCTGCCCTCACGCCCCCTCTCTACCCCTGTCATTTCCTACCCCACCCACACCCCAGGACCCCGACCCCAGAACACCTCGGACCCCGCCCTGCCTCCCAGCCTGTCATGGGTGGGTCTGTCTTTCCAGAACTCCCTGCCTGGTGTCTCTCATCTGCCAAACAACCTCAAACCCAGGTGGCCTGTCATATCCTAACATTTTCCTGGAGCCCCCAGGCAGGACCCACAGCCCCTCTGCACCTCCTCTGCCCGTTCAGAGTCACAACACCACATGGGAATTGTGTGGCTTCCGTGGCACCCTGACATGCATCTGGCTTCCAGACACAGAGGCCCTGGTCGGACTTCAAATCTGCTTCCCAAGTGCAGGGCCTAGGATGAGGTCCTTGGTGGCTGGTGCCCATGCCACAGGCAGCCAGAAGTAACCGGAATGTCAGCAGGTCAGCAGGGAAGTCATGTGGGGGAGGCCGTGTCCCAGAACAGATAGGGTCTGCTTACCCCCAGTCTGTAAAGGCCCCCAGGAGGGCAGCCCCTCCAGGCCTAGGTCTGGGGCCAGCTGGGTCCAGGGGGAATCAAGCTTTTCCCAGGGAGCCAGCTGCCCTCACAGTGTGGGCAGCTCCCACCCCACCTGCCTTCTAGGGTCCTTACCCAGAGTGAGCCACGTGCAGGGCCCCCAGCCCCCAGAGTCAGGATGAGCATCCGGCCTACGGCAACTAAAGGGAGGAGGCAGAGGCCAGCCGGGAAAGGGATGGTGCTGCCATGGGGACGGGTAGGGAGAGGGGTGGGGCTGCCCTGGGGACGGGTCGGGAGAGGGGTGGGGCTGCCGTGGGGACAGGTTGGGAGAGGGGTGGGGCTGCCATGCGACAGGTCGACCTGGTCCACTGGCCCCAGCCTAGCTTCCAGGAGGCCAAGGTTCTGGGCCCTGCAGTGGGCCCCTCTCTCCTCAGATCTTGCAGAGGCACCTTTGCCAGTGTCGTGTAATAAGGACCAGAGCTGACATGTGGCTGGGTGCCGTGGCTGGGACACCATAGAAGAGGCACAGGCAGCCCCCATGGCACTGAGGCCCCCAGAGGGTGCGGGTCTCGGGAGGGGGCTCCCTCAGGCCTGCGTGTCACCACTGGGCTGCCACCCCATCCAGCCCACCCTCTAGGACACAGCGTGGAGACTGCCACTGAGCCAACACAGGAGCCCTGTGGCCACAGCACGGAGGTCAAGGGCCTGCCGTGCCGACCCCTCCAGAGCCCACACCTCCCCACTGCTGAGCACACTGGAGCTGCTCACCGGCTGATGCCGCAGGCCAGGCCAGGACGCTCGGGTCACACCTGTGTCTGAGAGTTTCTCCCACAGCCACCGGCTCCAGGCTGCCAGGGTCCCATGGCAGTGTCGGGAGCCTGGCAGGGGATGTGGGCCAGCCAAGGCCTCCAGTTCTGCCAACTCTGGCCAGCAGGTGTGGAGCTCCTGCCCAGCAAAGCTGGGAGTGCGAAGACACCCGCCATCGACTTGGCAGGATGCGGAGTGGTCCCAACACGCACAAGGCACTGGAGCAGCATCGCAAGCTCCTCCAGCCCCACCGCGGATGAGGACATCTCACGGTTGGATGAGAGAGCCAAGGCCAGGCCACAGGCTGCAGGAGGAGCCAAAGGCACCCAGGCCCACCCCCAGCCTCCACAGGCTGGCACCTCCCTGCCCGGCCCGTATCTTGGTCAGAGGAAGATGCATCCTAGATTGGTCAATCAATTGGCATTGGCGGTTGCACCTGACCATGGGCCTGCAAGACGCCTGCCCACAGAAGCCCCCATCAGCACCTGCTGATCCAGGACAGAGCCCACACCCTCCTGTTTCTAGACCCTGTGCTCGGGAGCAGGACGGTGCAGACGTGTGTGGGAGCTGCAGCTGGGGCCTGCCCACAGACACCCCAGGGACAAGGGCACTGTCATCATGTCTGCTCCGGTGTCCCCAGGAAATCCCACCTGAAATGCAAACAACCGCCTTTCAGAAGAGAGTTCGTCTGCCCCGGAGACGAGCATCCAGATTCCTCCATCATGGCCAGAGACTCTAGTAGGGACCTCCTGGGGCCCCCAGAGGGCCCTGGCCCCACAGTCGGCAAGCAGAAAAGGTGCACCCATGCTGTCCCTCTGTGACGTTCCTAAACACAGGACTGGCTGGGCGACAGTAAAAGCCAGATGGAGCCTCTCTTCCTCTCCTCTGCTCAGTGGGACTGGAAGGGCTTATTACCCTAATTTTGAAAATGTATTTTGCTCCATGTCTGATCTATCCACACAGGGTCCCCAGGCATTCCTGCAACTACACTACAGCGAGAAGCCCCATCGCAGGCCCGGGAATCCAATCAGGTAAAATAATCAGTGTAGATGTTGCGGGGAGGACACGCTCATCCCTCCTGGGCTCACCCTCACCCAGGCAATGGTGCACACCTGGAATGTGAGCCTCAAATCCAGTTTCTTGAAATGACCTGGCATGCTGGGGGAAGGGAGGCGATCAGACAGGACAGTGCCATCTGAGCCGTGAGGATGGTGGCGTTTTAAACACATACATAAGGATGGTCACGTTTTAAGCTCATACTTGCTCAAGGCCAGCACCTTGCTCTCAGTCCCTTGGTGCGATTGTGTTACCTGGCAGGGGTCCACCTGCCACCTGGAAACTTCCCCTAGGCGAGTAGGATCCAGCTCCCCTGGGCCCAGCTGAGACTCAGCCCAGGCGCGTAGGCTCAAGGGCCTCAGGAGGGGTTGGGCAGCCCACCACTGTCTGTGGGTCCAGGGGGGATCCAGGGCCAGCACTCAGCCCCCATCACAGGACAGCCTACTGGACACAGGCCTGAAGTCCGGCCTCGAGAGTCGCCTGGCACCTTCCCCCCAGATAGGCAGGCTCCTGGACAGCACAGGTGGCCCTGTGTGTGGGGGGTGTCACCTGCACAAGAGGCAGGGACAGGAGGGAAGGGCCCAAGGAGTAAACAGGACCCCGTTTTTAGGGGAGGTTGATGGTTTCAGTAGATCTGCCCAGTGGTGTGAACACCTCAGTGTGGAGTTCTGAGACTCACTGCCCTCCAGCCTCCTATAGGGCCAGTCCAGCTGGATCTCAGCACCCCCTTGTCTGGTGTCTGGAACCTGAGCTCCCAGGGAAGCCAGGGCTGGGCATCTAGTGGCGCCCGAGTTCCCTCGCAGTGCTGACAGTACATGAGGATGTGCCGCCTGCCCCTGGGCCAAGCGTGAGTGACTGACTCAGGGTATTTACAGAAAGTGCTGGCAGGTGGCCATCCCCTGAGCCTGGGCTCCGCATTTACACTGTGTCAGGGCTGAACTGAGGGGTCCCCTCTGCCAACTCCTCCATCACCCCAGCACAGGCTCATCTGTCTGTCTCCATCAGTCCCCACACACCCATGACCAGCGACTCCCAGGTACCAGGACATCAGGAGAGGAAACTGAGGCACATAGAGCTTGAGCACCCTGCTCAAGGGCCTGAGCTGCTAGGCCTCTGATCCTCATGAAAGCATCACCAATGCTTACCTACCAGGGAGTTTGGAGCAGCCCCACCCACCCCTCAGCTGTGGTTCTGAACCCAGCTGGCCGCGCCCCTCCCACGGGGACAGTGTCCTCAGGAGAGGTCAGCAAACCCTGTGGCCGGGCCTGGACAGAGAGCCCTGGGTCCCGCCTCCCACAGGCAATGGTCCCTCCTGCCTGCAGATCCAGACTTCCCTGAGAGGCGCCCCAAGCCTCCTAGAGGCTCGAGCCACAAAGGGCAGGCCCTCTCACTCAGTGCCAAAGAGCCTGAGTGGACGCCAGCTGGGGAGCAGACCACCATCTCTCAGGGCCTCGTTTTCCCTACCCAAACAGCAGAGGGGTGGCCCATAGTGGCCCTGCCCCAGTTCCCAGGTTCTGGAGCTCCACAGGAAGAAGACAGTACCCCCTGGACACACAGTTTGACCCAGGTGTGAGTTCCTTCCCCCGGCAGCACTGGGCACCCACATGCCCCCCCAGGGGCTTGCCCAGCCCAACGTCAATGCCCCCTTGTTCTCAGACTCATCTCTGATTTCCTGCTGCTGGAATTCTAAATCAAATCCTTGCACAGCTGAAATGGGGAGGCAGGCAGCCATATTTGGTTGGGGAGCAAAGCATTTGAGAAATGACCGAAGCCAAGAGCCAGGCCCAGTTCCCTTCCAGGCCGTTCACACAGCTCAGGCTGGTGCGGAAGCTCCCAGCTGGGTAGCTGGGGTGAGCAGGGGTCCCTGTGACCCAGCCAAAGGCGTGGGCAGCACTGCCAGTCACTCAACTGGCTGCTGACACAAGTCCCAGGCCATCTCTCCTTCCGGGCTGTGTCCACGCCGCGTGAGGCATCCAGCAGGGCCAGTCACTCACCTGGCTGCGGACGCGTCCCAGGCCATCTGTCCTTCCAGGCTGCCTCCGCGCTGTGCAGGGCATCCAGCAGGGCCAGTGTCCCAGCCAGGCCCTCGGCTTCTCCCACTGCATCTGTAGCTCTGGGTAATTCGCTCTGGAACTGGGTTTGACCAGCAATGCCGCCGCCCATTTGATTTACAGGAACCCGGGTCCTATTTCCACCTGCTGCAGCCCACACACCTGCCCCCACCCCATCCTAAGGCCCAGAGCTTCCAGAAGACTCCAGAAACGGCCTTGCCTGGTGGGATGCCCCACAGCCTTCAGGCTCACCTCCCTCCACCCATGGAACCCCCACAGAGGCCACCAGACCTGGCCCCTGGGCACCTACTGGGTCCCCAACAAGCTCCGCCCTCCAGGGCCAAAGTGCATCCCCTGCTCACCCTGACCCCCAGCATTGACCCCTCTGCCCACCCAGCTCAGCTGGATGCCTGGACAAGCATACAGACTGTGGGTCTGGAGATGGGGGTGGGTCAGTGGGTGTGGGGACGGAGGATGGTGACCACCATGGGGGCCAGGCGGGCCATGTGGACAGAGAGCGAGCCAGGCATTCTGTGGGGTTTTAGGCTTTTCTGACTCTGCCCACTCCAGTCAACCTCAGCCACCCGAGGCCCTGGTCATCGAAGAGACCTCATCATGGGCAGTCCCTGCACCCACAGCCCAGCCCTGAGCTCACAGCCCTCCTGCCCTTCTGCCGATGGATGGTAGATGGTAGATAGGTAGATAGAATGACAGGTGGATAGGTGGATAGTGGATGGTGGATGGGTAGATGGAATGATGGGGTGAATGATGGGGTGGATGGTGGATGGGTAGATGGAATGACGGGTGGATGGTGGATGGGTAGATGGAATGATGGGTGGATGGTGGATGGGTGGATGGAATGATGGGTGGATGGTGGATGGGTGGATGGAATGATGGGTGGATAGGTAGATGGAATGATGGGTGGATGGTGGATGGGTAGATGGAATGAGGGGTGGATGGTGGATGGGTGGATGGAATGATGGGTGGATGGGTGGATGGAATGATGGGTGGATGGAATGATGGGTGGATGGAATGATGGGTGGATGGAATGATGGGTGGATGGTGGATAGGTAGATGGAATGATGGGTGGATGGTGGATGGGTAGATGGAATGAGGGGTGGATGGTGGATGGGTGGATGGTGGATAGGTAGATGGAATGATGGGTGGATGGTGGATGGGTAGATGGAATGAGGGGTGGATGGTGGATGGGTGGATGGAATGATGGGTGGATGGAATGATGGGTGGATGGGTGGATGGTGGATAGGTAGATGGAATGATGGGTGGATGGTGGATGGGTAGATGGAATGAGGGGTGGATGGAATGATGGGTGGATGGGTGGATGGAATGATGGGTGGATGGAATGATGGGTGGATGGTGGATGGGTAGATGGAATGATGGGTGGATGGTGGATGGGTGGATGGAATGATGGGTGGATGGGTGGATGGAATGATGGGTGGATGGTGGGTGGGTGGATGGAATGATGGGTGGATGGTGGATGGGTGAATGGAATGATGGGTGTATAGTGGATGGTGGATGGGTAGATGGAATGATGGGTGGATGGTGGATGGGTGGATGGATGGATGGAATTATGGGTAGAAGGGTGGATAGTGGATGGTGGATTGGTAAATGGAATGATGGGTGGATGGTAGATGGTGGATGGCGGTTGGGTAGGTGTTATGACGAGTGATAGTGGATGGTGTATGGTGGATGGGTGCATAGTGGATGGGGGATGGTGGATGGAATGATGAGTGGGTGAGTGGATAGTGGATGATGGATGGGTAGATGGAATGACAGGTGGGTAGTGGATGGTCCATGGGCAATGAGGGATGGAGGACAGTTGGGGGATGTGGTGCTATCAGGGCTAGTAGAGGATGAAGTGACATAGTGCTTGCAAACCCAGAGAGCAGCGTGTGGCAGAGGAGCGGCCCGAGGGCAGCTGGTCTCTAATATTGCTGTTAAACCTCTCCATTAACCTAGAAGATCAAGGAATTTCTAGAACGGAGAAACACCTAGCCTTGATGCCTAGAACCTCTCCTCCCAAAAGAAAAGGGGAAGAGTGACAGTGCTTCAAAAATGTGCTAGGGGAGAGAGAGGGCAGCCCAATATTCTCCTGGTTATTTTTCAAATCTGCAATGCCACCCGCTGTGGACAGCCCCGCCAGGGCACCCTGGAAAGAGCAAATGGCCCCCATCTGCAGCACCATGAATCAGGCCCTGGTCATGGAAGCAGGGTCCACAAACAAAAATAAACCAGCGGTCCACAGGAAATAAACCAGCGGTGCCAGGATGTCATGGTGAGGGATGCTGGAAGGGACACGGTGGTAATGAACCCTGCTCCGCACCTGCTCAAGTGTCAGGTAGGAATACATTAGGAATATTTATTATCAGATGGATGAAGCAAGCACAGACCACACTTTCTCAACCTAATGCGTGGAATAAATATGTGTTTGGAATAACAGCATTTCTGGGACAATCCATTCGGTCTGGGGTGGAGGGAACATGAGAGCCTCGCCCCCAGGACCACGATGGCAGAAGAGTTGGTAACATGGGGCTGATGGCCAGGTCCACTGACCTTACTGGAGCTGCCCAAGCTTGATGGGAAGTACAGGAGTCCCGCGCCAGCCCAGCACAGCATGGAACCCACAAGTGCCCACCGTGGCCTGGGGAAGCCATTGCTCTTGTCCTAGGTCCCATGTCAAAGCCACACCCAGAGTCTCCTGTCCTGGATGAGGGTTGAATCCAGGTCCATGGACTCTTAACCCCCTGCCATTCCCCACCCCTGCATGCCCCAGGTCCTGTAGCTGGGTACGGTGGTCACACTGTGTTTGTGAGGCCAGTTCTAGCTGTCCTGTCCCCTCCAGGTGGTGTCTTGGGGGCTTAGGGGATGGGATCACCGTCCCGTGTGCACAGATGAGGCCGACCCCATGCCCTCACACCCCAGCCACATGGCCCTAGGAGGTAAGTCCAACAGCATCTGCCAGCCAGGTGTGTGCCCATATCCAACATGGAACTAAGAACTCGGATCATCTTCCAAACAACAGAGAGGACTGAATCGAGGGTGCTTCGAGGAATTTTACAGAACAAAAGAAAGAAAGAGAGAGGGAGGGAGGGAGGGAGGGAGGGAGACAGACTGTAACTTCTGCATCTTGACCTCCCATTGCCAAGTGGCTCTACAAACTGAGTCATCCTGAATTCAGAGAATGAGCCCCGGGGCAGGGAGACGAGAGCCTCACCCCTGTGACACCAGGCCCCCCAGGTGTGGGAGGGACAGGGGAGCCAGTCCTCCATGGAGTTTCCAGTTGAGGCAGGCCCCACCCCCAAGTCCCCGTGAGTGGGGCAGACAGGTGCTGGACTGGACCATGCACAACCTCAGGGAGAGGGCCCAGAGGGAGCAGAGGAGGCTGGGGCCCAGGGGCATAGGGCACATTCACAGAGCACCTCCTGTGCCATCCTCCCACCTGCATGCCCTATAGGGGGTAGTACAGGGGCCCTGGAAGCTCTAAGGTAGAAAGAGAGATAACCCAGAGAGCTGAAAGGAGGCAGAGGCAGGATTCAAGCCCAGATCTCTCATTGTAGGAATGAGAGGCGGCTTCCAGGAGCCTTGGGATGTGAGCTGGGGCCGGGAGACAGAGGGCGTGGGAGCTGGGTTGGGAAGGGGACAAGAGGTGACAGAGCCCCACCTTGGACCATGTTGGAGTGAGTGTATGCAGCAACCCGACCTCCACCCCTCCACTCGGAGCCACACCCACTCTGCGTGTCCTCCCAGCCTGCAGTGTAACCAGACCCTGAAGGGGCTGCTGTGCCCCAGGGACTTGCACTAAGGACGGAGTAAGAAGTATACGTCAGAGGGTCTCTCATCCAGGAAAACCAGGTTGTATATCTCACCAGCTACACACACTGCAGGCCCTATAGAAGGAAGTGGCAGGAGAGGGGACAGGTCTCCTCCCTCCCCAACACAGGGGGATCCCAACCCAGAGGGCCCAGGGGAGGTGGGAGGCATCACCAACTCCCAGTCCACACAGCTGCCTCCTGAGACAGGCGAGTCTGCATCCGCAAATAAAAAGGGCTGAGAAACATACCTTGCTTTCCCTGCAGCCAACCCCAGGGCTCCCCCAGGCGGCAGGGCAGGCAGATGCAATGGGCCCATGAGGACACCTTTCCAGGACAGTTGGTCACTTTCAGCCTTTCCCTTGCCTGCCCCTTTCAGATTAAGGATGGTGCCCACCTACTTTGCTGAGCCAGAGGGGCCCATTTGATAGAGAGAGGTAGATGGTAGTGTTGGCGAACAAACCTTTCCGCAAGGCCTTGGGGCCCCCACAGCCCCTGGGAGGGCGGCCCATCTATGCGGCCCGAGCCCGCCCAACTTCTGTGAGGGCCCCACGGTGAACCCATGAGTAACCCGCCCAGCCTGCACCTACCTCCCTGGAGCCTCCCCAACTCCTGTGAGGGCCCCATGAGTAACCGGCCCACAAGCCAGGGCCGCTCAGGGGTGCCTGCCCAGCCCCCAGACCCTCCAGTCAGTGTTCAGGGACGTTGTCTGGCACTTTGCTCCTCCCGCGTTGGCTCAGCTACAGAAACACTGTTACCGTGGCCGAGCCGCAGCCTGGATGCAGCTCATCCTGAAAAGAACCCCTTGCTGACGGCTTCGTTAAGAGGAGACTGGACACCCTTCTGAGCCAGGCATGGCCACAGAGGTGTAGGAAGCCAAGGCCATCTTACAGGCTGGATAACTGGGGGCTCCAAGAGGGACCCACATGGAGGGGAGCTCCCACCCTGATCCTCTCCAGATCTGCAGAGGCCTCAGACTTCAGGGTCATGGAAGACCCCCAAAGTGTTGTCTGAAACAGGCTCAGTGCCCTGAGTTTCCAAGGGATACGCCTGCGGTAGGATGAGGGGTATCTGTAGGATGCTGTTCCCCCTTGGGGTGGGGGGGCTTCTCCAACGAGCACTCAGCCCCAGTACAGAAACAGGGACACAGTGTGTCCATCAGCTCCTTGGAGTCTGCATTTCCCGCCCCTGGGAGTCCGCGTGTCCCACCCCCCAGGGAGTCCGCATTTTCCCATGCCCCCGGGGAGTCTGCATTTCCCATGCCCCCAGGAGTCTGCGTTTCCCGCCCCCCCCCCCCCGGGAGTCTGCATTTCCTGCCCCTGGACATCATGGGCTGTGTCCAGAACATCCCTCTCAGAACTTAGCCAGGTACAGCGGCTCACACCTGTCATCCCAGCACTTTGGGAGGCTGAGGCGGGTGGATCACCTGAGGTCAGGAGTTCGAGACCAGCCTGGCCAACACAGTAAAACCCCATTTCTACTAAAAATACAAAAAATTAGCTGGGCATGGTAGTGGGCACCTGTAATCTCAGCTGCTTGGGAGGCTGAGACAGAAGAATAGCTTGAACCTGGGAGGCAGAGGTTGCAGTGAGCCGAGATCACACCATTGCACTCCAGCCTGGGCGACAGAGCAAGACTGTCTCAAAAATAAATAAATAACTAAATAAAACTCTCCCAGCAGCTGGGGACACCCAAGACTGCACTGAGCCCCTTGGCCACGGCCCCTCCAGTCCCTGAAAACTTCCCCGTCTTCATCCACTGCAAGTAGACAGCACGCACGCCTCCCGGCCACCCCATCCACGACACGCTGACCCATGGAGTCCCCAACATCTGCTCCTTGGGTTGGAGGGCACGGCAGCAAAGCAGCAGGTTTAATTAATCACACTGAACTCAGCCGCTGGTGACCCCAGGCACAGCCAGGGAGGGCACTGGGGGACAGGCAGCCGAGAGAGTCACCTGCCACCTTCTTCTCTCCCCATCATGGGAGACAGGAGCTGATTAAAATGCACATGATTTATTGGGATTTATTGGAAAGGGGCCTGTCATCTATTAATTTACCATCTTAGTTTCCATCAGGGACACTTTTTCTACTTCTGCAGATAATCAGGGAGAAGATTTCTTGCAAAGGGTGGTCTTGACCCCTGCAAGACACGGTTTCCCAGGCGAACATCCTAAATGGGGTAATTAGAGCTGAGAATCGCAAATATCCATCCTCTAAACTGAATAAAAATGGAAATACGGCACTGAGGCATCATTATGTGCTCATCGAGTGAAATCCGGTTCCCCGCATCCATTAACCCTTTGTTGTGTGGCCCTCCCGCGCGGCACGGAGGCCAGCGCTGGGTACGTCTGTCGCCGAGTGATGAATGAGCTGTCCATCCAGCCGCCTGACGGTTTGACCTTTATTCAGCTAAAAGCACGGGGGCTCCTGGTGTTAAGTGGATGCCACTCCAGGATGAAATTGATCCAGAGTAAGCATCTTTGTAGTTGTCTTAGATAACTTGATGGGAAATGTACTCTCAGCTCAAGGGTAAGTTAACAAAGCCCAATGCAAATACCAACAGTCTTTTCCCCCAACTGATTTGCTTTAACGCAGAGCTACACTGTCTACCTCACTAAAAAAACTCAGGCTCTTGGACACACCAAGGCCTTCCACCGGACTAAAGGGAAAGACCACGAACCATCACACAAGCAGTGCTCTGGAGGCGCTCAGGCGGACTCGAACACCTTCGTGTTAATGCAGTTCCACACAACAGTGAATTTGAACCTCGAAAAAATACACTGAAGTTGTTAAGAATGCTTTGGAAAAAATGAATGGGGAAGGACCTTGTCCCACAGAAACTAAACACAGTGCTGGGACTACTCCAGATAAGGGAAGGCAAGTGAGACGCACGCACGGCCCTTTCCTTGACCAACAATCCTAGAAAGGGGATTAAACAGACTGAACGACGCCGGGGGCTCCCAGTGCACAAAGGTGGCCAGAGGAGTCCATTCGGATGAGCGTCCGCTGGAAAGAGGGTGCCACCAGCTCTGCGGCTCTGTGTGTGGAGAAGGGTGGAGGAAAACCACAACCTTTCTGGGTGAAAGAGTCAGAGGTGAGCATTCAGGGTGCAGGAGCATGGTGAGGAATACCTAGGGAGCCGCAGAGTGAGATCCAAATTCTGGGCATAAACCCAGCCCGACCCACAGCTGCACTGTACGGAAGACACCTGGGGCCGGCGGCAACGCAGGCGAGGCCAGGAGAAGCTCACTCCTGGGAGGAGAGCCTCACAGGCCAGACCCGCGAGTCAGCTGCTGTGTTGAACCAAGCACATCCCCTGGCTGAGACGCTGAGAGAGCAGAAACCACAGGCATGAAGAATCCAGTGGGAAGGCTAGGCCCATGTCTGCCCAGTTTCACAGGCAGCGGGGAGAGCATCAGGAGCCGGGCTAAAGAGAAGGGCAGCCCCAAGGCGCCACCAAGGCCGAGCGGGGACGAAACGGCCCCCTGGAGCCAGGAACACCAAGTCTGCAGAGTGAATCCGGAACAGCTCACCACCTACCAAGCAAAACGAAAAACCACCCCCAGGAAAACACAAGGAAATTCAGTCACTAGAACGCATTCCCTACAGCGTCAGCTTTTTACCCCAGAATTGTCAGACAACAGGAAGTGTTGACCCACAGTCAGGAAAAAAGGCAGCTGATAGACATTGACTTCAAGTGGACCCAAATGGTGAATTTAGCAAAAGAAGCCATCAAAGCAACTGTTATAAATACGTTCTTAAAAAACTAAAATAAGGTGACTGGCGTGGTGGCTCACGCCTGTAATCCAGCACTTTGGGAGGTTGAGGTGGGTGGATCCGTTGACCAGCCTGGCCAACATGGCGAAACCCTCTCTACTAAAAATACAAAAATTAGCTGGGCATGGTGGCGGGCACCTGTAATCCCAGCTACTTGGGAGGCTGAGACACAAGAATCTCTCAATCCCGGGAGGCAGGGGTTTCAGTAAGCTGACATCGCGCCATTGCCCTCCAGCCCGGGTGACAGAGAAAAACTATCTTAAAAAAATAAAAATAAAAAATAAAGTATATCCAAATAATAAAACATGTATAAGTACAGGAAAATATTATATCAATGAATAAATGGGAAATCTCAACAGAGAAATGAAAACTAGAGAAAATGGATGGCAATTCTAGAAGTGGAAACTGCAATAAATGAAGCAGAAATTTACTAGACAGCCTTGACATCACTTTGGAGGTGGCCAAGGAAAATAAACTTGAGAACACAGCAATAGAATTTGCTGGATTCAAAATGAAGAGAAAGCTGGACACAGTGGCTCGCGCCTGTCATCCTAGCACTTTGGGAGACCAAGGCAGGCAGATCGCTTGAGCCCAGGAGCTGGAGACCAGCCAGGGCAACATAGTGAGACCCCACCTCTACAAAAAGTACAAAAAAAAATGGCTGGGCGTGAAGGTGCACACTTGTAGTACCAGCTACTTGGGAAGCTGAGGTAGAAGGATTGCTTCAGCCTGAGAGGTCGAAGCTGCAGTGAGCCGTGATCACAACACTGCACTCCAGCCTGGGTGACAGAGTGAGACCCTGTCTCAAAAAAAAAAAAAAAAGCAAAATGCAGAGGTTGAAGAAAAATGAGCCAAGCCTCAGAGACCTGAGGGCCAAGAGCCAGTGACCCTGCGTGTGGACAATGGCCGTCACAGGAGTGGAGAGGGAAGGGCGTGCATTGGCCAGGTCCATACAATGGCCAAAAACTTCCAGAATTTGGTGGAAAATGTTAACTTACAGACACAAAAAGTTCAACAAACCCCAAGCAGGATAAACAGGGGAAAGAAACAGTCCTGGATACATCTTGCCAACTTCTAAAAATCAAAGATAAAAAGACCATTTTGAGGCCGGGCACGGTGGCCCCCACTTCCTATAATCCCAGCACTCTGGGAAGCCAAGGCAGGTGGATCACGAGGTCAAGAGTTCGAGACCATCCTGGCCAACATAGTGAAACCCTGTCTCTACTAAAAATATAAAAATTAGCTGGGCGTGATGGTGTGCACCTGTAGTCCCAGCTACTAGGGAGGCTGAGGCAAGAGAATCTCTTGAACCTGGGAGGCAGAGGTTGTGGTGAGCTGAGATGGCGCCACTGTACTCCAGCCTGGCTATAGAGCGAGATTCCAAAAAAAAAAAAAAAAAAGCCATTTTGAGAGAAAGAGAAGAAAACAGCATGTGAAATACAAAACAACAACAATGAAGAGAAGAGAATCACAGGAGATTCTCACCGAATGAAGGAGACCCAAAGTGGGAAAAATACTAAGTCAATTGTTAGCAAATGGAATTATTTAAAAATCTGGCCAGGTGTGGTGGCTCACACCTGTAATTAAAGCACTTTGGGAGGCCGAAGCAGGTGGATTACCTGAGGTCAAGAGTTCGAGACCAGCCTGGGCAACATGGCGAAACCCCATCTCTACCAAAAATATAAAAATTAGCGAGGCGTGGTGGTGCACGCCTATAATCCCAGCTACTCAGGAGGCTGAGGCAGGAGAACTGCTTGAACCCAGGAGGTGGAGGTTGCAGTGAGCCAAGATTGCGCCATTGCACTCCAGCCTGGGTGACAGAGCAAGACTCTGTCTCAAAAGAAATTAAAAAATAAATTAATTAAATAAATAAATAAATCAGAAGGCTTTGCCCCTGTGTCAGAAAACCTATAGGAATATTCCACTACAGTAGCAGATGAAAGAGACTGTCTGTCCAAGTGTTTTCAGCTGCACGAGGCCCGGCTGCTTGTTATCGAGGTCCGATAATGAGATGCAGACACTGGGGAAGGAGGGAGTTTATTTCAGCAGCCAGGTACAAGGAGGAGGTCGGAGTAGCTCACCAGACCAACTCCAAGTGACAAGTTTCTCTCCAGAGCTTGTATACACTCTGAGATCCATGCTGTGTGTGGGGTTGCACCTGCCAGCAGGACTGTTCTTTCAATCTCTATCTCATCTTTAGCAAGGGTCTGGGGTCTGGAAAGCTTTCTCTAGAGCCTTGGAAAGTTTCTCAGTCTTAAGTGGGCTCTGGTAGGAGGTGTATGTGTAAGGATGCCTTCCCGCCCCCGCCCCCAACCCCGAGATAGAGTCTTGCTGTCACCCAGGCTGGACTGCAATGGCGCGATCTCGGCTCACTGCGACCTCTGCCTTCTGGGTTCAAGTGATTCTCCCGCCTCAGCCTCCCAAGTTGGGATTACAGGTGCACACCACCGTGCCCAGCTAATTTTTGTATTCTTAGTAGAGACGGGATTTCACCCTGTTGGCCAGGCTGGTCTCGATCTCTTGACTTGGTGATCTGCCTGCCTCTGCCTCCCAAAGTGCTGGGATTACAGGTGTGAGCCACCACGCCCGGCCCAACGATGCTTTTATTGTTGGATCAGACTTCAGGGTCTGAGAAAACCCAGGCAGGGTCTTAACGGGTTTGTTGTGGCATTGCAGCCCCCCCTCAGGCGCCAGCTTCTCCAGTTCCTTAATGTTCAGCTTATGCGTTTGTCAGAATTATAGTAAAGGGTTAGTGGAAACTGGCTGTCTGGTTGCTAATGGAAACCCGGCCTGCCCCACAAGCTCAACAGATTGGAAGAAAAAAAAAAGGGGGCATAAACAATGTTTCCACAACCACTAATTAGGAAAACCTCTTAGCAAGCTAGAAACAGAAAGAAATTGCCTAAATGGACACAGAAGAACTACCAAAACCTAGAGGAAACTGCTTGCTTGCTAGAGAAATTTTGTAAGAATTTCCATAAAAATCAGAATCACGATAAGATTCTCTCTCTCTCTATCCTATAACGTTTGCTGGGTGCCATAGCCAAGACAGTTAGAAAAGCAAAGTAACTGAGAGGTATAAGAATTAAAAAAAAAAAAAAAAAAAGAAATGCTTTCAGGTGCTGTAATGATCTGTATAAACAATCCAAATTACCAGAACTACTTGAACAATTAGCAGAACTAACCACCTTTGGTCAGGTGCTAGGAATGAAAGAGCCCAGAGGCAGCTCAGCACTCATCTGAGAGGCAGACGTGATGGCGTCGGGCTCAGGGGATGGGGTGCTGAGGCTCCGCAAACAGCAAAGTTAAAAAGCAGATCTCTGCCTCCTCCTGTACACAGAATTAAATTCTGCGTATCAAAAAAATCTTTAAGACTAGTAAATAAATCTTTAAGACTAGTAAGAGAATATCTTAAATCATGGGATAGGGAGGGATTTCTTCAAACAAAACAAATAAAATATCCTAGAGAAAAAGATTCCATACCTCTAACTCTACATTTGAAGTTTTTTCTGACAAACAACCACACCATTTGTTCTAAAAAACGAGCCATTGACTGGGAGAAATTTTGCAATACACACAACATAAACAGGACTAATATCCAGATATATGTGGAATTCCTGCAAAGAAATAAGTGAAAGAAAAACAACCCTAAAATCTGGCCAGATGAACAGGCAAACTGCAGAAGAGGAGACCCCAATAGCTAAAATAAAAATCATAAGCGGCTCAGTCTGTCTATTCATCTGAAAATCCAAAATTAAACCGCAGAGAGATGCAAATTAAGAAAACTTTCACAGCGTGACATAGGAGTGATGGGAGGATTCACAGAGCCAGGAACCCGCACACAACTGGCTTGAGCGTCCACTGGGGCGATGACCTCCAAGATCCTGGCCAGCACCCGAGCAGTGTTTGCTGGGAGCACGCACACCTCCAGCCCAGGAACTTTCCTCCCAGATGTACCCCCTGGAGCTCTGCTGGGTAAAGTGTGGCCCAGGGACCAGTGTCGGAATCTGCATATCAACAGGGTCTGCGGTCGCTCGCGAGGGTGACACCTGGGGAGGCCGCCCAGAGATCCTGCCCCCGAGCTCCGTGAGACACGTCAACAGGGTCTGCAGTCGCTTGTGAGTGCAACACCTGGGGAGGCCGCATAGAGACCCTGCCGCTGAGCTCCGTGAGACACACACCGTCACATGTACTCCAGCCTCGTCTGCGACTAGAAACAGAGAACCCTGCACATCTGCAAGGCACAGAAATTAACGCTGGTGCCTTCATATTGTGCAATAACAAACTGCGGTTAACCTGAATGAAGCCGACCTATAGAATCAAAAAGATAGTTCTGGAAAACATAAAAGAGCAAGTTGTAGCACATGACGTTTTACAAAGATTAAAACAGCATTCACCCAAAAGATGGCCAGTCACCCACGGCCGCACAGGTACAGTGTGGACGTGCAGCAGAGCCAAGGACGGGGCACCTGGCAGCCAGAGGGACAGGCACGTCTTAGGAGGAAAGGTCTGCGGTGCTCCTTTCTTTAAAAAGAAATAGAAACGATCTGAGGCAAATATGGCATCGGGTTTCCCTCCACTCATTTATACTCCTCTGGGATTTAATTTTCAAATTAATAAGCAAACAAGACAGGTGAAATGGGATTCCCTAGGATTTGATAGCCGTAACCACATGCTTGGTGTCAGAAGCTCCGTAGAGAGCATTGAGGAGATGAAGCCCAACTTTTTAGAAGCCAATTTTCCGAGATACCTCAAGACACTTTGTCTTGGTCTCCTCTTCCTAGAAGAACATTCTTTAAAAAAAAAAAAAATAGAAACCGCCTGATGTGCAAAGATGTTTATAAGAAGAAAAAACTAAAAGCAAGTCAAATGTCCCAGTAACATGGCAGGTGTGAGTCGCAGCACGGCGCCGCCGAGGAGACCAAACCCACCCACGGCATGAGCGTGAGTCGCTGCAAAGGGCAAAGGTGTGCGCCACAAAGCACCAGAGACCCCCAGGCCCCTGCGGCCTGGCCTGGCACAGCCTTGCTTTGCAGCCCCGGAGAGGCAGGGCCTGGACCTCACCCTGGCCTCCACCTGCCACCACGCTGTTCCCGCCACCCTGAATGCCCCCTTCCAGGCATCCCTGACCAGCACAGCCTCACCCCAGGGGAGCCCGACACCCTCCGCCATCTGCTGCCTGGCACACGACGTGAGCCACGGGCACTGAGGTTACCACAGGGTCCACAGCTCCAGAGCTTCCCAGAGCCAACCCCAGGCCCGCCCCGCGCTTGCCCGGTGATCAGGTGAGTCTGCGAGCCTGCGGGGAGAATCCTTGGGCGCCCATGTCAGGGTTCAAGGGGTGGGCGTCATGAGAGCAGGACCAGGCACCCAGGGGCCCCAGCCGCACCAGCTCTCATTCCTGCCCCGCCACAGGCAGGCAGCCCAGCTGGCGTCCAAACCTCCTTCACGGGCTCCAGGGAAAGTGGCTGCCTCGGAGCCCAGGCCCAGGGGACCTTGAAAGATAAACCGCCATTGTACAGCTCCAGGGAAAATCAGAATCGTCCCTAAGGAGTCTCAAGAAAGCACCCCTCAGCAAGATGGAGCCCCAGGTCCTGGAAGAGCCACGAGCTGTTCTGCAAGATGGAGCCCCAGGTCCTGGAAGAGCCACGAGCTGTTCTGCAAGATGGAGCCCCAGGTCCTGGAAGAGCCACGAGCTGTTCTGCCCGAAAGGGCAGAGGGCCGGAGAAGCCAGTCCTGGGGGAGGAGGTCGGGGCCACTCACCAGGGCCTTCCTAACGTTCCGTCCGAGCGCATTCTGGAGGAAGAGCAGCTCCTCAACCGAGCCCGAGAGGGCATGGCCCCGGTCGCGGGTAGACAGCCGCACCTCTGCCCCATCTCTGCCCGCTGACACCTGTCCTGGTCCAGGTCCACCTCCCCGGGCATCCAGGCCCCAGCTCGTCCCTCTCCTTAAAGTCTTCTGGCTCTCACACCCTCTACGTGTCCGTTCTCACACTGCTAGAAAGACCTAACTGAGACTGGGTAATTTATTTTAAAAGGAAGTTTGGTTGACTCACAGTTCTGCAGGCTGTACAGGAAGCGTGGCTGGGAGGTCTCAGGAAACACAATCATGGCGGAAGGGGAAGGGGAAGCAGGCGCTTCTCATCATGGCGGAGCAGAGGAAGAGAGAACGTGAGGGGGAGGGACCGCACACGTTTAAACCATCAGATCTCGTGGGAACTCACTATCACGAGAACAGCAACGGGAACTCCGCCCCCATGATCCAGTCACCTCCTACCAGGCCCCTCCTCCAACACTGGGAATTACAATTCCTCCTGAGATTTGGGTGTGGACACACAGCCAGACCACAGCACACCCCCCAGATCAGGCTCCTGATCTGGGCACCTGCCCAGTCTCCTGCAGGAGCTCCAGCCGGAGCCCCGGGGCCCTGCGATTCCCCTC